>NT_187651.1:793112-1144418 GCF_000001405.40 Homo sapiens | reverse complement strand
GATCTTAAACTCCTGGCCTCAAGCAATCTCCCACCTTAGCCTCCCAAAGTGCTAGGATTAGAGGTGTGGACCACCGTGCCTTGCCCAAGAAAATTAATTAGAGTAAGAGAAAGGGAATAAATGATGAAGCAAAAAGGAGAGGTTAGTATTAAAATCATAAATGACGGGTTTAGGTTTTGAGAAGAGGAGAAACATAGCCTGACATCTTCAGTGCAGATATCAGGTTTAGGCTCATATATTCAGGAAAGGCTCAGAACAGATACTATGGAAACTTAAAAATACGGTTCATTAAAATATGAGAAGGCAAACCTTAACCCTAAACCTCCTTTCCTATTTAAGGGAAATAGAAAAAAATAAAGGCTAAGAGAAGTAGCTCAAAGAAATACTGATATATGTGTGTGTGTGTGTGTGTGTATTATATACGTTATACATAATATGAACCATATATATATAATATGAACTATATAATATGAATTAGATATATAATATGAACCTCTTGGAATTTAAAAAGAAATTTCTGTTATCATATATTGAGTCTCCATAGTATCTTTTCTGACCCCTTCCTGAATATATGAGCCCTAAACCTGAAATCTGCACTGAAGATGTCCGGCTATGTGTGAGCACTTTTCTTCATACTGAAAACACTAGTACTTACTCCACCTTCCTTCTCTGATATATTATATATTATAAATATATGTATATTTTCTTGAGACAGTGTCTCATTCTGTCACTCAGGCTGAAGTGCAGTGGTACAATCATGGCTCACTGAAGCTTCAACCTCCTGGGCTCAAGTAATCCTTCTGCTTCAGCCTCCCAAACAGCTAGGACCACAGGTGTGTGCCCAGGCTGGTCTCACCTGGGCTCAGGCAATCCTCCTGCCTTGGCCTCTCAAAGTACTGGGATTACAGGCATGAGCCACCACGCCCAGCCCTAATATTTTTTAAAAAACAAAAATAAAATAAGTAAAAGGAAGACAGTCATTCAGTCAAATGCCCTTCAGACATTTTGAGTTTTTTATCATAAGCAGGTATTGCTTATTCCAAGAAGTAAGTACACTTTTGATTTTTAAAAGATCTGATTTTAAAGCACTTTAAACTTCAAAGTTCCACAGGAATAGAGACTCCACCTGGCAGCAGAAAGACACAGCAAAGAACATGTTAGATGATAGAGGGCTATAGTGCTTAAATAGTAGCCTCCCCCAACAAAAGATAAAAAGATATAGCCATATCCTAATCACCAGAATCTGTAAAGATGGTCTCATTTGAAAAAGGAATCTTTGCAGATATAATTAAGAATCTTGTGGATTACCTGGG
The DNA here is from genome assembly GCF_000001405.40 of Homo sapiens. Taxonomy (NCBI): domain Eukaryota; kingdom Metazoa; phylum Chordata; class Mammalia; order Primates; family Hominidae; genus Homo; species Homo sapiens. Next base: position 1,143,105 of record NT_187651.1, on the reverse strand, counting down.
TGGTCCCTAAATCCAGTGACAAGTGTTCTTATAAGATAGAGAAGGAGAAGACCCAGATACCCAGAGAAGGTCACGTGAAGATGGAGGCAGACATGGGAGGGAGGTAGCCATAAGCCAGGGGAATACCTGGAGCCACCAGGAGCTGGAAGAGGCTAGGAAAGGAACAGAATGTCCCCTGGAAGCACAGCCCCGCTGCTGCCTTGACTGCAGAGTTATGGCTTCCAGAACTTCACAGAATAAATTTCTGTTAGCCAAGCATTGTGGCTCACACCTATAATCCCAGCTACCCACAAGGCAAAGGTAGGAGGATGATCTGAGGCCAGGAGTTCAAGACCAGCTGGAGCAACATACCAAGACATTCATCTCTAAATAAATACATAAATTGCTGTTGCTTTAAGCCACTCAATTTGTGATAATTTGTTACAACAGCCCTAGGAAACTAATAAAAGGTAAGCTATAAAAATTGTAACACCAGGCCCAGCATGTTGGCTCAGGCCTGTAATCCCAGCACATTGGGAGGCTAAGGCAGAAGGATCCTTGAGGCCAAGAATTTGAGACCAGCCTGGCCAACATAGCAAGATCCTGTTTCTCTAAAAGAAAAAAATATAATACCAGATTAAATGGAGACCACAATACGAATTTCATATAGATAATGCAACGGCCATCTGTGCAAAAGTAAGCAAAGCCGAAGTTTCTATTTAGATAAATAAAGCATATAGGTAGGCATGGTCACTGTGTAACAGTAAAATATACCATAAACAATTACAACCAACTATGTTGATAGAAAAATCAAAAAGATATATAATAATTGCAAGTATAGATTAATCAGAATATTAATAAAAATATGACAAACTTAAATCCAATAAAGAAATGAAAACACAATAGCAGCATCTGTATTATAAATATTCCAACCATGCAAAAAAAATTACAGAATAACAAACATCCATTAGCCTAATACCTAATCTTAATAAACCTTGACATTAAGCAAAATTTACTTCAGATCATTTTTTTAAGGAATAAAGTATTTGACCAGGCGCGGTGGCTCATGCCTGTTATCCCAGCACTTTGGGAGGCCGAGGCGGGCGGATCACGAGGTCGGCAGATCACGAGGTCAGGAGATCGAGACCATCCTGGCTAATGTGGTGAAACCCTGTCTCTACTAAAAATACAAAAAATTAGCCGGGCATGGTGGTGGGCGCCTGTAGTCCCAGCTACTCAGGAGGCTGAGGCAGGAGAATAGCGTGAACCCGGGAGGCAAAGTTTGCAGTGAGCCGAGGTAGCACCACTGCACTCCAGCCTGGGCAACAGAGCAAGACTCCATCTCAAAAAAAAAAAAAGAAAAAAAAAGGAATAAAGTATTTGAGATATAGTTGAAGCGCCTATCTACCTCCTACCTCATCCCTGTCTCTTCCTTCCCACCTCAGAGGCAACCACTGTTCTAAAGCTGAGTGTATCGCTCCCACGTGCATGTTTATACACAAATAATATACAGTAGGATTCGATGTATTTAACCTTTACATACATAGTAAATAGCCATATATTGATTCTACTATGTTTTTTACTCAATCTACTTTTTGAGACTTATATTGACAGATGCAATTTTAGTTCATTCCTTTTAACAGACAAAAACTGTATTATTAATCTCCCATGAATGAACAGTTAGGTTATTCTCTAACTTTTGCTCTAACAAACAATGCTATAATGAACTTTTCTTTTCTTTTTCTTTTGTGAGACAGGGTCTCATTCTGTTTCTCAGGCTGGAGTGCAGTGGTGCAACCACAGCTCGCTGTAGCCTCAAACTCCAAGGCTCAAGTGATCCTCCTACCTCAGCCTCCTGAAAGCTGGAACCATAGGCATGTGCCACACCACACTCGGCTAATTTTTTATTTTTTTGTAGAGACAGGGTCTCCCTATGTTGCCCAGGCTGGTCTCTCACTCCTGGACTCAAGTGATCCTCTCACTTCAGCCTCCCAAAGTGCTGGGATTTCAGGCACAAGTCACAGTGCCTGGCCATGAATTATTCTTCTAAGTATCTCTTCATACATATATCAGAGTTTCCCTAGGGTATAGCCCTAAAAAAGGAATTACTGGAGCCCTTTCTTTTTAAACCCTGTTTTCCTTTTAAAAACCTGTTCTTTGTTTGTTTGAGACGGAGTCTCACTTCGTCGCCAGGCTGGAGTGCAGTGGCATGATCTCAGCTCACTGCAACCTCTGCCTCCCAGGTTCAAGCATTTCTCCTGCCTCAGTCTCCCAAGTTGCTGGGACTACAGGCATGTGCCACCACGCCCAGCTAATTTTTTGTATTTTTAATAGAGACGGGGTTTCACCGCGTTAGCCAGGATAGTCTCGATCTCCTGACCTCGTGATCCCCCCACCTCGGCCTCCCAAAGTGCTGGGATTCCAGGCGTGAGCCACCGCGCCTGGCCTAAAACCTGTTTTAATAATCTTATTACAGTATAGGAGTATTCCTATAGTTAATAAAAAGCTCTAATTGGAGACAACCTTTAGATACTCTCTGTGGAAAAAGATTAGATTTTGGGGAGGAGCCAAGATGGCCGAATAGGAACAGCTCCGGTCTACAGCTCTCAGCGTGAGCGACGCAGAAGACGGGTGATTTCTGCATTTCCATCTGAGGTACTGGGTTCATCTCACTAAGGAGTGCCAGACAGTGGGCGCAGGTCAGTGGGTGCGCGCACCGTGTGCGAGCCGAAGCAGGGCGAGGCATTGCCTCACTTGGGAAGCGCAAGGGGTCAGGGAGTTCCCTTTCCGAGTCAAAGAAAGGGGTGACGGACGCACCTGGAAAATCGGGTCACTCCCACCCGAATATTGCGCTTTTCGGACCAGCTTAAAAAACGGCGCACCAGGAGATTATATCCCGCACCTGGCTCGGAGGGTCCTACGCCCACGGAGTCTCGCTGATTGCTAGCACAGCAGTCTGAGATCAAACTGCAAGGCGGCAGCGAGGCTGGGGGAGGGGCGCTCGCCATTGCCCAGGCTTGCTTAAGGTAAACAAAGCAGCCAGGAAGCTCGAACTGGGTGGAGCCCACCACAGCTCAAGGAGGCCTGCCTGCCTCTGTAGGCTCCCCTCTGGGGGCAGGGCACAGACAAACAAAAAGACAGCAGTAACCTCTGCAGACTTAAATGTCCCTGTCTGACAGCTTTGAAGAGAGCAGTGGTTCTCCCAGCACACAGCTGGAGATCTGAGAACGGGCAGACTGCCTCCTCAAGTGGGTCCCTGACCCCTGACCCCCGAGCAGCCTAACTGGGAGGCACCCCCCAGCAGGGGCACACTGACATCTCACACGGCAGGGTATTCCAACAGACCTGCAGCTGAGGGTCCTGTCTGTTAGAAGGAAAACTAACAAACAGAAAGGACATCCACACCAAAAACCCATCTGTACATCACTATCATCAAAGACCAAAAGTAGATAAAACCACAAAGATGGGGAAAAAACAGAACAGAAAAACTGGAAACTCTAAAACGCAGAGCACCTCTCCTCCTCCAAAGGAACGCAGTTCCTCACCAGCAACGGAACAAAGCTGGATGGGGAATGACTTTGATGAGCTGAGAGAAGAAGGCTTCAGACGATCAAATTACTCTGAGCTACGGGAGGACATTCAAACTAAAGGCAAAGAAGTTGAAAACTTTGAAAAAAATTTAGAAGAATGTATAACTAGAATAACCAATACAGAGAAGTGCTTAAAGGAGCTGATGGAGCTGAAAACCAAGGCTCGAGAACTACGTGAAGAATGCAGAAGCCTCAGGAGCTGAAGCGATCAACTGTAAGAAAGGGTATCAGCAATGGAAGATGAAATGAATGAAATGAAGCGAGAAGGGAAGTTTAGAGAAAAAAGAATAAAAAGAAATGAGCAAAGCCTCCAAGAAATATGGGACTATGTGAAAAGACCAAATCTACGTCTGATTGGTGTACCTGAAAGTGATGGGGAGAATGGAACCAAGTTGGAAAACACTCTGCAGGATATTATCCAGGAGAACTTCCACAATCTAGCAAGGCAGGCCAACGTTCAGATTCAGGAAATACACAGAACACCACAAAGATACTCCTCGAGAAGAGCAACTCCAAGACACATAATTGTCAGATTCACCAAAGTTGAAATGAAGGAAAAAATGTTAAGGGCAGCCAGAGAGAAAGGTCGGGTTACCCTCAAAGGGAAGCCCATCAGACTAACAGCGGATCTCTCGGCAGAAACCTACAAGCCAGAAGAGACTAGGGGCCAATATTCAACATTCTTAAAGAAAAGAATTTGCAACCCAGAATTTCATATCCAGCCAAACTAAGCTTCATAAGTGAAGGAGAAATAAAATCCTTTACAGACAAGCAAATGCTGAGAGATTCTGTCACCACCAGGCCTGCCCTAAAAAAGGAAGCGCTAAACATGGAAAGGAACAACCGGTACCAGCCACTGCAAAAATCAAGCCAAAATGTAAAGACCTTCAAGACTAGGAAGAAACTGCATCAACTAGCAAGCAAAATCACCAGCTAACATCATAATGACAGGATCAAATTCACACATAACAATATTAACTTTAAATGTAAATGGACTAAATGCTCCAATTAAAAGACACAGACTGGCAAACTGGATAAAGAGTCAAGACCCATCAGTGTGCTGTATTCAGGAAACCCATCTCACGTGCAGAGACACACATAGGCTCAAAATAAAAGGATGGAGGAAGATCTACCAAGCAAATGGAAAACAAAAAAAGGCAGGGGTTGCAATCCTAGTCTCTGATAAAACAGACTTTAAACCAACAAAGATCAAAAGAGACAAAGAAGGCCATTACATAATGGTAAAGGGATCAATTCAACAAGAAGAGCTAACTATCCTAAATATATATGCACCCAATACAGGAGCACCCAGAGTCATAAAGCAAGTCCTGAGTGACCTACAAAGAGACTTAGACTCCCACACATTAATAATGGGAGACTTTAACACCCCACTGTCAACATTAGACAGATCAACGAGACAGAAAGTCAACAAGGATACCCAGGAATTGAACTCAGCTCTGCACCAAGCGGACCTAATAGACATCTACAGAACTCTCCACCCCAAATCAACAGAATATACATTTTTTTCAGCACCACACCACACCTATTCCAAAATTGACCACATACTTGGAAGTAAAGCTCTCCTCAGCAAATGTAAAAGAACAGAGATTATAATAAACTATCTCTCAGACCACAGTGCAATCAAACTAGAACTCAGGATTAAGAATCTCACTCAAAACTGCTCAACTACATGGAAACTGAACAACCTGCTCCTGAATGACCACTGGGTACATAACGAAATGAAGGCAGAAATAAAGATGTTCTTTGAAACCAACAAGAACAAAGACACAACATACCAGAATCTCTGGGACGCATTCAAACAGTGTGTAGAGGGAAATTTATAGCACTAAATGCCCACAAGAGAAAGCAGGAAAGATCCAAAATTGACACCCTAACATCACAATTAAAAGAACTAGAAAAGCAAGAGCAAACACGTTCAAAAGCTAGCAGAAGGCAAGAAATAACTAAAATCAGAGCAGAACTGAAGGAAATAGAGACACAAAAAACCCTTCAAAAAATTAATGAATCCAGGAGCTGGTTTTTTGAAAGGATCAACAAAATTGATAGACCGCTAGCAAGACTAATAAAGAAAAAAAGAGAGAAGAATCAAATAGACGCAATAAAAAATGATAAAGGGGATATCACCACCGATCCCACAGAAATACAAACTACCATCAGAGAATACTACAAACACCTCTACGCAAATAAACTAGAAAATCTAGAAGAAATGGATAAATTCCTCGACACACAAACTCTCCCAAGACTAAACCAGGAAGAAGTTGAATCTCTGAATAGACCAATAACAGGAGCTGAAATTGTGGCAATAATCAATAGTTTACCAACCAAAAAGAGTCCAGGACCAGATGGATTCACAGCCGAATTCTACCAGAGGTACAAGAAGGAACTGGTACCATTCCTTCTGAAACTATTCCAATCAGTAGAAAAAGAGGGAATCCTCCCTAACTCATTTTATGAGGCCAGCATCATTCTGATACCAAAGCCGGGCAGAGACACAACCAAAAAAGAGAATTTTAGACCAATATCCTTGATGAACATTGATGCAAAAATCCTCAATAAAATACTGGCAAAACGCATCCAGCAGCACATCAAAAAGCTTATCCACCATGATCAAGTGGGCTTCATCCCTGGGATGCAAGGCTGGTTCAATATATGCAAATCAGTAAATGTAATCCAGCATATAAACAGAGCCAAAGACAAAAACCACATGATTATCTCAATAGATGCAGAAAAAGCCTTTGACAAAATTCAACAACCCTTCATGCTAAAAACTCTCAATAAATTAGGTATTGATGGGACGTATTTCAAAATAATAAGAGCTATCTATGACAAACCCACAGCCAATATCATACTGAATGGGCAAAAACTGGAAGCATTCCCTTTGAAAACTGGCACAAGACAGGGATGCCCTCTCTCACCACTCCTATTCAACATAGTGTTGGAAGTTCTGGCCAGGGCAATTAGGCAGGAGAAGGAAATAAAGGGTATTCAATTAGGAAAAGAGGAAGTCAAATTGTCCCTGTTTGCAGACGACATGATTGTATATCTAGAAAACCCCATTGTCTCAGCCCAAAATCTCCTCAAGCTGATAAGCAACTTCAGCAAAGTCTCAGGATACAAAATCAATGTACAAAAATCACAAGCATTCTTAAATACCAACAACAGACAAACAGAGAGCCAAATCATGAGTGAACTCTCATTCACAATTGCTTCAAAGAGAATAAAATACCTAGGAATCCAACTTACAAGGGATGTGAAGGACCTCTTCAAGGAGAACTACAAACCACTGCTCAAGGAAATAAAAGAGGATACAAACAAATGGAAGAACATTCCATGCTCATGGGTAGGAAGAATCAATATCGTGAAAATGGCCATACTGCCCAAGGTAATTTACAGATTCAATGCCATCCCCATCAAGCTACCAAAGACTTTCTTCACAGAATTGGAAAAAACTACTTTAAAGTTCACATGGAACCAAAAAAGAGCCCACATCGCCAAGGCAATCCTAAGCCAAAAGAACAAAGCTGGAGGCATCACACTACCTGACTTCAAACTGTACTACAAGGCTACAGTAACCAAAACAGCATGGTATTGGTACCAAAACAGAGATATAGATCAATGGAACAGAACAGAGCCCTCAGAAATAACGCCGCATACCTACATCTTATCTTTGACAAACCTGAGAAAAACAAGCAATGGGGAAAGGATTCCCTATTTAATAAATGGTGTTGGGAAAACTGGCTAGCCATATGTAGAAAGCTGAAACTGGATCCCTTCCTTACACCTTATACAAAAATCAATTCAAGATGGATTAAAGACTTAAACATTAGACCAAAAACCATAAAAACCCTAGAAGAAAACCTAGGCATTACCATTCAGGACATAGGCATGGGCAAGGACTTCATGTCCGAAACACCAAAAGCAATGGCAACAAAAGCCAAAATTGACAAATGGGATCTAATTAAACTAAAGAGCTTCTGCACAGCAAAAGAAACTACCATCAGAGTGAACAGGCAACCTACAAAATGGGAGAAAATTTTCACAACCTACTCATCTGACAAAGGGCTAATATCCAGAATCTACAATGAACTCAAATTTACAAGAAAAAAACAAACAACCCCATCAAAAAGTGGGTGAAGGACATGAACAGACACTTCTCAGAAGAAGACATTTATGCAGCCAAAAAACACATGAAAAAATGCTCGTCATCACTGGCCATCAGAGAAATGCAAATCAAAACCACAATGAGATACCATCTCACACCAGTTAGAATGGCAATCATTAAAAAGTCAGGAAACAACAGGGGCTGGAGAGGATATGGAGAAATAGGAACACTTTTACACTGTTGGTGGGACTGTAAACTAGTTCAACCATTGTCGAAGTCAGTGTGGCGATTCCTCAGGGATCTAGAACTAGAAATACCATTTGACCTAGCCATCCCATTACTGGGTATATACCCAAAGGACTATAAATCATGCTGCTATAAAGACACATGCACACGTATGTTTATTGCGGCATTATTCACAATAGCAAAGACTTGGAACCAACCCAAATGTCCAAAAATGATAGACTGGATTAAGAAAATGTGGCACATATACACCATGGAATACTATGCAGCCATAAAAAATGATGAGTTCATGTCCTTTGTAGGGACATGGATGAAATTGGAAATCATCATTCTCAGTAAACTATCGCAAGAACAAAAAACCAAACACCGCATATTCTCACTCATAGGTGGGAATTGAACAATGAGATCACATGGACACAGGAAGGGGAATATCACACTCTGGGGACTGTGGTGGGGTGGGGGGAGCGGGGAGGGATAGCATTGGGAGATATACCTAATGCTAGATGACGATTTAGTGGGTGCAGCGCACCAGCATGGCACATGTGTACGTATGTAACTAACCTGCACAATGTGCACATGTACCCTAAAACCTAAAGTATAAAAAAAAAAAAAAGATTAGATTTTGTGTTAAATTCTGTTTTACTTTCAAGCCATCCCAGAGTACCTAATTCGTAAAGATACTTAAGAGTAAAAAGCACCACTGTACACTTTATTCATGAAAAATTACCTGTGCAATATTTTTAGAAGACATAATTGCCTGATTATAGAATGTACGGCCAAAGTGGTCTCGATCTGGAAACACATCTGCTTGTCGAGGTAAGTATGCTCCTCCCGAATCAACTGAAGACAAGAAATGAGAAACATAAGCATCTCTATGAACTAAATGTGCTACGCAGAGGGAAACTTGTATCAATGACAGCATCAGTTCTTAATCACATTCACAAAAAACTTGCCCTGTCTTTCTAAACTGTTATAGAGCCTCGTTCTCCAAACCCCCAATGCAGCCAAAAGGATTCATTGCCCCAAACCCATCAGGCTTTCCCACCTCTGTGCAAAATTCTTCTCGAAATGGTTAGAACCTTCTCTCCTTTGAGGACCAGCTAAAGCCCCAGAAACATCATAAATTCTTAAAGAGTTAAGGTGGAAAAGTATCTTTCCTTCTTCTAAACCAATACAAAAGCCATCCACAGAATTCATATAATAATTTATACATATTGCCTTCTGATACTGTTTTCATTGCAGATTGGAGTGGTGGGTACACAGGTCAGTTGCGTTCAAAGCAGAGCTCATGACTTCACAGCTGTGTGATTATAGGTGTGTTTCCTAGCCATCCTATGCCCCGGTTTCCTTACCCACGAAATGAAGATAAAAAAAGGAGCCATATCATATATTAGGATGACTTGAAAAATGTATAGAAAGCACTTAGTTCAGAATCTGCAACCATTAAGTCTTTTGTTGGTTGCACATTATATGCTGTGTCCAATTCATTATGAGCTCGCTGAAGACAGAGACAACAAAATCCTCCTCACTGTATCCCCTATAAAGACCAGCACAGCACCTACAAGCAGCTGGGCCTCATTTGCTGTTTTCTCTACGTGCAGAGCAGTTCGTATTGTGAGTTAATCAGGTAAATTCAACTTCACAGAAAAACACAAAACAAAAAATACCTCTACATCAGTACCCGTTCAAATACCTGCATACATGAACAACGTATGTTGGAATTTTATCAGACTAACCCAGTATCAGGAAAGGCCCATTTTTTTTTTTTTTTTTTTTTTTTGAGACAGTCTCTCTCTCTGTCGCCCAGGCTGGAGTACAGTGGCACGATTTCAGCTCACTGCAAGCTCCGCCTCCCAGGTTCACACCATTCTCCTGCCTCAGCCTCCCAAGTAGCTGGGACTACAGCTGCCTGCCACCACGCTCGGCTAATTTTTTGTATTTTTTTTTAGTAGAGACGAGGTTTCAGTGTGTTAGCCAGGATGGTCTCCATCTCCTGACCTCATGATCCGCCTGCCTCGGCCTCCCAAAGTGCTGGGATTACAGGCGTGAGCCACCGCGCCCGGAGGAAAGGCCCATTTTAAACTGCTTTGCTTTCAGGTTCTTTGATTTAAATGTGTTTTAATTTCAAATATAAGTTTACTTTCACTGGAAATTAAATTTACTTTAAATTACATCTGCTCAAATTATATAATACTTGCACATTTAACTCAGTACCTGGCACTCAAGAGATCTATAAATACTTGCTACTATTTTTTTCATAGTATGATCCATAAAGTTAAAAGAAAAACAGGATCTAGAGAACAAAAAAAAAAAACCACACAACACATAGAGAAAAAAACTGGCATGCGTCAAAATGTATGAGTATTATGCACTAGTACTATGAACAGTTCTTGTTTACTTTCCCCCAGAGTTTTCAGCAAAGAACCTGTGTTTCCTTTATAATTACAGGAGAAATCAACAGGTTTATAAAATACCCATCCCAAATGTAATACATACAGCCTTCCAAACTATCTTGCATTTTACCAGCTAATAATAGTTTATTTTACCACTCTGGTGACTTGCCTAAGTAGATGCAGGGGAGCCTGTTTTGCATGGCAATTTCTTGGGCCCGTAATTGTTTTTTCACAGTCACTGGGTAGTAGGCACCTCCTTTGACGGTGGCATCATTGGCAATAATCATGCATTCTACTCTGAAAGGCAGAAATTTCATTGGAGAGAGAATTTAAGAGATTTCTTCAAAACTAATTACACTCATTACAAGATACCCCAATACAACCTTCAACTTCTAGTACGTATCACTATTAACATCCATTAGCAGACAGCAGTCTTAGGATATAAATGCAAACTTTAATCACAGTTCACATATTAATTTATATAATACAAAACAATTACTTCTAACAAGTTTATAAACTCACACTTGGTTTTTGAAAAGTCATCAGTCCTAGATTAGTAATAAAAAACTAACAACCTAAGCCTTGTGTCATAATGGTTCTTTGAATGAAAAGGTCCTAATAAGATGAAAATAATAATGAAAAAAAAAATCCAAGTCTCAAGGGAAAAGAATTCCCTCATAATAAACCTTCAAAGTCTCCTTTTAGGAGGGTATTTTGCAAAAATGAAAACTGACCTTTAGTACTAAGATTTATTTTTTGTATTCTTGTTCTTCAACATTACAGCCCCATGGTTTTCTACAAAACTAAATGTAGTCTAAAATATAACGTTCATCTTAACTGAAGTCAGAATGAATGCAAACTTTAATATACTAAAAACACATGAAAGGTATCCTGAGTCATCAACAGTGCCCTTTCTCACCAAAACCAGTTTATTGGGTATGAGTCACAAAGAGCAGGGCGGCCAACAACCACAGCTGGTTGGGGAAACTGTACAGCACTGGCAGGAAACCTTAAGGTCAGAGGTACCCTTGAAATCTGAGATGACAACAGTGTGCTCTTTACAAAATTCAATTTTCTTTATGTTTCTGATGTTTGTGTTACCTCACTTTATGCTGCCTACAACTCTAAAGAGTGAGTCATTAAATCCCTGCTGAAAATAGAGAACGGCAACTGAACACCCAGCACAGGGTAGTGTTGAGCTTCTCATACTAGGATATGTGGCCAGCAGGGCTCGCCACAAGACAAACAGGACTCTTCTTTGAGCATCAATTTTATTCCCTAGGTCATATAAAACCTTTTTCTGCACTGCAATGAACATTTTATAGAGTAGAATGCAAACTTTTAATGATTTAACATTAAACGAACTAGACTTCAAAGGAAATGTAGGCTTCTCATAGGTTGCTGGGCCATAACCTCACACTCCAGAGTGTGTGCTCATACTTCCTACCACTGGGGGTGCTACGCTAGAAAGTTTAAGAAGCTCTGGTACTGGAAAGAGGCCAGGCTGTGAAGTCAGACAAAGTTAGACTGAAATTCTGGCTCTGCCAACTTGTTAGTTATGTGACCATGGACAAGGGACATAGCCATATCTGCTTGTCTATTAAAGGTCACAGACTTGTTACAGAATGAGAAATCAAATTGGCCCACAAAAATACTAGATTGCATTTCTATTGGTTTTGCCTACCCAGCATCTATTATTTTGGCAACAAAACTAAACCTTCTTTCAGAAACTGCCTCTTATCTTTAATCCAGGTGGCTCAAGTAGGACTGACCCCAGAGCCTGCCTTAAAGGGGGGCACAGGGACCAGGTCTTTCTACCCAGAGTTCCCACTGAGGCTCGGCAATGGGACAGGCTCTAAGCCTAAGCAGATCTTGCCTTCCACTGCAGCTGCTAAACTTATAGAATATAAACCAGGAACTGCCTATGACCATCACTGCCTCTGGATTTAGAGAGGCTGCCTAGAAACAAAGCTGACACACAGCAAGTCAGGGCCAGGAGTAGAAAACAGCCTGGGACCTAGTAATACCTAAGACCATTTGAGCTCCCAGATACAGCCATGCCCAGACTCACCAGATAAGAGAATCAATATATCCTCTTTTTTGCTTAATTTGAGCAAATTCAGCTCATCTGTCATTTGTCAGAGAAAGAGTAGTGATGATATAAACCATTCAACAATTTTTATGTAAGAAAGGTCAATTTGAATTATAATAAAGGCCAGAGCAATGGCTCATGCTTGTGATCCCAGCACTTTGGGAGGCCAAGGCAGGAAGATCATTTGATGCCAGGAGTTTGAGGCTACAGTAAGCTATGATCATGTCACTGCACTCCAGCCTGGGCAACAGAGTAAGACCCCAACTCAAAAAAAAAAAATTATAATGATGTGCTAGCCTATATTCAACATCGTTTGAGCCCAGAAGTTCGAGATTAGCCTAGGCAACAGAGCGAGACACCATCTCTAAAAAAAACAAAAAAGGAAAAAAGAAAGAATTTATAATTAAGTACTACTTTATACCTATTAAATGACTGAATTTTTTTCAGCCATAATATCCAGTACTAGAGCATCTCTAGTTAAAAGATAAAGACTGGTCTCCTTCCTTGCCCTTGTCTCCATGGAAAGACATCTTTTTGTTTTTTTTTTGAGACGGAGTCTTGCTCTGTCACCAGGATGGAGTGCAGTGGCTCCATCTCAGCTCACTGCAACTTCTGCCTCCCAGGTTCAAGCGATTCTCCTGCCTCAGCCTCCCAAGTAGCTGGGACTACAGGCGTGTGCCACCATGCCGGCTTATTTTTTTATTTTTAGTAGAGACAGGGTTTCACCACATTGGCCAGCCTGATCTCAAACTCCTGACCTCAGGTGATCCACCCACCTCAGCCTCCCAAAGTGCTGGGATTACAGGCGTGAGCCACCACACCCAGCCAGTCCTACATAATATAAATAGCATACAAATCGCATGCTAATATGCAAAGTGAGTGCTGGATGCCTGTGCCTCATCAAAGTCTTCTTCTCAACCCACATTATGAAGCACAAGTAGAATACTCACCCTGATACTCTTCCAATGCCTGTAATAATGCCACCTCCTGGCACCTCCTCATTGTCATATAACTGGTAACCTGCAAACTGGGATAATTCCAGAAATGGAGACCTAAAGCGAAGAAAGGATGTTGTTTGAATTAATGTCATTAAAAACTACACATTTAAACAGTTACACATGGAAAAGGAAAAGATTTTTCCTCAATGGGACAATATTTCAAATACACATGTTGTATATAAAATCTATTTTTAAAAATCTAAAATGGGTGTGGTGGCTCAAGTCTGTAATCCCAGTTATTCAGGAGGCTGAGACAAGAGGACTGTTTGAGCCCAAGAGTTGGAGGCCAGCCAGGACAACATAGTGAGACCCCATCTCTTTTTTGTTGTTGTTGTTGTTTTTTGAGATGGAGTCTTGCCCTGTCACCCAGGCTGGAGTGCAGTGGCGCGATCTCAGCTCACTGCAACCTCCACCTCCTGAGTTCAAGCGATTCTCCTGCCTCAGCCTCCCGAGTAACTGGGATTACAGGCATGCGCCACCACAACCAGCTAATTTTTTGTATTTTTAGTAGAGACGGGGTTTCACCATGTTGGCCAGGCTGGTCTCAAACTCCTTACCTGAAGGTTATCTGCCCACCTCGGCCTCACAAAGTGCTGGGATTACAGGCATGAGCCACCACGCCCAGCCAAGACCCCATCTCTTAAAAACTTTTGGAGGTAGGTGGGGTGGCTCATGCCTGTAGTCCTAGCACTTTGTGGGGCTCAAGTGGGTGGACTGCTTGAGCCCAGGAGTTTGAGGCCAGCCTGAGCAACACGGGGAAACCCCATCTTTACAAAAAAAAAAAAATTTTCAACACAGCTGGGCATGATGGCACATGCCTGTGGTCCCAGCTACTTGGGAGGCTGAGGTGGAAGAATCACTTGAGCCCAGGAGGCCAAGGCTGCAGAGAACTGTGACTGTGCCACTGCACTCCAGCCTGGGCAATGGAATGAGACCCTGTCTCAAAAAACAACTAATGGCCAGGCACGGTGGCTCATGCCTGTAATCTCAGCACTTTGGGAGGCTGAGACAGGTAGATCACGTGAGGTCAGGAGTTTGAGACCAGCCTGGATAACATGGTGAAACCCCATCTCTACTAAAAATACAAAAAAAAAAAAAAAAAAAAATTAGCCAGGCGTGGAGGCACGTGCCTGTAATCCCAGCTACTCGGGAGGCTGAGGCAGGAGAATCACCTGAATCCGGAAGGCAGAGGTTTCAGTGAGCTGAGATCATGCCACTGCACCCCAGCCTGGGCAACAGGGCAAAACTCCATCTCAAAAAATAAATAATTAATTAATTAATTAAAATAAAAATCCTTTCCAAATACCAGGCTCTCTTCTAAAGGCTTTAGAAACACTCACTTATCGGCTGGTGTGGTGGCTCATGCCTGTAATCCCGGCACTTTGGGAGGCCAAGGTGGGCAGATCACGAGGTCAAGAGATTGAGACCATCCTGGGCAACATGGTGAAACCCCGTCTCTACTAAAAATACAAAAATTAGCTGGGCATGGTGGTGCACACCTGTAATCCAGCTACTCGGGAGGCTGAGGCAGGAGAATCGCTTGAACCCAGGAGGCGGAGGTTAAGTGAACGGAGATCGCGCCACTGCACTCCAGCCTGGTGACAGAGTGAGACTCCGTCTCAAAAAAAAAAAAAAAAAAAAGAAACACTCACTCATGTCCTCCTTAGAACCACCTTCTGAGGTGGATCTTATTGTGACCCTCATTTACTGATGAGGAAACTGAAACACACAGAGATCAAGTCACTTGTCTAAGGTTACACAGTAAGTAAGGGGCAGAGCCGGGAGCTTCATAAGCAATCTTGCCCCAGGGGCCAGGCTCTTAACCACTAGTCCGCCTCTCACTTACTTACATGGTCAAGATACATTAGGAGGGAAAAAAGAGAGCTGGCTACAAAACAGCAAATTTAGTACGATTTCATTTGCATTTTTAAAAAATGTAGGTGTCTGGTATATATATATGCATACAAATGGCCTAGAAGGATAATATACTAGGTGTTAACAGTGCTGTCTCCAGGTTGGATGTGTGTGCACGTGTCAGGAGAAAAAATACTTTGGGAGTTTTCACTTACCCCTCTTCTCCCCCTTACACTCCATATCCAATCCTTCAGGAAATCCTGTTGGGTTGGCTCTGTCTTCACAATACATCCAGAACCCTGCACTCCTGCCACCACCACTACTACTACCCTATGCCGAGTCCCCATCATGTCTCCCTCAAATCCTTGCAATCGCCCTCTACCTGGTCACAGGGCTTCCACCCTTGCTGCTCCATCTACTCACAACACAGCAGCCAGAAGCACTCTTTTAAGCTATGTCAGATCATAATCATCTCCTGTTCAAAACCCTACAATAGCTCCCCATTTCTCCCATGGTGAAAACCAAAACCTTTATGATAACCCACAAGGCCATACAGGATCTGACCCATCTCCTACTCCTCTCCCCTCACTCCCTCCACCACAACCACCCCAGCCTCCTGGCTGCCCCTTGAGCATACCAGCATTACCTGGCACACTCCCACCTCAGGGCCTTTGCACTGGCCATTCCCTCTGCCTGAAACACTCTTTCCCCAGAGAGTTACAAGGCTCTCTCTCTCTCTCTCCTCCTTTAAATCTTTGCTCAGACATCACCTTCTCAATGCGGCCTACCTTGGCACCACCTCTTAAAACTGCAACTTGCCCTATATCTTCCTCTCCTTTACCCTGGGCCACCTTTTCTTTTTCTCATGACATTTGTCACTTACTAACACACTACAGAATTTACAATCTTTTTTTTTTTTGAGACAGAGTCTCGCTCTGTCACCCAGGCTGGAGTGCAGTGGCACAATCTCGTCTCACTGCAACCTCTGCCTCTGGGGTTCGAGCGACTCTCCTGCCTCAGCCTCCCGAGTAGCTGGGACTACAAGCACATGCCACCATGCCCAGCTAATTTTTTGTATTTTTAGTAGAGACGGGTTTTCACCATGTTAGCCAGATGGTCTCAATCTCCTGACTTCATGATCCGCCCACCTCGGCCTCCCAAAGTGCTGGGATTACAGGAGTGAGCCACCACACCCAGCCAGAAGTTACAGTCTTTACTGTTGCTTTCTGTCTCCCTTTGCTATGATGTAAACTCTAGTAGAGCAAAGATCTGTGTCTGTTTTGGTCACTGATATATCACTAGTACCTGACCAATAGTAGGCTCTCAATAAACATGTCAACACATAGTGCTTGACACATAGTAGGCTCTCAATAAACACATGTTCCTGAATCTTACGATGAGAACTAGAATTCAAAATAACTGATTTACAAGACTGTCTAATAAAGTACTATGGAACAGAGAACACTCTGAGTCAGTACTTGGCTATGTACGCACCCTGGGTCTATGAGATTGTCAATTCTTTCTCTGGGCAATAGTTTTCCTCTTGATATGTGAAGTGCTCGGGCTTTCTCACCACCTCCTATGATAGAAATGTGATTAGATTAGATTAGATTGACACGATAAAAAGGTCTCAATGCCAGAAAAACATAATACTTAATCCAAAATATAGCACTTTTTAAAAGTTCAACATATCCTCTGAGAAAAGGCTAATAATCATTCACTCAACTTACAAGTTGCCAATTTTCTGAAGTAAATGTAAAAACTGGTATTAAAAAAAAATCAATCTATCCCTGATTTTAGAGTATATCCTAGAGTCTATGTTCTGAATTCACTAGTAGTTACATAAATTACAGAGTATTTTCTCTGCAGCTCACATATTGCAAATAATGCCTCATCTCCACCACATTTATTAAATACATGCTATGATAGATCTGGAAAATTCCTATCTTCATTTGTACCAGGTAAAAATAAAATTTTAGAAATTACTTCCATGATAAGTGCAGTAAATTTACCTAAAGATGACATTAGTGATCCGTAACTTTTTAGGCTTGCAACTGGGTGAGTTGAACACTTTAGCAATTTAAAAGTCCCCTTCCTTGACTCAGAGATTGTCTTCAGTGCTTCTCAACATTGCTCACATCATGACAGACAAAGAAAATTATAACTGAAGAGCCCACTGGAGTATTCTTGGGAATATCTATAACCCACTCTCGGCAAACCAAGGTAATGGAGCAAGAACAGAAGTATCAAATTGTACCTTTAATAATTAAAACATTAGTTTATTTTTATTGGTGTCCAAGAATTTCATCTTAATATAGTCTTTGTCTAATGAAATGTTCAGCTATTTCAGAAAGCTATTTCTTTGTTTATTTAGGCAAGAAAATAATCTCAAACGATCTTCCAAGTAGGACCTTTTTTTTTTTTTTTTTTGAGACAAGATCTTACTCTGTCACCCAGGCTGGAGTGCAGTGGTGCCAGCATGGCTCACTACAGCCTTGAACTCCTAAATTCAAGTGATCCTCTCACCTCAGGCTTCCCAGCAGCTGGGACTACAGGCATGTGCCACCACTCCAGCTAAATTTTTGTGATGAGGTCTCACTCTGTTGCCCAGGCTGGTTTCAAACACCTGGCTTCATGCAATTCTCCTGCCTTGACCTCCCAAAGTGACAGGTGGGTCATGCCTGTAATCCCAGCACTTTGGGAGGCTGAGGTGGGTGGATCACTTGAGGCCAGGAGTTTGAGACCAGCCTGGACAACATGGTGAAACCCCATCTCTACTAAAAATATGAAAAATTAGCTGGGTGTGGTGGTGCATGCCTGTAGTCCCAGCTATTCGGGAGGCTGAGGCGGGAGAATCGCTTGAACCCGGGGGGCCAAGGTTGTAGTGAACTGAGATCGCGCCACTACACCCCAGCCTGAGTGACAGAGCAAGACTCCGTCTCAGTAAAAAAAAAAAAAAAGAGAGAGACTTAAGACAACATCACTCTTTAGCAATTCTGTCTAGAGTGGGGCCTTACAATTTGGAGCAGCTGGTGAATTCTGGTTTTATTAGGAAGAACCAGAAAGAGGGTTATCCTTGATGCAGGCTCACAGAGCACATAATTAAGCTCCCCTGACATTTAATTCTTGGCAAAGCTGTGACAGCCAAGTTTGTCCTTTCCCCCTTCTCCCTACCTCCTTCCCCAGGGAGTCCGGCTCAGTCCTCTACCCTCCTGTGGCCACCAGCCTGCACCACGGTTCCTCAGCATCCACCATCCCCAGCAGGCACCTGATGCCACAGGACTCCTCAACCCTCCATTGAGTCAAACCCACCTCTTTTTTTTTTTTTTTTGAGACGGAATTTCGCTCTGTTACCCAGGCTAGAGTGCAATGGCACCATCTTGGCTCACTGCAACCTCCGCCTCCCAGGTTCAAACAATTCTCCTGCCTCAGCCTCCCGAGTAGGTGGGATTACAAGCATGCGCCACCACACCCAGCTAATTTTGTATTTTTAGTAGAGACAGGGTTTCACCATGTTGCTCAGTCTGGTCTCGAACTCCTGACTTCATGTGATCCGCCCACCTCGGCCTCCCAAAGTGCTGGGATTACAGGCGTGAGCCACTGTGCCTGGCCCCAAAACCCACCATCTTAATGTCTAAGGGGGACAGTGAGTTCACCAAATCAAACTCTCAAAATGGGCATAACAATTGAGTTATCACCCCTAACAAAACACTTTCATTTCAGCAAGAGTTTGAATTCTTTTTCTGGAGACAACACCTTGATCTAAAATGGCTTCAAAAGTATGAATTCCATAGCTGCGTACAGGGGCACAGGTACAGTCTCAGCTACTTGGGAGGCTGAGGCAAGAAGATCACTTGAGCTCCCGACTTCGAGTCCAGCCCGAGCAACAGAGTGAGGAGACCCTGTCTCTAAATAAACTAGTAAATAAGCAATTCTAGACCATACTTTCCAAATCCAGTCTTCTTCACTATTTTTATACTCCTGAGATCCAGTATTTAAACTACTCTAACCTAAATGTAAAATTTTACATTAAAAGTATTATATACAATTTTAAGTATTATATACTTGTTGATAAAAGTTATCTGAAACAGTCTATCAAATATGAAGAATGCTTTCCATCTGAGATTCAGCACTTAGGGAGGAAATATTAAATGCCTACTAAGAAATCACTGGCCAGGTGTGGTGGCTCATACCTGTAATCCCAGCACTTTGGGAGGCCAAGATGAGAGGATCGCTTGAGCCAGGGGTTCAGTCCAGCCTGGCAATAGAGCAAGAACCCATCTCTTAAAAAAAAAATTAATAAAAATTAAAAATAAATTATTTATTCATAAAATTTATGAATTTGAATCTTTACTTTTCCCCCCAAAAGTGGTAGTACTCTATGAAGAGAAAAACTGGCCAAGTAATAGGAAAAATAAAATTAAATGCCTGCATACCAACAAATGCATAGTCTTAAGAGTCAAAAGCTCAGCCAGGAGTAGTGGCTCACGCCTATAATTGCAGCACTTTGGGAGGCCAAGGCAGATGGATCACTTGACATCAGTAGTTCAAGACCAGCCTGGCCAACATGGTGAAACCTTGTCTCTATTTAAAAAATACAAAAATTAGACAGGCATGGAGGCAGGCACCTGTAATCCCAACAACTTGGGAGGCTGAGGCAGGAGAATGGCTTGAACCCAGGAGGCGGAGGTTGCAGTGAGCTGAGATGGCGCCACTGCACTCCAGCCTGGGCAAGAGAGCAAGACTCCATCTCAAAAAAAAAAAAAAAATATCAAAAGCTTAATTCCAGTATTTTTCCTAAAAGCAATAACTATTTTAGGACATCTTAAGTAAAGGCATAAGCTGTGGAATAAATGCTGTGTTTACCTAGTTTTATATGCTCCACTCGTTCATGGAGCTGATTTACTAGTGCTTTCATCTGCTTGTAGTTCTCCTAAAACAGAAATAGAGGAGACAGGGGAGAGAAATATTAGAAAGCAATTCCTTTTTACCAAAATAAAGGTCAAAAAAAAAAAAAAAACAGTGGTCTGTGCCAACTCTGTGTGGCCGCCACACTGGGCCACCCCATCTGTGGCAGCCACGCTGGGCCACTGGATCGTATGGAAAAGATTCACCCCTGCCTGTCTTGTTCAAGCTCTTCTTCACCACCCCACTTGTCCATCTCTCCATATCTTACTCCTCTGTAAGCCTAATTCATGTTTTATCTCATCTTCAACTCTACTTCTGGCCACTCCTACTCAATTTAACATCTTTCTTCCTTAAACACCTTCTGAACTTAAACTGATCTCTATTTGTTTTCCTATTTTAAGGAATATAAGCTTTTTGAAGGTTAGAATACCATCTTATTTTTCCTGTCCCATCAGTCACTATCTGAGATTCCAACCAATGCTTGCTTACTGACAAAGTACACTTAAAAACAAATCCCAGAGGGAGAAAAAGGATCTTATTTTTATTTTTAATTTTGTATTTTTATTTTTTGGGACAGAGTCTCCCTTTGTTGCCCCGGCTGGAGTGCAATGGTGCAATCTCGGCTCACTGCAACCTCCGCCTCCCGAGATCAAGCGATTCTCCTGCCTCAGCCTCCTAAGTAGCTGGGACTACAGGTGTGTGCCACCATGCCCAGCTAATTATTGTATTTTTAATAGAGACCGGGTTTCGCCATGTTGGCCAGGCTGATCTCAAACTCCTTACCTCAAGTGATTTGCCCATCTCGGCCTCCCAAAGTGCTGGGATTACAGGCATGAGCCACCGCACCTGGCCAAGGATCCTATTTTATGTTTTAAAAAGAACAGGCTGAGTGTGGTGGCTTATGTCTGTTATCCCAGAGCTTTGGAAGGCGGAGGCAGGAGCATCGCTTAAGCCCAGGAGTTTGAGACCAGCCTGAGTAACATAGGGAGACTTCCATCTTTACAAAAAGAATAAAAATAAAAAGAATAAAAATTTAAAAATTATCTGGGCATGGTGGTGTGTCCCAGCGACTTGACCAACTAAGGTGGAAGGATCTCTTGAGCCCAGGAGTTTGAAGCTGCAGTGAACTAGGATCGTGCCATTGTACTCCAGCCTGGGTGACAGAGCAAGACTGTTTCAAATAAATAAATAAATTAGTAAAAAGAACAAAACTCGGCCAGCCGTGGTGGCTCACGCCTGTAATCTCAGCACTTTGGGAGGCCGAGGCGGGCAGATCACCTACGGTCGGGAGTTCGAGACCAGCCTGACCAACATGGAGAAAACTCGTCTCTACTAAAAAATACAAAATTAGCCAGGCAAGGTGGTGCTTGCCTGTAATCCCAGCTACTCGGGAGGCTGAGGCAGGAGAATCCCTCGAACCCGGGAGGCGGAGGTTGCAGTGAGCCAAGATTGCATCATTGCACTCCAGCCTGGGCAACAAGAGCAAAACTCCATCTCAAAAAAAAAAAAAAAAAAACAGAACAAAACTCTATGCTGGCATATATACACAAATTAAGTAATACACAAGGAAATATTGACAGTGAGAAGTAGAAAAGAGGTAGAGGGACTAACTTTTCACCCTTCTGTATTTTTAAATTTTGTTTGGTCAGCATATTACTTTAGAACAATACTTAACTAGCTAATTATCTTTGAAATTCAGACTTGGCCCACTAATACATTTTGCTCCCCATGTGATTAGCATCTCTAGTTATTTAGTTCCTTCTGTTTGACAGAACACTAAGCAACTTCCTAACTGTTCAAACTTAGATGAATATTCAGTCTACAGTATATCTCCATTATTTCCTATTTTCTACAGCTCCAAGAGCTCTGAGGGTCATGATTTCTGCTACATTCTCTTGCTCTGCAAAATCCAGAAAATAAAAAACAAGGAAGCAGCATGGTATTAGGGAAAGAACCAGTTGGAGCTAACACAATATACAGAACTTGTCACCCTACAACAGCAGAAAAAAGTATGTAACTTTTCTCAAGTGCACAGGCAACATTCTCCAAGATAGACTACATGTCAGGCCACAAAACAAATCTTAATAAATTTTAAAAGACTGAAATCATACAAAGTATCCTTTTTTTTTTTTTTGAGACGGAGTCTGGCCGTGTCGCCCAGGCTGGAGTGCAGTAGCACAGTCTCAGCTCACTGCAACCTCCGCCTCCCGGGTTCAAGCGACTCTCCTGCCTCACACTCCCAAGTAGCTGGGATTACAGGCGTGCGCCACCATGCCCAGGTAATTTTTTTATTTTTAGTGGAGACAGGGTTTCACCATGTTGGCCAGGCTGGTCTAGAACTCCTGACCTCAGGTGATCCACCAGCCTCGGCCTCCCAAAGCGCTAGGATTACAGGCCTGAGCCACCATGCCTGGCCCAAAAGTATCCTTTCAATCACAATGGAATGAAACTAGAAATCAATGGCAGAAGGATGACTGGAAAATTCACAAATATATGGAAATTAAACAACGTACTTTTAAGCAACCAGTGGGTCAAAGAAGAAAAGCACTGACCCACTGAAGCTGACATTTGCCTCTACAGACTGGGCAACATCTGTGCCAAGCTCAGCCCATCAGACTTAAATCACAGAAGAGCCAGTACTGGCTACAGTTCACCTCCCAGGCAATCCTTTATCAACCAACCTAGCCTCCTTAGGATGAGACTCACTAACCAAGAGGCAGTGTAGTTTAGTGGCAAAACCAAGTTCAACTTTCAGTTTCCCTACTTACTGATACTGCATTTGGCAAATCTTGATCTCTCAGGACGCCAGGTGTTTGTGTTTGTGTGTGTGTGTGTGTGTGTTTTAATCACCTGCGAAACAACATTCTACAACCTAGTAATTTTCTTGTGAAGCTGAGCAACCACAGAGGTTAGTGCCTGACAGTCATAATGAATTGGAGCTGAGCCACTGACAAGTTTCCCACCCCATCTTTTCAACCATAGAACCCACCTAGGTAGAGCTGGGTGAGTGAGAAGCATTATAGAGCAACAGTTAAGACCCTGGACTCAAGAGTTATGAGCCAGACCACCTGGCTTCAAATTCAGGCTCTGTGTTATCTCAGACAAATTTCTTGGACCCTATATACCACAGTTTTCCCATCTATAAAACAGAAATAACAATTGTACCTACTGCACAGGATCATTATGATAAATACATGAGTAAAACCACATAAAGCCTTTAGAAAAATGGTGGGTACACTATAAAATTCCTGCCATTATTATTACTTATTATAGTTGCTTTTATTTGTAATCAGGAAACACAGCTAAACTGGATCATTCATCCCATTCTCCCCCACCCTCATGGACTTGCTTTGTCTAATGTGAGCACACATTAATTTCATCACATGCCAGCAAGGATTTTAAATCCAATTTGTGTTCAGCCTCTTGCTCCTGTGCCTTCGGCCATGAGAAGGGCATGTTTAATTCAGGGCTGCTCTTCAGCCTCAGTCCAGGAATGGGAAGACACATGGAGCAGACCTGAACCTACCCTGCAGTGGAACAGTCACAGCAGCAGCTAACCAAAGGCCACCAACACGAGTGAGAGATTAAGAAACAAAACAAAATCAAGTGAGAGACTAATATTTACTGTTGTGAGTTACTGAGATTTTTTGATTATTTGTTACACAAAGCGCAACCTAGCAAAAGGTGATTCATACAAAACCCATCACCAAAGCCTTCTTTGTATTAATGGCAGTTCCACCTAACTAAATATTCTGCCCAGTTGGAAACTCCAAAGTCATCCATTTTCCCCTTCCACTCAGTTATTAACTCTATAATCTTTGCTCCTCAGGTATTTATGCCCCCCTCCTACATACAACTCTAACTTTGACTCCTTCATCTCAAGACTCAACTCTCCACTGTCACCTAGGTCTAGTCTTTTCCCTATATCAATCCATCCTCCACATTGCCACCACACTGATGATTCTACCATATCCATAGGATCATGCCACTTATCTACTTAAATATTTTAATGGACAACCTGCCAAATGGAATCTAAATGTGGCTTTTGCATGGAAGATCCTCCTCTATCTGGCCCCATAATCAATCAATCCCATCACCAGACACTATTCAATGAATTCCATGTCCTAGACATGGAATTCAAGTCCTCACACCAGATATACACTTTCATAACTCAGTACCTATGTTCTTGTAACTCTCTTGGTTTATACAGTCTTACCTTCCATCCTGCACCCTGAACTTGGCCAGCTCTTACCCAAGATTCATCTCACCCATTACTTCCTATCGGTAGCTTTCTGTAACCACCTTCTCAAGCTTTAGACAACCCTTCTTACACTGTACCACAGTTACCTGCTTTCTTGTCCATCTTCCCTACAAAATTATTAGTTCCATTCCTACGCATCCATGCCAAATATCTAAAATAGTGCCTAGACCACAATAACCACTTAATAATTCTGAATTAAACATTCTGGACTGACAAACAATTGTGTGTTGTTTGCACTATTTAGATGTTATCTGTATAGGCTTAGAAATCGTGGGAACACAGTGAAATTTTCCAGCTCTGATATTTCGCAAGTTTTGAGTTTTTTGGCCTTATGATGCCTCCTAATTCCAAGAAAAGCCACTCAAAGATACTGTGGGATATTTTCTATTAACATAACCAACTTTTTTTTTTTTTTTTTTTTGAGACAGAGTTCGCTCTTGTTGCCAAGGCTGGAGTGCAATGGCACGATCTCAGCTCACTGCAACCTCCGCCTCCCAAGTTCAAGCGATTCCCCTGCCTCAGCCTCCCAGGTAGCTGGGATTACAGGCGCGCGCCACCATGCCCGGCTAATTTTTGTATTCTTAGTAGAGATGGGGTTTCACCACGTTGGCCAGGCTGTTCTCGAACTCCTGATCTCAGGTAATCCACCCGCCAGGGCCTCCCAAAGCGCTGGGATTACAGGCGTGAGCCACTGGGCTCGGCCATCATAATCAACTTTTAAACTCAAATTTCCTAAGCACAGCGCCCCTCGTTGGGCTGCTCTAGGCCAGTGGTTCCCAAAGCTGGCTGCCAAAAGTCCCCTAATGAGTTCACTAACAATATAAACACAGCGACTCCACCTGAGACCCACAAGGTCCAGAGTAGGGCTCAGGCAGCTATTCAGCTAGCTCCCCAGGTGGCAATTCTAAACCAGGCTTTAAGAACCACTGATTTCAAAGACACAAAGTACAGTGCCAGCTCTAAAAGTGAACTAAACTTTCTTGTATCTGTTAGGCTTTTCTTCTTCAAACTTCACGTGCGTCACAGAATCAACTGGGGCTCCGGACAAGAGAGCAGCAGTTGTTGAAGCGTGCCCCTCCTCCACTTGCTTCCTAGCCTGGCACCGGCGGCCAGGCCACCGGGGCGCTCAGCCTACCTGGTAGAGGGCAGAGCCCAAGTCCGGCTGGGTGCCCAGCGAGGCCACCGAGTCCCCGTGATAGGCGCGCGGCCCGGCGGGAGAGGCGCGGGCACACGGCCGCAGGGCTAACCTCAGGACGGCCCACATGGCGGCGGGCACCGAGCGAGAGAGCGGCCCACGCTGGCCTGGAGCCGGTGCTTTCCCCTGCCGCTTCCCTGGCTGGGGCGGAAGCTGAGCTCAGGTCCTTGCAGCCCCAGAGAAGGTTTCTCTGATTCTCAGGCCTGTCCACACACGTGCCTAAGCGCGCCGCCCGCGATTGGTCAAGCCGCGCCACGCCCCCTGACCCAGCCAATAAGGGACAGAGCCTCAGCCCCGCGAGGTCGCGTCTAGTCCCGAGCGCAGGAGAGCAGGTCTCCCCGGCGGATCGACCCTCACGAAGCGGTGCGGCAGTGAGAGAGCTGCGGTTGGGCTTGGATTGGTGTTGTGTTGACACAGCGATAGATAATATCACGATAGTGACTGTACCTAAGGCAGGAGAATAAGTCTGGAAGCAGGGAACCTAAGGCTGTCTCACGCTGACTTCCTAGAGCTAAACTGAAAGGAAAACCCTAACTTTCCATGCCTAAGTAACAAAAGGACCAAAGGCTACTCCCTTTGCAAACCCCCCCACCTTTTCCGCAGGGCAGATAGGAAATTGGCTGTCCCCGACAAATCAGACTTACTGCTGGTGGAGGCTTGCTTTGCCAAGTTTGAACCTTAACTCCAGCCTCTGAATGGTTGCTGTCCACAACCAATCAGACTGATTGGGGGTCCAGTCTTCGTTTGCATAGAAGTATAACTTTGTAATTTCACCCTAGCCTCTGACTGCTTGCTTCTTGCAACCAATCGGGTTTGAGGTGAGCATAAAATGGCCAATAGGAAACTTCTAGTGGGTATTTGGACCCAAGAAGATTCTATATCCGGGCCCTTGAGCTCTGCTCGGTCCGCTCCCACATTGTGGAGTGCACTTTCGTTTTCGGTAAATCCCTGCTTTCGTTCTTTCGTTGCCTTGTTCTTTCTTTGCTTTGCTGGGCGTTTTGTCCAATTCTTTGTTCACAATGCCAAGAACCTGGACAACTTGCAGTCACAACCCCCAGTGACACACCAACAACATGAGTGAATCGCATCTAACACGTGCTTGCGAACAGCACAACAAGCCTGTTGTCCTTTCACTGGAGACCTTAAACATTCTTCTGATTATTTTCGCTATGTAGTTATTTTTATTTTTTACTTTATTTCATTTTTTGAGACAGGGCCTCACTCTGTCGCCCAGGCTGCAATGCAGTGGCACGATCACAGCTCGCTGAATCCTTGACCTCCCACCTCAGCCTTTCCAGTAGCTGAGACTACAGGTTTGTGCCACCAAGCCCGGCTAATTTTTTATTTTTGTAGGGGTTTCACCATGTTGGCTATGCTGGTCTTGAACTCCTGGACTCAAGCGATCTGCCCGCCACAGCCTCCCAAAGTGCTGGGATTACAGACATGAGCCACCACACCAGGCACTATGTAGTGACAGATTGTGGACATCAGCACTGTGGTCTTAAATAAAGGACTCCAAATATACCCATAAAAATTAAAACATTCTATACAAAATGCCTTGAACTTAAGGTTTTTCATTCACATATTTATTGAGCACTTACTACTTCTACTCCATTGGTTGCTTAGTGGGGCAGAGTAAAGGGGGAGGATGGGGTAGAGAAAGGGTGCGTCTACACCTGGAGGTAAACTTAGGTTCAGACTTCAAGGTACTTATAAGAAAATAATACAAATGGCCACATGATTTCTTACTGAACTGTGTAGGACAGACATTAAAGGAACAGAATGCAATTGGGAAAGGGTTGCAGCTGAGCCTTGCAGAAGCGTTGAGAGTGGACTGAGCAATGAACATGGCCAGGCTTTGTGCAAATGGAGGAGAGCATGAGCTAAACTGCAAAGGTATGATTTACACTGTGCTTGCCTCCCATGGTCAACAGAAAAAAAGGCCAGTAAAAACTGACTTTTCATATGTATCAGGGTATCAGAAGAGAGGGTTTGATATTTTAATTGCCACACTTTATTTTTCTCTAAATAGTTCTTCAATGATGCAAAGTACTTAAAATCACCACCCGAAGACAGAAAAGACACAATAGGATATGATTCCTTGCTTTCTTTAAAAGTCATACCTGTTTTGGCCGGGTGCAGTGGCTCATGCCTATCATCCTAGCACTTTGGAAGGCCAAGGCAGGTGGATTATCTGAGGTCAGAAGTTTGAGAGCAGCCTGGCCAACATGGTGGAACCTCATCTCTACTAAGAATACAAAAATTAGCCAGGCATAGTATCACGTGCCTGTAATCCCAGCTACCTGGGAGGCTGAGGCAGGAGAATCGCTGGAACCCGAGAGGCAGAGTCTGCAGTGAGCCGACATGGCACCACTGCACTCCAGCCTGGGTGACAGAGCAAGACTCTGTCTCAAAAAAAAAAAAAAAAAAAGTCATACATGTTTCTTATTTCTTGTAACTTTTGTTACAAGAAGCTCTTTGGAAATGTATAATGTTCCCAGAACAGCTAAGTAGAAAAATGCAAAAGGTGAAGTGCAAATGCACAGAAGGCCAAAAGCAGTCACCTAGCATCTGTTAGTGTCCAGTGTCTCTCTACCCCACTATTGAGATTACAAGGAACATAATCTTTGCCATCTCTGATTTTTTAAAATAATGTTTTATTGAGGCCAGGAACTTGAAACTAGCCTAGGCAACATAGTGAGCCCATGTCTCTGAAAAATAAAAATAGCCATGCACAGTGGCATGTGCTTGTAGTCCTAGCTACTTGGAGGGTGAGGTGAGAGAATCACTTGAGTCCAGGAGTTTGAGGCTGCAGTGGGCCATGATCTTGCCAAGCACTTCAGCCTGAGTGACAAGAGCTAGACCCTGTCTCTAAAAAAAACAATAAAAATAAAATAAAAATAAAGTAAAATAATGTTTTTATTTTATTTATTTATTTATTTATTTTTCTGAGAGGGAGTCTCGCTCTGTCGCCCAGGCTGGAGTGCAGTGGCACGATCTCGGCTCACTGCAAGCTCCGCCTCCCGGGTTCATGCCATTCTCCTGCCTCAGCCTCCCGAGTAGCTGGGACTACAGGTGCCCGCCACCACACCTGGCTAATTTTTCATATTTTTAGTAGAAACCGGGTTTCACCGTGTTAGCCAGGATGGTCTCGATCTCCTGACCTCGTGATCCACCCACCTCGGCCTCCCAAAGTGCTGGGATTACAGGCGTGAGCCACCGCGCCTGGCCAAAATAATGTTTTATATAATAAAAATAAGAGAATTAATTGAAAAATGTAACCGCCAGGGCTGATCTCTGCAGCCTGGTGCGCTGCCTTTCATCTCACCCTCAGTTCCTTCCCATGCATTGCTCATTCCCATTGGCTGCCATCTTCCACTTGCTCTCCTTCCTTTATCCGCACCGTTCCCTCTGCCCAGGGCATCTTTCCACGACCAGACTTGTCCGTTCCATCTTCTCCACCTGGTGAGCCCATACACATCCTTTAGGACTTGGCTCAGGAATCTCCTACTCCAGAAGCCCTCCCTGACCCCACCTCATTACCTCTTTCTCCCTTCAACAGGCCTCTATTGTGGCTCGGGTCAGCACTTGTTGTTAGGGCTCATTTAGTTTCTCCAACTTGGGGTCTTGTCAGTGTCATCATTTATGGCCTATGCTGGGCATATTACAGACGCTAAATTTGTTGAATGAATACATAAAAAATAACTGCTCTGGAATCAGAGCAAGGAGACATTCCAGGACACCTAAGGGAGGGTTATTTAAAGGCCAGGCAAGAAGCTGGGAGGTCAGGATGAGCAGTTAGACCTGGCAGGCTCTCCTTTGCTATCAAGTCTCTTCTGTAGAAACTTAATGACCTTACCTGGGATATCACATGGTATTACTTTGGTTGTACTCTATTGGATTCAAGGGGAGGGGACATAGACCCCACCACTCAATGGAAGGAGTGTCAAGGCCACTGGCAGAAAAGATGAGAGACATTGTGTGACTATCTTTGGAAAACATGACTGACATGCCAGCACATGCACTCATGTTTATACATTTATCCCAATCCAACCTTATATTTGTTTTCCTTGGCGTAACAATCCATTTCCATATTCCCTAACTCTTGCCAATACACACTGGCAAGAAACTATCTCTTTCTGGGCCACGTTCAGTACTTTTTGGTTTGCACTGGAATAACTAACTTCTGTTAAGATCCAGAGGCAAGGAGGCAGGGTAGGATCAGTCCCTTACAAGAACTAGCATCAGCTCATAAGGCAACTGCCCCAGATGAAGCGACTAAGTGCCTTTTACACAGGGAAAGGCTGGTCAGGAATGGGGAGTGGATATGAGGGTAGGTTGCCTCCACTCTGAGAAAAGCTCAAGGGGATTTGGGCATTTGAGAGTCTGGGTCTTGACCACATCTGCCCAAATGTGTCCATCCTATTTCTCAGCTTTCCATTCCTTCCTGTGTAGTGTCCTTATATCATACTGTACCTTTCATTGACCCTTCAACTCCCTTCTTGTCAAATCCTGGCTTGATTCTCGGCCAAACTGCCCTGCATCTACAGAAGATAATAGACTCCAAGCTGTGATAAAGGCTTTTTTACTTTTCACTATTATAAGAATCTACTCAAGGTAAATAAAATTACGTGTGCATACAAAAACTTGAACAAAAATATTTATAACAGCTTTATTTGTAATACACAAAATCTCTAAACAACCCAAATGTCCATTAACAGATGAATGAATAAGCAAATTATGGTAAATCCATATGACACAATACTGCCTGCAATAAAAATGATGTAGGGCACGGTAGCTCACACCTACAATCCCAGCTACTTGGGAGGCTGAGGCCCTTCAGCCCAGGAGTTCAAGACCAGCCTGGGCAACACAGCAAGGCCCCACTCTTAAAAAATTAGCCTGGTATAGTGGCGCGTACCTGTAGTTCCAGCTACTTCGGAAGCCAAGGTGGGAGGATCACTTGAGCCTAGGAAGTCAAGGCTGCAGTGAGCTATGATTGCACCACTGCACTCCAGCCTGGGCAACAGAACGAGGCCCCAACTCTTAAAAAACAAAAACAAAAACAAAAAAAGTTAGATTTTATGTAAAGCACAATCTCTAAAGGTTATCCAAGACCACTTTTAAGCTTAATGATTAACTAGAAAGACTCACAGAACTCAGAAAAGCTATGTTCAGTTATGGCTTATTACAGTGAAAGGATACAGTTTTAAATCAGCATAAAATTAGCATAAACTATCTGTCATGGCTGAAGGCCCCAGGTATACAAAAACTCTTAAAAGGCAGGACATTTATTTCAAGGGCTTATAGGTTAAGGAACTGGTCAAGTGTCAGTTCCTTCTTTGGAATGTGTACAACCCAAACCTGCTGAATTAACCCTTTATTGCACAGTTACATACTGTATGATCCCATTTTAATGAAATGAAAAGTTGTGGGCCCAGCATGGTGGCTCATGCCTGTAATCTCAGCGCTCTGGGAGGCCAAGGCAGGGGTGGGGGATCGCCTGAGCCCAGGAGTTGGAGACTAACCTGGGCAACATAGCAAAACCCAGTCTCTACAGAAACTTTTTTCAAAAAAACAGCTGAGCGTGGTGGCATGCACCTGTGGTCCCAGCTGCTTGGGAGGCTGAGATGGGAGGATTGCTTGAGCATGGGAGGTCAAGGCTGCCATGAGCTGTGCACTCCAGCCTAGGTGACCAAAAAAAAAAAAAAAAAGTTGTAGTGGAGAACAGATAAGTGGTTGTCAAGGGTTAGAGCTGGAGGAGGGAATGACTATAATTGACAGCATGAGAGTGACTTTCGGGGTGATGGAACAGCTCTGTACCCTGACTGTGGTGATGTTACATAAACCTATACATGGGATAAAATTTCATGGAATTGTATATACACATGCACTGCCTGTAAGCATGATATGTAGCCAGCTTTCTGTATCCCCAGATCTCACATCGGCAAATTCAACCAACCACAGATGGAAAATATTGGGTGGGAAGAGACAATAAAAAAATAACAATACAGGCCAGGCGCAGTGGCTCACACCTATAATCCCAGCACTTTGGAAGGCCAAGGTGGGCGGATCACTTGAGCCTAGGAGTCTGAGACCAGCCTGGGCAACATGGCGAAAAACCCATCTCTATTAAAAATACAAAAATTAGCTGGGAGTGGTGGAGCCTGTAATTCTAGCTACTCGGGGGCTGAGGCAGGAGGATCACCTAAGCCATGGGAGGTCGAGGCCATAGTGAGCTACGATCTCACCACTGTACTGCAGCCTGGGCAATAGTTGAGACCCTGTCTTAAAAAAAAAAAAACCACGCAACAATACAATAAAAAAATACAAATTTAAAATGCAGTATAATGACTATTTGCATAGCATTCGCATTTGTATTAGTTATTAGAAATAATCCAGAGAAAATTTAAAGTACATGGGAGGACGTGCATAAGACATATGCTCATACCATTTTATATAAAGGACTTGAGCATCCTGGGGTTTTGGTGGAGGAGGAGAGTTGTGGAACCAATCCTTGAGGATATTGAGAATTGGCTGTAATTTGAATAAAATCTTTAGTTAATAGTATTGCGCACATGTCAATTTCCTGGTTTTCATCATTGTACTAGGATTATATAAGATGTTCTTGGGGAAATATAATTTAAGACAAAAATTCCTGCCACAACAAAAAACCTCTCCATTAAAGTAGAAGAGAAAAAAACAATTTTAGTATTTGAAAACCTATCAAACCAGAATGTGATGTGCATTACAGGCAATCTGCTAAAGAGATTGCAAAGACAACCTAACCCTCACCCCTGGAAGGCAGAGGTTGCAGTGAGCCGAGATTGCGCTACTGCACTCCAGCTTGGGTGACGGAGTGAGACTCTGTCTCAAAAAAATAAAAAACACTCACCCCTTTATATAACCAGGCAGATGCAACCCATGTCATACATGTTTTCAAGATAAACAACTAGTCCTCAAATAAGATGACTTCACAGCACCACCTGTCACCTGCGAATCGGAGTAGTCACCTGTGTTTGTTAATTGTCTTTATCCAAAGGAAAATTAAATTTCTTATGTCTTTATGGTAGGTTTGTAACTTAACAGGTGCCAGCTGAAGTTAGGTTCCTACCCTTCCATAGGACTAGGAAATAGGAATGCTATTTCCCTCGATGATTTCATTTCAAAGAGAAGGCTTCCAGGTCCTTAAGGATAAGATTATGGGGTTGGGGAAAAAAAAAACTGACAAGAGATTTATTTATCTTTTTTTTTTTAAACTAACACCTTTCTCATGGGTTATTAAGCTTATTTAAAAAAAGATGTAGGCCGGGCATGGTGGCTCACACCTGTAATCCCAGCACTTTGGGAGGTGGAGGCAGGCGGATCACGAGCTCAGGAGATTGAGACCATCCTGGCCAACATGGTGAAACCCCGTCTCTACTAAAAATACAAAAATTAGCTGGGCATGGTGGCCCGTGCCTGTAATCTCAGCTACTTGGGAGGCTGAGACAGGAGAATAGCTTGAACCAGGGAGTCGGAGGTTGCAGTGAGCCGAGATTGTGCCATTGCACTCTAGGCTGGCGAAAGAGCGAGCCTCATAAAAGAAGATGTAAATACATCTTCAAAGGGCAGAGAAGGAATTCACAATTACAAGTTTTCTAAAGTAAACGCTCTGAAGACAGACTGGGGGATTCTTTCTTTTCTAGGAAAATTCAATTTTTAATTGTTTTTAGATTTTTATTTACACTTACATAATCATGGGGGAAAAGTGAAGGATACAAGGGGAACTTTTTGTATTATTTTTGCAACTTCTATGTGAGTCTAAAATTATTTCAAAGAAGCTATGTGCAGTGGCTTGTGCCTATTGTCCCAGCTACTTGGGAGGCCAAAGTGAGAGGATCACTTGAGCCCAAGGGTTTGAGGCCAGCCTGGGCAAATAGTGAGACTCCATCTCCAAAAAAAAAAAAAAAAAAAAAAAAAAAGAATTATAGTCAAATTGAAACATGTTGAGAGGAGAAGAGGAGATTGGGAAAGAAACAAAGAGACTAGAAATAAGGAGTACTTGGTATATACTTATGCTATATGGCTAACCTTTAAAAAATACAATATATCCACTTTATGAGAAAAGCCATACAAAATATAAAGATTAAACCATATTTTTAAAAAAGAATAAATTATTAATATATTCAACAAGGTAGATGAATCTCAAAATAATCATGCTAAGGCTGGATGCGGTGGCTCACGCCTGTAATCCCAACACTTTGGGAGGCCGAGGCAGATGGATCACCTGAGATCAGGAGTTCGAGAACAGCCTGGCCAACATGGCAAAACCCCGTCTCTACTAAAAATACAAAAATTAGCCGGGCGTGATGGCGGGCGCCTGTGATCCCAGCTACTTGGGAGGCTGAGGCAGGAGAATCACTTGAACTCAGGAGGCAGAGGCTGCAGTGAGCCAATATTGCACCACTGCACTCCAGCCGGGGCAAAAAGAGTGAAACTGTGTCTCAAAAACAAACAAACAAACAAAAAATCATGCTAAAGGGAAGAAGTGAAACCAAAAAGGAAAAAGGGTATATATGATTTCATTTATATAAAATTCTAGAAAATGCAGGCTATCCATCGTGACCAAAAGCAGATTGTTACCTTGGGATCTGGGAGGTGTTCAGGAGAGAGGGAGGAGCAGGAGGCCAGGGTAGAAGAGGCAACTTTGGAAATGATGGATATATTATTATTATTGTGGTGATGGTTTATGGGTGTACACATATATTAAAATTTAATTGTATTCTAAATATATGCAGTTTGTGTGTCAAATATAGCCAATAAAGCTATTTAAAGGAATCCCAAGCCAAGCACTCCATACCAGTTAAATGATCATTTCTGATGTTGGAACCTAGGAATGAGTATTCTTTTAAACATCTCAGGTGATTCCAGTAGGCAGCCAAGTTTGAGAATCTGCTATAAAACAGTGATTCTCAAATCGTGCTCACAGGCCAGTGGCATCAGCCTCACCCAGGAACTTGTTAGAAATGCTCATTCTTAGGCCCCAGGCTGATCTGCTGAATCATAAACTTCAGGATTGGGGCCCATAGTGGTGGCTCATGCCTGTAATCCTGTAGAGCACCTAATTCTGTCGCTGTTCGAGGCGCCACTTGTAGTCTGCCAGGATCCATGGTGGACTGAACAAAGGGGGATGAATGCGGGAATAAAGACAAGAGACAAAAGAGTATGTTTGGAAGAAGGGTCAGGGGACACCTTGCCTCTAGTGGACAAGGGCCCTGAGCTTTACACAGCCCTCCATATTTATTAGGCAAAAGAGATAGTGAGAAGGGGTGTGGAAGAAGAGGTCAGCTGCTCGGTCCAGAGTAGGCTTGCAAGACTGCATTCCTCGAACAATAGGCTCTAGATGTCCCAGTAGATAACCTCAAGGAGCCGGGGCCAGGGAGCGATGGCCCTCAGCAAACCTTCTGGGCAGGCACAGAAGCGAGTTTGCCCACATTCTGTATTCATGATAAACAGTTTGCTGTTTGATCATGTAGCCTCCAGTGGAATGCTGAGTTGGTCACCATCCCTTTGGCCTTTTTGGCTCCCAACATTTCCCCCTTCTTGTTTATGTATTAAGTGAAAGAATGTAAGGCCAGGCTGGGTAGCTTTCATTCTCCGATTGGCAGTCCATCCGATTTTACAGACTATGAACAGAAGACAGAGACAAAACAACATTATTCCAAGAACTATATATAAGATGTTAATGTGGTGCTTTAGATAGGTCCAAGGGTTGACGCTCTCCAGGCCTTGCTGGAATTCAGTCCAGTCTTCTAAAGAAGGCTGAAACTCTGGAATTTGTTTATTTAAATCAAGAATTTTGTTTTGTAATTCACCAATATCAAAGGTGATGTCGGATGTGAAAGCTCCCTGCAAATGGGCTTTCACAAGATCCCATGGATACTCACTTTGGTTATATTCTAAGTTGGTTACACAAATATGAGTGTGATTAAAATGACAACACAATTACTGCTGCAATTGCAAGCTTTGTACTTGTTCCCCTAACCATAGAATCGTGGATTATAACACTGCCACTTCAGTTTGTAACTCAGTGTTAATTTTATTCTCAAGTAGCCACCCTTGGTTGACTGTGCGTGTCCAGTTCTCCACATACTGAGCTGTTTGAATAGAACTATGCAAAGCTACAGAGGACATCACAACAGAAATTATTAGTGTGACCAAGTAAACAATAGCAAAAATTATCATGCCTAAGCCTCTACGGACACAATGAGTAAACTGAGTTAGAAGAAGTTTCACAAAATGTAAAGCAATTGTGGCAGCCCATGGCTCAGACAGATTAACAGGAATCCATAGCCCAGGGATGCAACCTAAAATCATCAAAGTAGAGATATTATGTGTTTGCAATGTGCTATGATTAATGCAGTGATATAACTGGCAAGATTTACAGGTCAATTGGGTATTGTTTACCTGGAGCTGGTCCTTCTTAGCTGCCAAAAACACATAAGGATTAAAAACACAAACTGTAAATTGAGTGGTGATATTCTTTACAAATGTAACATTAAGACTGTGTTGCTTACTATTGCTATTATTGGATAGTATTATGGCAACCCAGATGTTGCCATTCATAAATGGGAATGCTGCCTTCCATATCATCTTTTGAATTGGTCCTTTCCTCCCTAGATAATGCCACTGAGGAAGAGGCGGGCTAAAGCCTGCTCCATGCCAAGCAATCTGGGCGGCCGACTGGGATTGGATCCCAGTGTTATATAAAGAAGAAGCATTAAAAGCTTGCCACCAATGCCAGCAAAGTTTGTGCCACGATTTCTGATTTTCTTCTTTTCCATCTAATTGGCCTTTAGGTCCCCAATCCACAATGTCTCCAGTTAACATAGATTGTTTTCTAGCCAGTGGGCCAAGACACTGGGTCTATGGAGGGGGGTAGGAACTATTGAAGGGAATCCATTCTGTATAGTCAGCACAATGAAGGCGATTGGGCCAGGAATGGTTGGTTAGCACACCGGTTACATTAATATAACCAAGACTTAATAAGTACATGATTTTCCCATAGTGACTCAACCATGTGTGAGCTTGAACTGTAAGACAGCTATGGCTGAGTGATGTCTTTGTGGTGACACACAAAGGAAGTCCTTCCAATGGAGCGGTATAATTAATGACATTATTCTGAGAGTCTAACTGTTCTATGTCAGGTGGAGTTAGGGGTCCTGGAGCCCATGCTCCTTAATCATGATAAATCTTAGGAGGAGTGTCACTCCAAAGTATGGGTCATACTGCTGGGGACTTGGGAACATATGCCCAATATGTTTTTGCCTCTGCACAGGAAAAACATACTGCACAGGATATTATGGCTAACATGGCCAAGAACACGGAATCAGGGGTTTTTGTCTGGCCTTGACACTCCAGTAGTTTCTCAGCTTCCTGCGTAGTTTTCTTGAGTTGTCCCAGGTTATGGGGGTTGATGTCGTCGTGACTCTGGTCGATCTTCTCTCTGTAACAATAGTTCCTAAGTATTGGTATGGGGAAGTTGTTTGTACCTTCTCTGGAGCAATGTTGAGATTCCAATTAACAAGAGCTTACTTTACTTCTCTGAATAATTGATGCAATATTTGATCTGTAGGAGCGGCCAAAAGAGTATCAGCCATAAAATGAATGATGTAAGCAGTAGGAAACATATTCCGAGGCTCCTTTAATGCCTGTCCTACAAAATGCTGACATAGCGTAGGACTGTTAAGCATGCCTTGGGGTAAAACTCTCCATTGATAATGAGAAACAGGTTCTCTTTGATTAATAGAAGGCACAGAGAAGGCAAATTGAGGCTTATCCTTCTCATGTATGGGTATAGTAAAGAAACAGTCCTTAAGATCTATTACTACAAGAGGCCAGTCTCTTGGAATAGCCGCTGGAGATGGTAAACCTTTCTGTAAGGTGCCCATCAGTTGAATTTTTGCATTACTAGCTCTTAAATCATGCAGCAGTCACCAACTTCTGGACTTTTTTGGAATAACAAACACTGGAGAATTCCAGGGGCTAACTGACTCCTCTATGTGTCCTGCATCCAATTGTTCTTTTACTAGCTGCTGAAGTTGCGTCAGCTTCTCCCAAGATAGCGGCCATTGATCCACCCATATGGGTTTGTCACTGAGCCATTCTAATGGTAAGGCAGAGCGTGGAGAAGAAATATCAATGACCTCCATCAGAAATCCTGAGGTCCTAGCCCTTTTCTATTTGTTTTTCCAGTTATTGATATTGGATTAGGGTTTCATTGTAGGAACCTCCCCAGACCTTTTCCACTGTGATATCCCATGTTCTTCAACATTTTAAATCCTGGGTTATCAAAGTTTTCATTTGTAAGTTTCATATCCCATGCTGTAAGTCTCGACCCCATAAATTGATAGCTGTATTTGCGACATAAGGCTGAAAAGTACAAGACTGTCCATCCGGACCAAGACAAGGTAAAATCTCAGCACTTTGTTGAACACTTTGAGCTGTTTCTACTCCCAGTAAGTATGCAGAAGTTAATTGCAAGGGCCAGGATGGGGGCCAATTGTCTTTAGATATTACTGACACATCAGCTCCCATATCCATAAGCCCATAAAATTTCTTTCCTTTAATTTGTATTACACAGGTGGGTCTATTAGAGGCTACTGGTTGGGACAGACTTCCCATGTAGTTGTGCTCCCAAACCCTTTATTTCCTCATTTCTCCTTTCGTGGAGAAGGGTGTAATTTGCAGGGAATAAGCAATAATTGAGCAATATATTCTCCCAGTTCAAAAACCCAAAGATCTTGTGACATTAAAACTACTTGAATTTCTCCTTCATAATCAGAGTCAATCACTCCTGGGACTACAGTAATGCCCTGTAAGTTAAGACAGCTTTTGCCTAAAATTAGTCCCATGTATCCTGTGGGTAAAGGACCACAAATACCAGTGGGAACTTTGATGGGTTTGTCTCCCCCAACTAACATGATTCTTTCTCTAGCGGGTAGATCTAATCCTATATTTCCTGGTGTTCCTGGGGTGAAGGAACCAATGTGCCTCCGGGAACCCATCCCTGAAATGGGGTTGTGGTCTGAACTGGGAATGCCCTCATTGTTTGAGAGGCCCAGGGCCAGGCCCCGTCTCGTTTCCTGACAGGGGGGTGCCATTCTGATGAAATTTTGAGCGGCACTGATTAGCCCAGTGATTTCCTTTGTTACAGCGAGGACAAAGTCCTGGCATTTTTTTCTGCTGGGGGAGGAACTGCATTGTAAGATCCTTTCTGTCCTGAGATCTGGCGGCATTCCTTTTTTAAATGTCCAGTTTTTCCACAATTATAATATTTTCCCATTTTAGGGTCTGACCCTTGGCTCCTTTTAGATTTGTCAACAGCTAAATTAGCCATTGCTTGCACTGACATTGTAGATCGATGAAGCTCAGTTCCTACATCTTGACAAGCTCTGAGGAAATTTCCCAAGTTTTTGTACACCTCACTGGTGCCAGGGCACATTTACAATCCGCATTTACATTCTCAAAAGCTAGAGTTAAAGTTAGCATTTCTGCAGCCACGGTATGAGGAATCTGACGCTTCACTGCCTCTTGCAATCTTGCAAGA
Organism: Homo sapiens; assembly: GCF_000001405.40. Lineage (NCBI taxonomy): Eukaryota > Metazoa > Chordata > Mammalia > Primates > Hominidae > Homo > Homo sapiens. The sequence continues at coordinate 1,103,878 of NT_187651.1, read as the reverse complement.
AATTGTACATAGGGTTCCTGCAACCCTTGCATGATATGTGAAAAGGACTGTACTGGGACTCCCTCTTCAGGAATTGTGGCCCAGGAACGTTTAGTGGCCTGTACACACTGCTGATAAGCAGTATCTGGGAGTGCCATTTGACATTCCAGGTCTGAATAAGGGCCTTTACCCAATAGCAAATCCTCTGTAATGTCTCCGGGTCCAGCAACACGGTTCTGTCTAGCCTGGTCTGCACACAGTTCTTGCCAATTTAAATTCCACGTCAGATATGCACTAGCAGACAAGCAAGTTCACGCCAATTGTTTTACATCAAAGGGTAAAAGACGCATAGCACCAAACACAGATTCTAGTAATCCTAAGGTGAATGGGCTCTGTACGCCCTTACTTACCACACTCACTTTTAATTCCTTCAACAACTTAAACTCTAGTCGAGTGTGTTCATGAATGAGCTGCTGTGCATTATTTGGATCAGGTCTTATGGAAATAGGAAAAGCACAAGGTCCTAAGGACTCTCCAGCTATGGCAGCAGAGCGTAAAATTATTTGTATTGGGGTCTCTATTTCTGCTACCTAAGGAGGTGGTGCAGATGGTTCTGCAACTGGAGCAGGTGGTATAGGCCAATTTTCATCCTCCCTCTCCTGTTTTTTCTTTTCTTTTCTTTCTTTTTTTTTTTTTTGAAACAGAGTCTCGTTCTGTCACCCAGGCTGGAGTGCGGTGGCACGATCTTGACTCACTGCAACCTCTGCCTCCCGGGTTCAAGCATTCTCCTGCCTCCGCCTCCTGAGTAGCTGGGACTACAGGCACATGCCACCACGCCCGGCTAATTTTTGTATTTTTAGTAGAGACAGGGTTTCACCATGTTGCCCAGGCTGGTTTTGAACTCCTAACCTCAAATGATCCACCCGCCTTGGCCTCTCAAAGTGCTGGGATTACAGGCGTGAGCCACCATGCCTGGCCCTGTTTTTTATTTTCAGCTGGAGCTGTGGGTGGGACAACAGATTCTTTCAGATTTTTAGACTCAGCCTGCTGTCCCACAGAATAATAAGGAGCTAATGGTAGAAGTACAGTACAAATTAAACTCCAAGTGGAAAAAACAGAAGAATCAACTTTAAGACCTTTTTTCATGAGGCTGTTTTAATCGTTCTCCTGCTCTGTCCCAATCTTCCACATCAAGAGTTTTAATAAGCCGTGGAAACCATGGGTTATGCGTAATAACCTCCTGTAGCATCTTAATGAATGTCTGAGAACCCGAGCACCAGTTTGTTTCAACGAAACTTTAAGCAACTGCACATAATGTTTTCCTTCAATAGACAAATTCTGCTCCATGTTACCCTGATTCAGAAAACTTCCCATTCCCAGTACTTCTTTAAAGCACTGCTCCTAGTACCTTTTTAGGGCACTGACCTTATATCCGCTGCCAGCAGACTCATCCCGGGGTCCCCATTCGCCTTGTCAATTTCAGTTCCTCTGCTCTAGCAGACATTCTTCATTCACATCCTCGAAGCCCCTGTGTTTGGACGCCACTTGTAAAGCACCAGATTCTGTTGCTGTTCGAGGCACCACTTGCAGCCTGCCAGGATCCCTGGTGGACTGAACAAAGGGGGATGAATGCGGGAATAAAGACAAGAGACAAAAGAATATGTTTGGAAGAAGGGTCAGGGGACACCTTGTCTCTAGTGAACAAGGGCCCTGAGCTTTACACAGCCCTCTGTATTTATTAGGCAAAAGAGATAGTGAGAAGGGGTGTGGAAGAAGAGGTCAGCTGCTCAGTCCAGAGTAGGCTTGCAAGACTGCATTCCTCGAACAATAGGCTCTAGACGTCCCAGTAGATAACCTCAAGGAGCCGGGGCCAGGGAGCGATGGCCCTCAGCAAACTTTCTGGGGCAGGCACAGAAGTGAGTTTGCCCACATTCTGTATTCATGATAAACAGTTTGCTCTTTGATCATGTAGCCTCCAGTGGAATGCTGAGTTGGTCACAATCCCTTTGGCCTTTTCGGCTCCCAACATATTCCCAGCATTTTGGGAGGGTGAGGCAGGTGGACCTGCTGAGGTCAGGAGTTCGAGACCAACCTGGCCGACATGGTGAAACCCCACCTCTACTAAAAATACAAAATAGTGGGGCATGCCTGTAGTTCCAGCTACTCGGGAGGCTGAGGCAGGAGAATTTCTTGAACCTAGGAGGTGGAGGTTGGAGTGAGTTGAGATCTTGCCATTGCCTCCAGCCTGGGCAACAAGAGCAAAACTCCATCTCAAAAATAAATAAATAATTAATTAAAATAAACTTCAGGATTGGGGCCCAGCAATCCGTGTTTAATAAGCCCTCCAAGGTGATTCTGATGCTCACTACTATACAGAGGAAGCCATGTACAGGAAGCCATCTGAAGACTCAGGAAAATGAGGATGTTGGAATGGATTCACAGTTGTCCCTGGGTATCTGAGAAAAACTGGTTCCAGGGGCCAGGTGCGGTGGCACAGGCCTGTAACCCCAGAACTTTGGGAGGCCGAGGCGGGTGGTTGGTTCACTTGAGCTCAGGAATTCAAAACCAGCTGGGCAATATGGCAAAAACCCATCTTTACAAAAAATATAAGTATTAGCCAGGCACGGTGGCATGCACCTATAGTCCCAGCTACTTGGGAGGCAAAGGCGGGAGGATCCCTTGAGCCCAGGATGTGGAAGCTGCAGTGAGCTGAGATCGTGCCACTGCCCTCCAGCCTAGGTAACAGGGCCAGACTTTGTCTCAAAAAGTAATAAAATAAAATGGGATAGTATTTGCATATAACATAGCACTATTCTTCTATATACTTTAAATCATCTCTAGGTTACTCATAATACTTAATACAATATGAATGCTATATAAATAGTTGTCATACTTATTTTTTATTTGTATTATTTGTTATAGTTGTATTGTTATTTTTATGTTTTATTTTTCAAATATTTCTGATCCTTGATGGGCTCAATCTCAGGATATGGAACCTGCTGATAAAGGGGGACTGGCTGTATTTATGTGCATCTTATTCAGACACCCCCTAACCATAACTCCCAAGAGGGCCTGGAGGACACTCTTTTCTTTAAAGTCTTGGTAACAGAAGCATCAGCCTCTTTAAAGAGCTGATGCAGCCACTATGATGGTTGTCCTTTGCAGACTGGAGATGATGGTGAGAGGTACTGCCAAGGAATTAGGCCCCTTGACCTCATTGGGAATACTGGAAGAAGCCAGGCAGCAATGCCGAACTGTTTTAGACCAGGTAGGCACAATTACTGTAATAAGCCATAGCAAAGGATTGACATAGTGTATTTTTACATGTGGGGATCTGTGATGATGGCTAATTGATCCCAAGGTTCCTGTTAGACTGACAGCCTTCTAAAGTGTTGCATGACACCTATAGACAAAACAATTCTAGGTCTGTTGTGCAAGAACCAAACTCAAGTCTCCATAGTGGAGAGAGCCTCATATCCAGTTTCCAGACTAAATAAATCAGGTTATAGACCCAAAGTCCCTTGACTGAGGGGGCAGATGGGAGCCTCTGAGGAAGGATTTTGTAATTGTGGCTTCATGGGTATACCATAAATCTTCCCCCAAGCCTTCTGCAGAGAGAACTATGGTTATTCATCAGGGTCTTTGCACTGGGGAAACAAAAATACTCAGCTATTTCACGGTTATTAAGATAGTGACTCTGAAATTATACTGATTTCCAGAGACCTTAAAAGCCTCTGTGATCCAGTTTTCAGAGTGAAGGCTAATGGAGGTTGCGTGAAAGATGGATTCTTGGTCTGACTTCTCACAGGAGCCCATCCTGTAATTATTTCCTCAGTCCCAGAATACACAGAAGTAGGATATAGCAGAATCATCACACAGTTTCCTTAACCCATGAGATAAGGCATTAAGGAAAGGCCAAGTAGAAGGTTTAAACCACCCCCATTCTCTGACCCACATAGTGAGTGGGATCTGTTGATTCCTACTACATTTCCATTTGATTCACCAGCTTGGCCAGCTGTTCAAGTCAGACAGGTCCGAATGAACAATGTTTCACATTTTTTTGTTTTGTGTGTTGGTGTTGGTGTTACACCTTAGGATCACCTGCAGATTTTTTTTTTAAATGGAGATGTCTGACGCCCACCCCCAGGCACTGCGAGTGTGTGTGTTTTCTAATTATTTTGAGACAGGGTCTCCCTCTTTCACCCACGCTGGAGTACAGTGGCACAATATCAGCGTACTGCAACCTCCACCTCTGGGCTCAAGTGATCCTCCCACCTCAGCCTCTCCAGTAGCTGGGACCACAGGCGCGTGCTAGCACACCTGGCTAATTTTTGCATTTTAGTAGACAAGGGGTTTTGCCATGTTGCCCAGGCTAGTCTCAAACTCCTGGGCTCAAGCGATCCTCCCATCTCGGCCTCCCAAAGTGCTAGGATTACAGGCGTGAGCCACTGTGCCTGGCCCTATTATTTTTTAATGTTTTTTAGCAACAGGGTCTCACTCTGTGACCCAGGCTGGCACGATCATACCTCACTGCAACCCTGAACTCCTGGGCTCAAGCAATCTTCCTGCCTCAGCCTCTCAAGTAGCTGGGACCACAGGCACACACCACCATGTTCTGCTAGTTTTTGCTTTGTTTTGTTTGTAGAGATAAGGTCTCGCTATGTCTCGCCTCAGCCTCCCAAAATGCTGGGATTACAGGCATGAGCCACTGCACCCAGACACTGATTTAACAATAAGGGATACCACTTGGACACAGAAACTTTTTAAAGCTTCCCAGGTGAGTCTGATGTGCAATAAAGTTTGGGAACCACTGGTCTTGGGGAATGACAATAAGTTATCACAGATTTAACAAATGATGTCAATCACAGCTGCAGTTGGCGATTGGTACCTTTATTAGACCAAATCAACACAACTCCTAATACCTGGAATAAAGCTAGTGCCATGAAAAAAATGCAACATTTTCCATTCCAGTAAGAAAAATTAAAAGAACTTGAATTATTGTGGCAGGGACAACTGATTTTACTGTCTTACTTCAGAGTGATATGAATACCCTCATTTTCTTTCATTATATAGTCTGGAGAGACTTTTATTTTCTTGATTTTTGACAAAAAAATGAAATGTGACATGTATAACATTATGCTAACTGGAGCTGGAAAGCACGAATTAGCAAGCAGCTAGATGTCTTAGGAAGACATACATATATAAGAGGTTGGGAGGTAAATACTGTTAAAGTTCAGGAGCCTGCCACATAGGTGAATCTCCTAAGGGTCTAGTGGTCTGAGGACATGGGATCTATTTTTGAAGGGAAGAAACAAGCTACCCAGGCATGACGGCTCACCTACCTGGGAGGATTGCTCGCACCCAGAAGTTCGAGGCTGCAGTGAGCTATGATCACGCCACCACACTCCAGCCTGGGCAACAAAGCGAAACCCCATCTCTTAAACAAAGGCAGTGGGGAGAGGGAGACAAGATTCTGCACCTTGCACTGGTCACCATGAAGACAGAAGCAACAATGTTTGAAGTCGCCCTTTGAGTTTGAGATAAAATATATTTGGGAATACTACCCCAACCTACTTACTGGGTAGCCCGTAAGACTGCCGATTTTTAGTGAAACCCAATGTAAGACAGGGCTCTCCAGCAGATTCAGGATGCGATGCTGCAGCAAACAGAGATGCTGTGTGGAGTCTCTTCCAAATACTATTAGGACAATCACATTGCAGACTCCTACAGCTTTGAAATAACGACATGCACACCTGTCAAAAATTTGTCTCCTCCCCACAAAGACAGGGTCTTCTTCTGTCATCCAGGCTGGAGTGTGGTGGGGCAATCACAGCTCACTGCAGCCTCAACCTCCTCCTGGGCTCAAGCGAACCTCTCATCCCAGCCTCCTGAGTAACTGGGACCAAAAGCACACACCACCACAGTTGGCTGATTTTTAATTTTTTTGTAGAGATGAGGTCTCATTATGTTGCCCAGGCTGGTCTTGAACTCCTGGGCTCAAGCAATCCTCCCACCTCGGCCTCCGAAAGTGCTGGGATTACAGGTGTAAGCCACGATACCCAGCCAATTCTTTATTTAGTCATCTTAAAAGGACACAACAGAAATGATATAAAATAACTTTTATTTACATAATTTATATATATATATAACTGCTTTCTTTAGAACAAGAAAATTTATAAATGACATGATATTGCTTTTTCTGTCAAAGACTTCTTCAAGCAAGATAGTATACATGGTCACTTTTGTTTCAAATAACATGATGGTAAACAGTGGATATTAATATTTTTGTCATGCCTCAACCATTTACCAACAATTAGGCGTTCAAATCCTCATGTTGACCACTTGCTAAGACATAAGTGTTCAGGAGAAAAAGTCAAGAAAAGATAAAAACTTTTACTCATATCTCCTTTAAAATTTGTGAAATAAATCCTTTGCAACATCTTCTTCACATGAATCAGACCTAACATAGTTCTTTCCAACATGTAAGGTAAATACATTGATTAACTTTCTCTTTTCCAAAATTAGGTTTAAGGATTTAACAGTAGGATACTTTAGCTGGCTGACTTGATTCTCTAATACAATGAGTCTCTGTATTCTTTATATAGTAAGAAATTCCATTTTCCATAAAACTAGCTCATTATAGATTAAAAAGAAACAGATGTTAAAGTTAAAAACTAATATTACACAAGGATAAATAATAGTTTAATCATGGCAATCTAACTCCCAAGCTAACACTAAGAGAATGAAATCTTTTCAGAATATGAGTTTTAAAAACTTACAAAAACAGGGTATTCAAATAGCAATGTGATTTACTACCATGATTTCTGTGACATATCAATCATGAAATAAATGCCTACTTATAGACAATTTCCGCTCCGAATTATATAGCCTCCTCTCTGACAAAGTGTTACGCCATAAATTTCACTAAAAGACAATGAATAAGAAGTGCTCTAACAGCAGTAGTTTCAATAAATTAGCATTACTGTTATATGTGCTGAGACATAATTCTCTTCTATTAAGGAACTTAAAAACTGGCCACCATTTTTTCAATATACAAACATAATTATCTAGACTCTAAAATATCTTCCCAACTGAAATACTGATCATTACATAATACAGTCAACAGTTTTAACTTTTAGGCACAACTCATAACTTTAGTGACAAATAACTCATCCATACAGATATCAGCACCTCAGGGTAAGAAAATTTGGGGCCTAATGTAGGGGGTCAAACTAAAAGGCCAATCCAGCCACAGTCCTTCATTCAAGTACTGTCTATGGCTTCTTTCACACTGAAATTGCAGAGCTGAGTAGCTGCCACAGAGACCATCTGGCCTGCAAACCCAAAACAGTTTGCAGAAAGTTTCCAATGCCTGAGCTACTATACTATCAATCCAAGAGGCTTTTCAAATAAAATCAGGATAAATTTGCTGTTTGAGAAGTCTAATTGGAACCACTACAGATCTGCTTGGGTAGATAATAGAATTACACGTATAAAAAATCAAATCTTGAAATTAAAACAAACCTTAAATTCATACTGATGATAATCATTAACTTTATAAAGCCTTATTTTCTCTGTTTTTAACATCATGATTATGTTCCGTGCTTAAAGATCCAAGTGTTCCTTGAGAATTTAATGGGAAAAAACTATGAAGAAATTGGCTTTTTAAAAACTAATATTATGTCTGTGGGTGTATAAAGGAGATTGAGCTTTGTATGGAAATTTTGTCTCATAAATAAAGTTGAGTTCCCCCTATCCTCATGAAAATCCTGAGATTATCCAAGAAAAGCAGAAAAATTTACAGTACAAAGTCAATATACTAAACTGAGGGGAAAAAGGTATTCAAAACATATACACCAGCTAAACATTTTTAGTTATATCATTTTAAATATCTTTAAAATTAAACAGAAAAAGGAGACAAACATAAATTTAATGCCTTCTTTATCTACAATCTGAGGGGTAAAAATAGCTAAAACTGAATATCCTTTTAAATAAAAAATTTAAAAATAAATAAGCCCTTTGATGTGTCATCTTTATAAATAATTATGTTTAAATACTAGTTTTTCAATTAGGACTAATGTTACATCACCATGAATTAGAAAAATATGTATTTTTCAGTCAGACAAACAGCTGATAATAGAAAAGTTCTTTAACATTTGCCATACTAAAGTGAAGTTTGACAATTTGTTTTCACATATAGTCACGTGTCCCTTAACTACATGTTCTAAGAATTGCCTTGTTAGGTGATCTTGTGTGAAACAACGCAGAGTGTACTTACAAACACTGAGATGGTACAGGCTGCTACACACCGTACAGACTGAGGCTATGTGGTATAGCCTATTGCTCCTCGGCTACAAACCTCTACAATGTGTTACTATGCTGAATACTGTAGGCAGTTGTAACACAATAGTAAGTATTTGTGTATCTAAACATATCTAAACATAAAAAAGCAATGCACTGTGTTATGATGGCTATAATGTCACTAGTTGATAGGAATTTATCTCCATTTTAATTGCATGGGACCACTGTAATATATGTGGTCCATCATTGACTTAAACTTCATTATGTGATACATGACTGTACTTAGAAGCAAATGAAAAAGCCTTCATCCTTCATCATCTCCCCCTAAAAATAAAAAATCTTCACAAAAGAAGTTGCTAAATGTTAAATATGATACAATTAACCCCCAAATCTGTCTGCACTGCAATTCATACAGAGACATATATCCACAACATTCCCAAATGTCCATGTGTGCTTAGCACAGGAAGAGTCAAAATGTAAACAAGAGTTGTTATTTCTGTCTGAGAAAGCAGTCTTAATTGCTTGCTATTTGCAAAATGCTGAATCAGTCAGAATGAAAGGAACCTCAGAAATGTTTTCCACTGATTATAAAAGCTTCAAATCAAGCTCATTAAGTATTCAAAATCAACCTAAAGAAAAATAAGACAGTGATATTTTGCTCTAAATACTGTTTTGTTGATGTAATTGACTCTGGAAATCCTAGACCTAATTTAAAAAAGAAAAAGAGAAAAGATTGTTTTATTCTGTTTCATCCACTTCAATGAAGATATCATTGAAGAAATATTCAGAGACTGTGGTTGCCTCCCCTTGAGGGGCCCGCTTTTGGGCACTTTTATATCCTTCTTTCAGTAAGGGCTGATCACAAGAAACCTAAAAAGGTAATAAAAATAAAGTAAAAATAAAACTGTAATACAACATTTATATATATATGTGTGTGTATATATAGCAGTCTAAACCAATATGATCTGTTTGAAAAGCAACGTGGCAATAAATATTGAGCTTTAAATATGTTCACAATCACTGACCCAAAAATTTCACTTCTATGCTGTTACATTAAGTAAATAATCCTAAACATAGTAGGAGTTTTATGACTAAGATAACCTTTGTAGCATTAGTTATAATAATAAAATAGGAAGCAACTAAATATACCACACTAGATATAATTAGGTAAATTACAGTGTACCCATAATCCATTACTTCATCCTAATTTCCATGAAAAATTTTAATAAAGAAAAATATAATATGGTTAAATCTGTCACTAAATAAAGTAAAAATACTTTAATTATTTGCATAATAGACAGACCCATGACAAAACAGCACCTAAAGAAAACATATCAAAGATACCTTATCAGAAATTAGCATACTTACAAATCTATAAACAAATTAAGACAGCATGGTATTGGCACACGAATGACAGATATATCAATGAAACAGAAGACTAGAAATAACCCCAATATATATAGAAATTTAGCATCTGATAAAAGTGCCATATCAAAAACAGTTATTGTATTATTAAATAAATGATGTTGGACAACTATATAACCATCTCAGGGGGAAAAAAGTCAGACCAATACCTTACCAAAACAAATTCTAGATGGATCAAAAGATTTAAATGTAAAAGTATTTTTTAAAAAACTCTACTATAAAAATGCCATGGAAAAACACTTTTATAATTCTGGACGGAGGTAGGTGGGGAAGGGTACCTTTTTATTTATTTATTTATTTTAAGACAAAGCCAGGCTGGAATGCAATGGCATGATCTCAGCCCACTGCAACCTCCACCTCCCGGGTTCAAGCAATTCTCTTATCTCAGCCTCCCAAGTAGCTGGGACTACAGGCACACACCACCGTGCCTGATTAAATTTTGTATTTTGGTAGAGATGGGGTTTTGCCATGTTGGCCAGGCTGGTCTCAAACTCCTCACCTCAGGTGATCTGCCCGCCTTGGCCTCCCAAAGTGCTGGGATTACAGGCGTGAGCCACCGCACCCAGCTGGGAAGAGTACCTTTTTAAACTATCTGAAAGCAGAAAGCTATAAAAGATTGACAAATTAAACAGAAATAAAAAATGTCTGCTTGACAAAAACCACCATAAATAAAATCAAAAGACAAATGACATACAGAGAAAAAAAAAATTGCAATCTTTATCACAAAGGGCCTTTTTCCCTGAATATAATAAGAACACTACAGGCCAGGCACAGTGGCTCATGCCTGTAATTCCAACACTTTGGGAGGCCAAGGCTTGAGGCCAGGCATTTGAGAACAGCATGGCCCACATGGCGAAATCCCGCCTCTACTAAAGATACAAAAATTAGCTGGGTGTTGTGGCATGCATCTGTAAGCTCAGCTAATCGAGAAGCTGAGACAGGAGAATCACTTGAACCCAGGGGATGGAGGTTGCAGTGAACCAAGATCACGCCACTGCACTACAGCCTGGGTGACAGAGTGAGTGAGACTCTGTCTCAAAACAAACACACAAAAAAAACAAAACCCACGACTTTGGCAATGATAAGCTAGACTGATATCTTGATCTCAGAAAATAATTCTAACAAATAATACAAAATGTTTTTAAAAAGTTTAAAGATGTTCTTTACAAAAGTACCCCTTCCAAAGGCTCATGCTGTTCAACAGATGCTCACCAGCCTTCTCTTTGTCAAGATCTTAAGTCACCCCAATATTTTTACAAAGTCTTTGATACAGGTTTACAGAGTTTTCCATCCCAATACTTGCCATTGGACAGCTTCAGGAGACATAGAAATGAAACATGTGAACAAATTCTAGTTTTACAGTTCCTTAAATTCTTGTGGGTGTCAGCACTGCTTCCTTTTGCTTCCACAAGTCAGAAGGGTCTCTAGATTAAAGGAATGGCTATTAAGTGTCCATTTATGGTTAGTTCAATGGCTCTGTACTAATCTAACTGTAACTTCCTGACTCAACACCTTTTCTTCTTCCATTATGGAGGAACACGATGGAGAGAAGGATGGGAGTTGCTCTAAAATAATTTCTGACATCAAATAAAAATAACAAATTACTATGTTTTCCCTAGTTGAATCTCATATCCAACCCATCTCATACAAACTATAAAATACAGTAGTTATCACATACCTGAGTTGCTGAGCTGCTAATATTCTCAGATTGAGTAGTAATAACACTTGGAGATGGAAGCAGATCAGAGGACTCTCGATTTTTTTCCTGGCTTTCATTGAATGGATTAGATCTTTTCAATTTCTTTCTTAATCCAGGTATAAGAGGTTTTAGGCGTTTCTTACTATGGACTTGCATAGGTTCATCAGACTCCAAACTATTCTTTGAGCATATTAAAGATAAAAATCCCAGGGGTCTTCTGCCAGGTCTAGAAATACAAATGTAACGATATTCAAGAATACCCAGGAAGACACATTCTTTTTTTTTTTTTTTTTTTTTTTTTTTTGAGACGCAGTCTCACTCTCACCCAGGCTGGAGTGCAGTGGCGCAATCTCGGCTCACTGCAACCTCCACCTCCCAGGTTCAAGAGATTCTCCTGCTTCAGCCTCCCAAGTAGCTGTAGTAGAGACGGGGTTTCACCATGTTGGTCAGGCTGGTCTCGAACTCCTGACGTCGTCATCTGCCTGCCTCAGCCTCCCAAAGTGCTGGAATTACAGGCGTGAGCCACCGCACCCAGCCAAGACACAACCTTAATACCTGCTTCTGCTTTGGGAGGCTAAGGTGGGAAGACCACTTAAGGCCAGGAGCTCAAAAACAGCCTGGGCAAAATTAGCAGGACCCCGGTCTCTAGAACATCTCTAGCATTCAAATCACTTGGGGATCTTATTAAAATGAAGATTCGCACAGTTGGTAGCGGGCATGGCCTGAGTTCTGCATTTTATCAAGTTCTCAAATGATGTCCATACTGCTGTTGTCAGGACTACACTCTGAGTAGCAAAGCTGTGGAACAGTGGTCAGCACAGTATGCTCTACAGGCCACATGCAGCCCCGCACCCAATTCTGTGAGTATGTTTTACTGGAACACAGCTATGTTCATCTGTTTACATATGGTCTATGGTTGCTTTTGTGCTGTAACTGCAGAGCTGAATAGCTGTTAACAGAGACCACATGGCTTACAAAGCCTAAAATATATACAAATGCCATTTTACAAAAAATGCTGACTTCCGTTCTAGAACACTGCTTCTCAACCTGTTTTAATCCAAACTCTCATGATGTTATTATTTTATTTTAATTTATTTTTTGAGACAGTTTCGCTCTTGTTGCCCAGGCTGGAGTGCAATGGCACAATCTCGGCTCACCGCACCCTCCGCCTCCTGGGTTCAAGCGATTCTCCTGCCTCAGCCTCCTGAGTCACTGGGATTACAGGCATGTGCCAACATGCCCAGCTAATTTTATATTTTTAGTAGAGATGGGGCTTCTCCATGTTGGTTAGGCTGGTCTGGAACTCCCAACCTCAGGTGATCCACCCACCTCAGCCTCCCAAAGTGCTGGGATTACAGGCATGAGCCACCGCACCCAGCCTTTTTTTTTCTTTTTTCAGAGACGGGTCTGGCTATGTTGCCCAGGCTGGAGTGCAGTGGCTATTCACAGGCACAATCATAGCTCACTGCAATCTCAAACTCCGGCCTCAGCCTCCTGAGTAGCTGGGATTATAGGCATGTGCCACTGTACCTGGGCCTCATTCTATTTTCAGCACATATCTAAGGCCAGAAGAGATACCACTGAGCTTTACCTTCTATAATTTAGATAACAAAAACAATAGATCTATTAAATATGTCTTTTAAGCTACATGTGTCCTTTCCCCAACCCCTTCCCCTTAGTGGAGACTAGTGCATGTTCCCCCACCTCTTTCAGTTCAGCAACACCACATTAATCTTCTGGATGCTGCTGACAAGCCAATAATTATTGATAATCATTGCTTCTAGAATATGAGGAAATTGTGAGAGAAGTTGGCTCTTGCTTAAATTCCAACACTTATTCTTATGGGGAGAAAGCCATGGTTTACCTCTTTGGTTTGTCACAAGGGAGAAAAATGACACATTATTTGGGACTTCAGTAAAACAACTTCTGATGTCAGCATCCATACATATGTGCATTAGTAGCTACTGAACATGGTAGATTATGTAATGATCAAAATAACCATGGATAATCTAAAAAAATAAGTGTACAAAATATTCTAAAGATTTTCTATCTAAAAAAGTTTTAGCACTTAAGCTCTTATTGTACAGAATGTGTATCTGCAATATTACTGTATTTCCTTGGCTGAAACTTTTTCCTTTACATTACTGATGGAGGAATATGTTTATTAAACACCATCCTTAGTACTGGATCTAATCTGTTCTGTATAGGTTATATTTATTAAGACAGAGAGCAAAACACTTATTAAAGATTTGTTCATGATACCTGGATAGTGAGGCTTTAGAAGACGATGTTCTGCTATCCATTTGCTGAGACTTAGGAGCAGCATCAGTTCTTTCTTCCTTATCAGACACAATCATTTCATCCTGAGGTAACTGAGGCACATTCTTGTCCATGCATGCATCAGGAGATCTAGATCCTCTACTCTGAAAAGCTGCTTCAACTTGCTGTCTTTGAGGTTCTGGAGTTGTCAGTGTGCTTCCTGAGGTAAGAAAAATATCTTGTCCCTTGTGAGACTCCCCTTCAAAAAAAAGAGCAAATGGAAAGCAAGGATACTGAAGTTAATACACTCCATGTAATCCCAGCATTTGAAAAGAAACCCATGGTATTCTATAATAAACCTACCCTAATAAGAGTAAGCTAAATTATCATTAGTGGAGTTACTTGGATTATTAAGAATATTATAATTGGTTAATAAGGTATGCTAACAGCTTCTGCATTCAGAAACAAAATAGTTATATCAATATATTTTGGCCTAGAAAATATTTTCCCAGAAATATTTCCTGAGCAATCAAAATGGGAGAGTGATTACTTTCTAAAAAAGCTAAGGTTTGTTAAAATTTAGAAACCAAACCAATCCAAAATATAGGTGGTAACTCAAGTACCTGTGGTCTCCTGAAAAGTAAAACCTACAGACTCTCAAATACTCAAGTTTAGCTAAAGAATTCTCTTTCCTTAACTAAATAGTAGACAAAAGCCAAAGTAGCCAAAGATTAGGACAAAATAACTAAAGCTTTCTTGCTCAATAAAAAACCTGTTTTCCCTTAGTATAGCTAAGGCCTTGTTCTCAGAGAGAGTGTTTTAGCTCTGTGAAGGGAGAATGAAGTTGATAAGTAAACCTGCTAAAAGAAACAACCTAATTAAAGATAGCATAGAACAAATTCACTAACACTTCACTGTATTGTGGTTTGCTTAATGCTTTTATTGGAGAGCAGATGGATGGGAGCAATCTTAGAACATCTCTAGAGGCTGTAAACTGTAACCATATTACAGTTTCACAGTCAAAGTTGGGACAATTAAGTCTAAGACTGTATTAACATTATAAGAGTTTTTTTGTTTTTGTTTTTTTGAGACAGAGTCTCGCTCTGTCGTCCAGGCTGGAGTGCAGAGGCGCGATCTCGGCTCACTGCAACCTCTGCCTCCCGGGTTCAAGCAATTCACTCACCTCAGCCTCCCGAGTAGCTGGGATTACAGGCATGCACCACCACACCTAACTAATTTTTGTATTTTTAGCAGAGACAGTGTTTCACCATGTTGTCCAGGCTGCTCCCGAACTCCTGACCTCAAGTGACCCACCAACTTTGGCAACCCAAAGTGCTGGGATTATAGGTGTGAGCCACTGTGCTCAGCCCATTATATGTGTGGGGTTTTTTTGTTGTTTTTTTTTTTTGTTTTTGAGACAGAGTTTCGCTCTTGTTGCCCAGGCTGGAGTGCAATGGCGCAATCTCGGCTCACCGCAACCTCTGCCTCCCAGGTTCAAGTGATTCTCCTGCCTCAGCCTGCCGAGTAACTGGGATTACAGGTGCCCGCCACCACGCCCAGCTTATTTTTGTATTTTTAGTAGAGATGAGGCTTCGCCATGTTGGCCAGGCTGGTCTCGAACTCCTGACCTCAGGTGATCCACCTGCCTTGGCCTCCCAAAGTGCTGGGATTACAGGCGTGAGCCACCACGCCCAGTCAAGTATTTTTTGTTTGTTTTTTGAGACAGAGATTTGCTCTGTCACCCAGGCTGGCGTGCAATGGCGTGATCTCAGCTGGCTGCAACCTCCGTCTCCCAGGTTCAAGCAATCTCCTGCCTCAGCCTCCCAAATAGCTAGGATTACAGGCGCCCACCACCACGCCTGGCTAATTTTTTGTATTTTTAGTAGAGATGGGGTTTCGCCATGTTGGCCAGGCTGACCTCAGGTGATCCACTCACCTCGGCCTCCCAAAGTGCTGAGATTACAGGCCATGAGCCACTGCGCCTGGCCCATTATAAGTGTTTTTAAAGAACCAGAACCATCATAGGTTATCAAACCCTTCTCTATCTTGTAACTCTAACTCTGTAAGATGCCATCAGCAACATTTTTATTCTTGAGTGCCATTGCCATGGTAAAGCAATGGCTATAGGTGTGAATGATAAGCCTAACTTTGAGAGAAAAGAGAAATAATGTCATAAAAGAAATGAAAAACAGAGTTGTATAAACACAGGATAAATGTGACTGGCAGCTTTAGTCATGAGGGAAATAGATCCTAAGTGGTTTAATGTCCCACAGAAATTTTAGATTCCTATAAAAATAGAAGACTCTAAGATCTTTTCAGCTTCCATAGGTGGCTTAAGCCTGAAAAAATCTCTAGAACTAAACTAATTTTCAGGGTAAAGAACCTATTATGAATGCCATTATAGGCCACAGGTGGTGGCTCATGCTTATAATCCCAGTACTTTTGGAGGCTGGGGTGGGCAGACTGCTTGAAGCCAGGAGTTCAAGACCAGCATGGGCAACATGGCGAAACCCCATCTCTACAAAAATACATTCAAGACCAGGCTGGACAACATGGTCTCTACAAAAAATACAAACTCTGTCTCTACAAAAAACACAAAAATTTCGAGGCCGGCAGATCACGAGGTCAGGAGATCAAGACCATCCTGGCTAATACGGTGAAATCCTGTCTCTACTAAAAATACAAAAAATTAGCTGGGCGTGGTGGCAGGTGCCTGTAGTCCCAGCTACTAGGGAGGCTGAGGCAGGAGAATGGTGTGAGCCCAGGAGGCAGAACTTGCAGTGAGCCGAGATCGCACCACTGCACTCCAGCCTGGGTGACAGAGCGAGACACCGTCTCAAAAAAAAAAAAAAAAAAAAAAAAAAATTAGCTTGGCATAGTGGCGCATGCCTGTAGTCCCAGCTAGTTAGGAGGCTGAGGTGGGAGGATTGCTTGAGCCTGGGAGGTGGAGGCTGCAGTGAGCTGTGATTGTGCCACTGCACTCCAGCCTAGGTAACAGAGTGAGAACCTGTCTTGGCGGGGCGGGGGAGAAAAAAAGCCATTACATTCAGCTAACTCCTAAAGTGTAGTTATTGAGCTTACATAGAAAATCCTTGTAGCCACATAGTCTTCAACTGATGACAGGATGAAAAGACCTTCTTTTGCCTACCAAACTGCCAAATCCAAGGCCTTTGCAGGAAAGAAGTGCTGATAATACAAGTATTACTCTTGGAGAAAAGGAATACTCAGTTTCAATCTCATATTTGAACAAGGTATATCCCAAATAATCAGGAGTATTTAGCAAAATGCAATCATGTTAAAATGTATTTCACTTACCTGTTTCCTCAAAAACATTTGTTAATTCCTTTGAGTGCACCTATTTTAAGAAAATTTAAAAAAAAATTTAGAAATTTATCAAGTAAAACTGAAATTAATTTTATTTCCTTTTTTTCTTTAAGTAAAGAAACTATGTTATCTCCCAAAAAGCTCTTAGAGGAATTCTACTAAACATTTATGGCAAAAATATTGCTACTATTTTAAAATGTTCCAGAGCCCACTGGAAGAGAGAAAGCTGCTAACTGCCTTTTATAATCAGTCTCAATATCAGTGCAAAAGTATCAAAGAAATAGTACAAGCAGCACATCAAAAGACTACTACATCACAATCAAGTAGAGCTCGTTTCAGGAATGCAAAGATGATCTGACACTATGAAATCTAATATAAACCAACAGACCTGAGGAGAAAAATCATCTGTATTTATAGAAAAGGTACCCAATGATATTCATTCTTGAAAAAAACTTATAAAATGGAACAGATATTTTCTTAACACTATAAAATATAACTATTGCAATCTAGAAGCTAGCATCCCACATAATAAACACTGGAAGTTCTCCTATTAAAATCGGAAATTAAAAAAAAAGATGTGCACTATTTGGATCACTTTTTAATATTATTTTTTAGTTATATTAGCCACTATAATTACAAAAAAATTAGAACTACAAAAAGTAGAAGAATTAAAATTATATTTGCAGATGGTATGTCTGTTTACCTACAAAACCCAAGAGAACCAACTGAAAAATTACTGCATACAATGAGGGAACTCAGTAAGCTCTCTAAATAGAAAAGAACTTAATGATAACAGCAACAAAAAAGATAAAACTCATAGGGGTAACCTATAAGAAATGTGTAAGATTTATATGAAGAAGAGTTTAACACAAAATAGAAAGACACAAAACAAGACTTAAACAAATGGAAAGACATACCATGTTTTTGAATAGGAAGATTCAATATTATAATTATGCTGTCAATTTCCCCTAAGTTAATCTAAGTTAATATGATTCAAATACAAATACCAATAGAACTCTTTTTTAAAGAGCTAAACAAGTTAATTCTAAAATTCATATTAATTTGAGAACATATAAGTAATGAGGAGAAACTTGAAAAAAGAAGAAAATTGTATGGGTTTGGGAGAGATACTGTCCCTATAAGATACCAAAGTGCATCATAAAGCTACAAAAATTCGGCCGGGCGTGGTGGCCCACACCTGTAATATCCCATCACTTTGCAAGGCCGAGGCAGGCGGATCATCTGAGGTCCGGAGTTCGAGACCAGCCTAACCAACATGGAGAAACCCCGTCTCTACTAAAATTACAAAATTAGCTGGGCGTGGTGGCGGCTGCCTGTAATCCCAGCTACTCGGGAGGCTGAGGCAGGAGAATCACTTGAATCTGGGAGGTGGAGGTTGCAGTGAGCTGAGATCACGCTATTGCACTCCAGCCTGGGCAATAGGAGAGAAACTCCATCTCAAAAAAAAAAAAAAGAATAAAGAAAACTACAAAAATTCAAACAGTATGATGATACTGGCCCCAGAACAAATAGGTGAATCAACATAAAAGAAAAGGAAGTTTTAGGAATATATCCAAACAAATATGAAGATTTACTGTCTTACTGATAAAAGCAGAATTTCCTATCAGTGGAAATAAGATGAATTATTCAGTAAACGGTAAAAGTCATATGAGGAAAATTAACTTGGCCCTATTCCTTACACCAAATCAAATTCGCAACAAATCAGTAATATTAACATTAACTAGGAAATTTAAGTCTCAAAGGACTTTCAATGTATAACATAATCTCCAGAAGCCATACACAAAAAGACTGATAAATCTGATTATGGAAAATAAAAAATGTCTTCTATCTGAATACAGTGTATGTGTATCCTACAATTTTGTACAGGCTGAGCATCCCAAAGCTGAAAATCCGAAATGCTCCAAAATTCTAAACTTTTTGAGTGCTGACATGACACTCAAAGGAAATGCTCATTGAAGCATTTCAGATTTTGGCTTTTCAGGTTTGGGATGTGGAACTGTTAAGTATAATACAAATGTAAGTATAATGCAATTATTCTAAAATTCAAAAAAATCTGAAATTTGAAACACTTCCGGTCCTAAGCATTTCGAATAAAGGATACTCAACTAGTAAAAGCAATTTTTAAAAAATTGTTAAAATGCTAAAAACAAAGTTTAGAAAATAAAAATCACAAATAAGCCAAATGGACATTATACTTTTCTTACATATTCACACCACTGTATAACTACCATTTTTTAAATGGCGTATCATAGTCTGGTGACCTAGTTTTGTACTTAGTAAAGTACTATGGTCTTTTGTCCATGTCATTAAAGATATTTTTAAAACAAAACAAAATAATGTCTGCATGGAATGCTGATAAATTATTGAAACTGGGTGACTGGTACATGGGGGCACATTATACCTAGTCTATCTTTTAATATGTCTGGAAATGTTCATATAAAAAGTTAATCCAAAAGTTCTGCATGAGAAAACAACAACAAAGAAAGCAGAGTCAAGAGACAATGACAAACTGGGAAAAAAGATTTGCAACTCATTACCACAGACATATATAAGAGTTCTTCCAGTTCTCTAAGAAAAAGATCAATAATCTAATTGAAAAGTGGGTAAAGGAAAAGTCAGTTCATAGAAAAGGAAATACACATGGCTCTTAAGCATATGAAAAGATGTTCAATCTTACCCATAACAAGAGAAAATAAAACAGTTCTGGGATATGCCATTTTTTTACTCACCAAATATATAAAAGCACACTTGCTCTTTGTCAACTATTACTCAAGAACTATTGGTCTTTAACTTTCTCTTTGAGAACACGGGTTTTAAAAGGACTTTTCCATAGTGTAGTTACAAATTATGATGAGTACTAGATGAGTATAAAAACAAGAGGGTACTAGGAAACCTACAACATAGTGGTTGGTGACTGAATTCGCATGGTCTGGCCGGACTTCCCTGAGGCACTGATGACTGAACTAAAGAAGTCTGTATGTTTTTCAAGGGAATGTTTCACACAGAAGGTACATCAAATGAAGTGTCCTGGGACATTTAAGGAATTGAAAGATGGCCAGTGTGGCCAGAAAGTGAGGCAGAAGCTGGCACAAAATGAGACTAGAGACAAAAATCAGCAAGACAATGTGGGGCACTAAAGGCTGTGGTTTTACTCCTAAAAGCAATGGGTAGCTTTAGGCATGATGATGATGATGATGATACTAGTATTATCATTTTACATATTAGGAAACCTGATCAGAGAGAGAGGTGAAGTATCTTGCCTAAGGTGTTACAGCTACTAGGTGGTAGAGCCAAGATCCAGACATATATAATGCTTTTGGTCTTATTTTTAGCCACCAATACAGAGCTGGGAATAAGTTTCTTGATTACTCTCCATCAATTTTCATTTACCATTGGTTAAAAGTGATAATCCAAAACCAGTTTTACTTGAATAACTTATGATGATAAATGTCAGAACTATCTTTATATATATCTAAAAGTTTAAAGAGAATAAAGGAAAAAATAGGAACAGATCTGTTGCAATATGGCCATCTTACTTAATGGCCATATTGAGTGGTACTTAATATACCACTTACCTCAGTGGTATATTCTTGACAGTCATCTCTTAAAGTGAGTGAACGTTTTTTGGCAGGAGGAATGTGGTCATTTTTATCAAGCCTGCATTGAAATCTCTTCCTAGATACAAGATCCAAATTATCAGGCGGCTTTTTAGAATTATCTCTTCCAGAAATAGATAAACCCATGGCATCTTGACCAACTGAAGTTGCTGGTAAACAAATACTGCATAGAAAAGAAATACATACTAAATTACTGAATTAGAAGTTATTTAACACTTTTTTTTTTAAAGGATCCTAGAAATCCTTCCAATAATAAAGTTAAAGGCTGAGGTATTCCAATGAAAATTCCAATAAAACCAAAAAACTCCAAACTAAGAGATACACGGCCATGGCCCCAAAAATGCTATTAATAGTTTTGAGCTCCATTCATACTTCAGGGCTTATAACTTAAATTCCATAGTATTGAATTAAATCTGAATATTACCCTCTCCCTCTCCCTCTCCCCATGGTCTCCCTCTCCCTCTCTTTCCACGGTCTCCCTCTGATGCCGAGCCGAAGCTGGACTGTACTGCTGCCATCTCGGCTCACTGCAGCCTCCCTGCCTGGTTCTCCTGCCTCAGCCTGCCGAGTGCCTGCGATTGCAGGCGCGCGACACCACACCTGACTGGTTTTCGTATTTTTTTGGTGGAGACGGGGTTTCGCTGTGTTGGCGGGGCTGGTCTCCAGCTCCTAACCGCGAGTGATCCGCCGGCCTCGGCCTCCCGACGTGCCGGGATTGCAGACGGAGTCTTGTTCACTCAGTGCTCAATGGTGCCCAGGCTGGAGTGCGGTGGCGTGATCTCGGCTCGCTACAGCCTCCACCTCCCAGCCGCCTGCCTTGGCCTCCCAAAGTGCCGAGATTGCAGCCTCTGCCTGGCCGCCCATCGTCTGGGATGTGAGGAGCCCCTCTGCCTGGCTGCCCAGTCTGGAAAGTGAGGAGCGTCTCTGCCCGGCGGCCATCCCATCTAGGAAGTGAGGAGCGCCTCTTCCCGGCCACCATCCCATCTAGGAAGTGAGGAGCGTCTCTGCCCGGCCGCCCATCATCTGAGATGTGGGGGGCGCCTCTGCCCCGCCGCCCCGTCTGGGATGTGAGGAGCGCCTCTGCCCGGCCGCGACCCTGTCTGGGAGGTGAGGAGCGTCTCTGCCCGGCTGCCCCATCTGAGAAGTGAGGAGCCCCTCCGCCCGGCAGCCGCCCCGTCTGAGAAGTGAGGAGCCCCTCCTACCGGCAGCCACCCCGTCTGGGAAGTGAGGAGCGTCTCCGCCCGGCAGCCACCCCGTCCGGGAGGGAGGTGGGGGTCAGCCCTCGCCAGGCCAGCCGCCCCGTCCGGGAGGGAGGTGGGGGGGTCAGCCCCCCGCCCGGCCAGCCGCCCCGTCCGGGAGGGAGGTGGGGGGGTCAGCCCCCCGCCTGGCCAGCTGCCCCGTCCGGGAGGTGAGGGGCGCCTCTGTCTGGCTGCCCCTACTGGGAAGTGGGGAGCCCCTCTGCCCGGCCAGCCACCCCGTCTGGGAGGGAGGTGGGGGGGTCAGCCCCCCTCCCGGCCAGCCGCCCCGTCCGGGAGGTGAGGGGCACCTCTGCCCGGCCGCCCCTGCTGGGAAGTGAGGGGCGCCTCTGCCCGGCCGCCCCTGCTGGGAAGTGAAGAGCCCCTCTGCCCGGCCACCACCCCGTCTGGGAGGTGTGCCCAGCGGCTCATTGAGAATGGGCCATGATGACGTGGCGGTTTTGTGGAATAGAAAGGGGGAAAGGTGAGGAAAAGATTGAGAAATCGGATGGTTGCCGTGTCTGTGTAGAAAGAAGTAGACATGGGAGACTTTTCATTTGGTTCTGTACTAAGAAAAATTCTTCTGCCTTGGGATCCTGTTGATCTGTGACCTTACCCCCAACCCTGTGCTCTCTGAAACATGTGCTGTGTCCACTCAGGGTTGAATGGATTAAGGGCGGTGCAAGATGTGCTTGTTAAACAGATGCTTGAACGCAGTATGCTCGTTAAGAGTCATCACCAGTCCCTAATCTCAAGTACCCAGGGACACAAAAACAGCGGAAGGCCGCAGGGTCCTCTGCCTAGGAAAACCAGAGACCTTTGTTCACTTGTTTATCTGCTGACCTTCCCTCCACTATTGTCCTATGACCCTGCCAAATCCCCCTCTGCGAGAAACACCCAAGAATGATCAATTAAAAATAAATAAATAAATAAATAAATAAATAAACAACTAAAAAATAATAATAAAATAAATCTGAATATTTAATAGTATTTTCCCTAATTGTAAAGTTAAACGTTTAACCTAAAATGTCCCTTCTAGTCCAGGCGCAGTGGCTCACGTCTGTAATCCCAACACTTTGGGAGACCGAGGCAGGTGTATTACCTGAGGCCAGGAGTTTGAGACCAGCCTGGTCAACATGGTAAAACCCCATCTCTACTAAAAATACAAAAAATTAGCCAGTGTGGTGGCACGCACCTATAGTCCCAGCTACTTGGGAGGCTTAGGCACGAGAATCACTTGAACCCGGGAGGTGGAGGTTGCAGTGAGCTGAGATCACGCCACTACACTCCACCTGGGCAACAGAGCAAGATTCTGTCTCCAAAAATAAAAATATTAAAGTCTTCAATTTCTAATGCTACACGATGGACAATTATCTTAATTAATGGTAGTTAAGATATAACTTACTTCCAAAATAAAGAATTAAAATAAGAGTATCAAGAACAGCTGGGCACAGTGGCTCATGCCTGTAATCTCAGCACTTTGGGAGGCCAAGGTGGGAGGAATGCATGAGGCCAGGAGTTCAAGACAAGCCTGGGTACCAGAGCAAGACTCTACCTCTGAAAAAAGAAAAAAAAAATTTTTTTTTAATTAGCTAACCACAGTGGTGCGCACCTGTAGCTGAGAAGCTACTTGAAAGGCTGAGGCATGAGGATCTTTTTTTTTTTTTCCTCACTCTATCACCCAGGCTAGAGTGCAGTGGTGCAATCTCAGCTCACTGCAACTTCCACCTCCCGGGTTCAAGTGGTTCTCCTGCCTCCGTCTCCTGAGTAGCTGGGATTACAGGCGCAGGCCACCATGACCAGCTAATTTTTGTATTTGTAGTAGTGATGGAGTTTCGCCATGTTGGCCAAGCTGGTCTTCAACTCCTGACCTCAGGTGATCTGCCCACCTTGGCCTCCCAAAGCCCTGGGATTAAAGGCGCAAGCCACCACGCCTGGCCAGGAGGATCTCTTGCGCCCAGGAGTTCGAGGATGCAGTGAACTATGATGGCACCACTACACTTCAGCCTGGCACTCTAGCCTGGGCACCAAAGCAAGTCCCTGTCTCTTAAGAAAAAAAACTGTATTTATTACCACTGTACTATTTTCACAACTTTCTGTGAATGCATATTTCACAGTTTCATATGTGTATGTTTATACAAAGTAACCACACTTTTAACAGGTATCATTTTATGATCTAGACTGTTAATTTTTTTAGCTTTCAAAATAACTTAATAAACAAGTTTCATACAAAACTAATACATGAAACATTTAAGTGGCATCTTTATCAGATATAAAATCTACCACATTACATTTCTTCTCTAACTTACCACATAAATGATAAATAAGATCTCCACAACAATAACAACTAACATTGGTGAATGGTTTGTTCAATCAATGCTACTTAGTTCATAAATCACTTTTCCTCCTAGCAAAAACAGTTTCACTCATTCGTTACCTCATGTCACCCCTTTCTTCGGTATTCACTGATTTGACCAATATGGGAGCTGGCAGTAAAGGGTTTGGCATGAACTGTGCAGTGGCATCAGTAAATTCTTCTACTGCATTGGCTGGGATTTCCACCAGAGTTAAAATAAAGGCTTGTTCATCTTCTCCATCTTGAGGTACATTAGCAACTAGATTCACTATCAAAGTTTAAAAGTTAGTAATAAAAAAGCTCAACTATGAAATAACAGAGTATCATTAATTTATTTCATTTCTAAAAAGACAGTCTCAGGACAACTTATCATCAAGACTAAATAAATAAATGCTCCCCCCAACAACCCCCCAGCCTGAGGAAGTAAGTTCCCTCCTTTTTTGCGGGGGGGAGACAGAGTCTCGCTCTGTCGCCCGGGCTGAAATACAGTGGCACAATCTCGGCTCACTGCAACCTCCGCCTCCTGGGTTCAAGCGATTCTTGTGCCTCAGTCTCCCAAGTAGATGGGATTACAGGTGCATGCCACCGTGCCTGGCTAGTTTTGTATTTTTAGTAGAGATGGTGTTTCACCATGTTGGCCAGGCTGGTCTCGAACTCCTGGCCTCAAGTGATCTACCCACCTCCGCCTCCCAAAGTGAGCCACCATGACTGGCCCAAGAAGTAATTTCATAAAGGATAAAGGTGATATACTAGGGAGAAGATTTATGACTCTGAAAAACAAAACTGATACACAAAATACTTCAAGGTGTTTCTATAAAACGTTTTAAATTTAAGGCCAGCATAGACTAAAATACAACTGTTTTATGTTTTTCCATAGTTAAATAAGGGGTAAAAATCATACAACTAAGTTCTATGACATGTCACTGAAGCATATTATCATACCTGTTAGGTCTTGAGGATTGATTATATTCTCTTGTTGGACTTCTGGAATACTTGTTGGTGTATACTGCCATAAAAAATTAAAATGAAAGAGTCAGGTTGGCCAAATCTTACATTTAAAAAGTTATTCCTGTCAATATGATATAGTGAAGAGATTAACTCAACAACATCTAACCATATACAGTTTTCAAGTGTTTGAAGCTTTAGGCTGTTCCAATAAACTTTTGATTCATTTAAATAAATATTAATACAAAGAATCCTGACTACATTGTTAAATATGTGCATTTTATGAAATGATTTTTGAAGTGACAGGATAGGGAGACCCAAACCCCACAACTTTTTCTCTACTCCCATCACACCAGCCATTGTACTATTAGTAGGTGACATCTGAATGAAGGCAAACTGCTTTCCCTGCATGCAGTATGGTTCCCTCCTGTTTTCCAAAAAACCACAAACATGGTTTTTCTAAAATGCAATCCTGACTGTAATTCTCTACTGCTTAAAATCTCTCAGCTCACCACAACCTCCGCCTCCTGGGCTCAAGCGATCCTCCCACCTCAACCTCCTGAGTAGCTGGGAGTACAGATGCACGCCACCACACCTGGCTAATTTTTTTGTATTTTTCAAGGGTAGAGATGGGGTTTTGCCATGTTGCCCAGGCTGGTCTCAAACTCCTGGGCTCAAGTGATCCACCCACCTAGGCCTCCCAAAGTGCTGGGATTATAGGTGTAAGACACTATGCCGGGCTTCTACTGCTTAAAATCTTTTATTATTTTATTTATTTATTTATTTTTTTGAGACAGTCTCGCTCTGTCGCCAGGCTGGAGTGCAGTGGCACAATCTCGGCTCACTGCAACCTCCGCCCCTCTGCCTCCTGGGTCCGAGCAATTCTCCTGCCTCAGTCTCCTGAGTAGCTGGGACTACAGGCACACACCACCATGCCCAGCTAATTTTTGTATTTTTAGTAGAGACAGAGTTTCACCATGTTGGCCAGGATGATCTCAATTTCTTGACCTCATGATCCACCCGCCTCAGCCTCCCAAAGAGCTGGAATACAGGTGTGAGCCACTGCGCCTGGCCTGCTTAAAATCTTAAAACTTTCATTTTGTAACCAACAATGTCAGTAACTGATTAAGGCAGGAATCATCAGTGGATATTAAAACTACAGGGTAACAGCTTGCTGCGTTGGTCTCATTTGACAAGTTACTAATACAGAATGGAAAAGATGCCATTATAATGAAGAAATCTGGTAGGTACCATTCTAGCCAAGTGATCAGTCAGCATCACCAATAATGGGACAAACTGACATTATGTGTCTCCCGATGTGATATAAAAGGAAGAACACATTATTACCTATATAGTAATCTTGCCCTAAAATATGTAAGTTGAATCTAGTAATGAGGAAGCAATTAAAAAAAAGAAATCCAGACTGTAGGCCAGCCTAGACTGGTCTAAACTTCTCTTGCTTTTTCTCTTTTGTGAACAAAAAGACAAGAAAAATACTCTAGATTAAAGGAAAATAAGGAGAAAGGATAATCAAATGCAATGTGAGAGCCCTGATTGGATCTTGAATTTAAGAAAAATAAAAAAAAAGCTGGCCAGGCGTGGTGGCTCACACCTGTAATCCCAGCACTTTGGGAGGCTGAGGTGGGCAGATCATTTGAGGCCAGGAGCTCAAGACCAGCCTGGCCAACATAGTGAAACCCCATCTCTACTAAAAATATTATACGAAAAAATTAGTCAGGTGTGGTGGGACACACCTTTAATCCCAGCTACTTGGGAGGCTGAGGCACAAGAATCACTTGAGCCTGGGAGGCAGAGGTTGCAGTGAGCTGAGATCGTGCCACTGCACTCCAGCCTGGGTGACAGAGTAAGACTCTGTCTCAAAAAGAAAAAAAGCTATAATGGACATGATTGGGACAACTAGGGAAACTGGAATGAAACTGTATATTACATATTGTTGAGACAATGTTAAATAGTGTAGTAATACTGAGTGTGACAACAGTACTGTCCTTTCTCTGTAAGAGAACTTCCTTGTCCTTATTAGATACAAGATGAGGTATTTATGGACTCAACCTACTTTCAAATGATTCAGTTTTTTGGTTTTTTTTTTTTTTTTTTTTTTTTTTTTGAGACAGAGTCTTGTTCTGTCGCCCAGGCTGGAGTACAATGGCACGATCTTTGGCCACTGCAACCTCTGTCTCCTGGGTTCAAGCAATTCTCACACCTCAGCCTCCCAAGTAGCTGGGATTACAGGTGCATGCCACCACGACTGGCTAATTTTTGTATTTTTGTAGTGATGGGGTTTCACCTTGTTTGCCAGGCTGTTCTTGAACTCCTGACCTCAGGTGATCTGCCCACCTCGGCCTCCCAAAGTACTGGGATTACAGGCGTGAGCTACCCCACCCAGCCAAGTATTTATCTATACAGATGGAGAGCAAGACAGAGTAAAAAAACAAATGAGGCAAAATATTGACAATTAATGAATCAAAGTGAAGTGTATGGGATAATTCTTTGTAAGATTTTTGTAACTTCTAAGTTTAAAATTTTTCAAAATAAAAAGTAAAAATTAAAAAGTCAGGGTGGGGTAAGGAATCTCGTAACTTTAAATGTAACCAAACTCCTTAGCAAGTCATAAAAATCCTTTTATGATCTGTCTGCAGGCTATCTTTCTAAGTTCATCTCTAATCACTTTCTTCATTAATATTCCACTCATACTGCTTACATGCTGTTTCATACTGGTTTGTTCTTGGAAACAGGGTCTCACTCTGTCTCCCAGGCTGGAGTGCATGGCGACCACAGCTCACTGCAGCCTCTACCTCCCAGGCTGAAACGATCCTCCCACTTCAGCCTCCTGAGTAGCTGGGACTACAGGCAAATGCCACCATGCCTGGCTTTTTTTTTTTTTAATGGCATTAAAAGTGTGAGCCACTGCAACCGGTCCACACCTGTTCTTTACACACACGTTCCTCTCCCTTTAACTGGATAATGTATACATGTTCTTCAAGTCCAAGGCTTCTCTCACTTGGGGAACTTTTTATGGAACTGTTCATGTATTGGTTACATGACTGCATAGTTATAAAAACCTGAAGAACTGTACACTAAAAAGGGTGAAGTTAGCCAGGCACAGTGGCTCATGCCTGTAATCCCAACACTTTTGGAGGCCAACGCAGGTGGATCACTTGAAGCCAGGCGTTCAAGACCAGCCTGGCCAATATGGCGAATCCCGTCTCTACTAAAAATACAAAACCTAGCTGGCTGTGGTGACACATGCCTGTAGTCCCAGCTACTTGGCAGGCTGAGGCAGGAGAATCTGTTGAATCTGGGTGGCAGAGGTTGCAGTGAGCTGAGATCATACCACTGCACTCTTGCCTGGGCAACAGAACAAGACTGTCTCCAAAAAAAAAAGAAGAAATAAAGAAAAATGAAGATAAAAGAGGTGAAGTTTATTGTATGTAAATTATACCTTTTTTTTTTTAAATGGAGGAAAACACCTTGCTATCCCTTATTATACTGTACATTCTTTTACCTCTGGCACAGGAAGTGTAAGCACACTGTCTCCTTTAGAGTCCTTTATCTGGGGCTCTTCAACAGAATTTTCACCAAGACCCCTATCCAAACCAAGTGTGCAGGGCCCTGTCTCAGAGGAAGCAACTGGAGCAACTGACAACATGTGAACCTCCTGAGAGCTCTCTTCTTGATTTTCGTTTCTGAAAGAGAGTTTAGCATGCATGTCATTTGAAATCAGGCAAATCATGGAATTATTTTTAGAGCTAGGTGTGTAAAAGATCATCTAATTCAATGGTTTTCAAACTTTTAAAACATATTTAATGCAATAGGACTTTTTTTTTTTTTTTTTTTTTTTTTTTGAGACAGAGTCTCACTCTGTCGCCCAGGCTGGAGTGCAGTGGCGCGATCTTGGCTCACTGCAAGCTCCGTCTCCCAGGTTCACACGATTCTCCTGCCTCGGCCTCCCAAGTAGCTACAACTACAGACGCCCGCCACCACGCCCGGCTAATTTTTTGTATTTTTTAGTAGAGACGGGGTTTCACCGTGTTAGCCAGGATGGTCTCGATCTCCTGACCTCGTGATCCTCCCGTCTTGGCCTCCCAAAGTGCCGGGATTACAGGCGTGAGCCACCGTGCCCGGCCAGAACTTCTTTTTCAAATTCTTACAGCCACAACTTAAGGCTATAGCTGAAACAATATAAACTGAATCTCAGAACCTCTTCACTCTTTTACCTTTCAGTTAGGTTTACTTCTGAAGAAATACTGGTCCCTTTGATACCATGTACACATGCCAATTTGCTCTGATCCTTATTCTCTGCTGTTGTAACTGGTCCGAGGTTTTTATTTTCCAATTCTGTTGCTTTGGAAGCATTTTTCTCTGTTTCTTAAACAAAAAGCACACTTACGATATAGACCAAAATAATACAGCTAAAATCCCTGTATTAGAAACATATGCCCTCTTAAAAGGAAGATTCCTATATAGTGACTCTTCCAAACTTCTCTTATTCCACAAATCAGGCTTATACACATGGCAGAAAGTCCTAGCTAATAGATTTTTGAACAGTAAAACACATGATTAATAAATCCTGTTCTACAAAAATTTCACTCATGGCTGCCATGATAATTGTATCCTCATTTTATGGTACTAGCATCAATAATTAGAAACTCAACATATAAAAGAGACTTCGAGGTGGGTACACCGAGGTTGGGCTAGTTCCACTTTAGAGGAAGTCTTGGAAAAGGAGCTGCACTGCAAAGAATAATATCACAAACGGGGAAAAAAAGACTTCTATATAGAAGAGGTAATTTGAGACTGCACGTTGAGAGAGGTTTTAGAAAAGGTGACCTCTCATGGTTCTCATGTATTTTTCATCATGTTTAGTGCAATATTGTGAATAACCCCATGGGACCCATACAAAGTATCATTAATGATGTTGGAAGCACTCCCAAGAAGCAGAGAGAGTCATAACATTGTAAGAAAAAGCTGAATTGCTTGATATGTATTACAGGTTGACACCTGTAGTTGGGGTTGCCCACCATTTCAGACAGATGTTTCATCTTGTAAACAGATGACATAAACTTTTGGTACTAATAAATACAATGCAGTACTGAAAATGTATTTTCTCTTCCTTATAATTTTCTTCCTTTTATTTTTCTTTGAGACAGGGTCTTGCTCTGTCACCCAGGCTAGAGTGCAGTGGCAATATCACAATTTACGACAGCCTTGATCTGGCGAGCTCAAACCTCTGAGTAGCTGGGACCACAGGTGTGTGCCACCACGTCTGGCTAACTGTTAAAAATTATTTTGTAGAGACAAGGTCTCCCTATATTGCCCAAGCTGGTCTCAAAACTCCTGGGCTCACGTGATCTTCCTGCCTCTGCCTCCCAAAGGGCTAGGATTTCAGGTGTGCACCACCACCGTGCCCAGCCTGATTTTCTTTTTTCTTTTTTCTTTTTTTGAGATGAAGTCTCACTCTGCTGCCCAGGCCGGAGTACAGTGGCATGATCACAGTTCACTGCGACCTCAACCTCCCCAGGCTCAGGTGATACTCCCACCTCAGCCTCCTGAGTAGCTAGGACTACAGACATGCACCACCATGCCTGGCTAATTTTTGTACTTTTGTAGAGATGGGATTTTGCCTTGTGGCCCAGCCCAGTCTGGTTTCATCAAATGAGCCACCCACCTTGGCTTCCCAAAGTGCTGGGATTACAGGCATGAGCCACTGTGCCCAGCCCCAGTCTGACTTTCTTAGTAACATTTTCATTTCTCTATGGCTCATAACATTTTCATTTCTCTATGGCTCATAACATTTTCACTTCTCTACGGCTCAAGGACATGAGTTGAAAAAACAGAAAAAACAATTTTTTTTTAATTTTCTCCAGCCCATTTTATCATAAGAATACAGTATATAACACAAATAAAATACAAAATATGTGTTAATTAACTATCTTATCAATAAGGCTTCTGATCAACAGTAAGCCATTAGTAGGTAAGTTTTTGGGGAGTCAAAAGTTATACATGAATATATATATATATATGTTTTCAATTCATAAGAGACAGGGTGTCACTATTGTCCAGGCTGGCCTCGAACTCTTGGGCTCAAGCCTCCCAAAGTGCTGGAATTACAGGTGTGAGTCACTGCACCCAGCCTATACACAAATTTCTGACTGAATGGGGAGGTCAGTGCCCCTAGTTCAAGGGTCAACTATGAGAGAGAGAGAATGAGAGAAAGAGAGAGACAGAGAGAGAATAAAAGGACAAAAAATTGATCAAACAAATGTAGCAAAATGGTATTAATTACTAAAACCAATTGGTAGATTTATGGGTATTTATTTTATAGCTCGTCTTACTTTTTAATTTGAAACTATTTTATTGTAAGTTAAAACAATTTAATGACCAAATATTTCTTTGAAATGTTAATGTAATTTCTTGTGTCAAAATGATTTTGCAACATATTAAGAGAATAAAATTTACCTCTTTGAGTTTCCATTTCTGCCCCTTTGGTTACACACAAACTGGAAACTTCCTGATAATCATCAAGCCTGTTGGTCCCTAAAGTCTTCTCAAGATTTGGTTTAGGCTTAGCAAGCCTACTTCTTATTCTCAAATTACTGGTCACTTTAGAAATTGTATTCCTAAAAACAGAAGATAGAGAAATTCATGAATCATGTTAGATCTTGCTCTCTCACATTAATACAGTCTGTCTAGCACTGATAGAGTGAATGACCTGTTAGGTGCCACACTGTCTACAAGTGTTCATTTCTTAATACTAAAATTACAAAGTAGTAACTTTACTAGAGGTCTTAAGAAGAGAATTTAGTCTGTATTTGTAAAACAGAGACATTTACATAAATCTATTTCATTAAAGCTTCAAAGATACACAACATTTACTACTATAATTTAAACATGCAAACCACTAACCTAAAATCAAAATCAGTCTATCTTTAAAGGGTAAGAAATTAGCATTGCCTACTTTACATTTAAAGCATTACTCAAAGCTATTAACTAATTTGATGGTGGTTTTAGTAATATTTATTAATTGAATACTAAAATAAACCTGGTTGGTGTAGCATTCTCCTTTACTTTCTCCATTAAACTTATTTCTTCTCTGGAACTTTGTTCCTCCAATACAATCTTGTTTTCTTCAAATGATGCAGGAGATGTAGTAATGACAGGTGAAGAAAGTTCCTGACATTCATGAACAATTTTGTGATTTACATTATCTAGGCTAGAAGGAATATGGCTTTTATCCTTTGAATGAACATGAGGAATTATACATACTCCTACTGAAGAAAAAAAAAAAAAACAAAATTAAAATGGACCAAATTATAGATGCTCAAAATAAATTCCTCAACATTTAGTAATTGTAAAATTCTGTATTATTAAAGTTTGCTTCATTTGTGTGGCAGCAATAGAAAAAGATTTTAGAAATAAATAAATTTTGCCCTTGTTGGCTGTAAATTTATGATCTCCCTATTTCATGCCAGGGATTTGACCTGTTGTGAGCTTAATAATCCTTACAGACTGGAATTTTATCCGATTATTAGTAAAAATGAGTTCTTTTGTTACTTTCAGTAATTATATAATCTCAGATGGATTTCAAGACAGCACTGTCAGCATTTAAGATTTTTAAAACCTTTATGTTCTATATGTACTTTATGTTCTATATGTTTTTGACAGGCTGTACTGCAATACTCTGCCACTAAGAAAGGAGCCCTATACAGAACACAAATCAGAGACTTTCCTGATAAATACATGGTTCCAAGCCTAAAAGTCTAATATGTCTTTATTTATCTATTTTTGAGACAGTGTCTCACTTTGTCACCCAGGCTGGAGTGCAGTGGTGCGATCTCAGCTCACTGCAGCCTTGACCTCCTGAGCTCAAGCGATCCTCCCACCTCAGCTTCCCAAGCAGCTAGGACTACAAGTGTACACCACCATGCCTGCCTAATTTTTTGTATTTTTTGTAGAGACGGGGTTCCACCATGTTGCCCAGGCTGGTCTTGAACTCCTGAAGTCAAGCATTCACCAGCCTCAGCCTCCCAAAGTGCTGGTATTATTGGCATGAGCTGCTGCATCTGGCCCAAAAGTCTAATACTTAAAATGAATGGAAGCTGGGTGCGGTGGCTCATGCCTGTAATCCCAGCACTTTGGGAGGCCAAGACGGGTGGATCACCTGAGGTCAGCAGTTCGAGACCAGCCTGGCCAAGATGGTGAAACCCCAACTCTACTAAAAATACAAAAATTAGCTGGGCATGGTGGCATGCGATTGTAATCCCAACTACTTGAGAGGCTAAGGCAGGAGAATTGCTTGAGCCTGGGAGGCAGAGGTTGCAGTGAGCCAAGATCGCACCATTGCACTCCAGCCTGGGTGACAAGAGCGAAACTCTGCTTCAAATAAATAAATAAGATGAATGGTAGGCTACTCATAACCAAACTCCGTCTCAAATAAATAAATAAGTAAATAAAATGAATGGTAACCAGGCAAAATAATTACCAGGAATAGTATAATTATTCATTTCATGCAATTAAAAGATATTGAGATAGTAAAGATTTATCACTTGTCTGTGATTTCCATCTAATAAGTTAAAAATCTTGGTTGATATATCTTTTGGCTCTGTCCAAACTGAGAACAGTTTAAACTAAATTATTTCAATGAGTGCTATTGTCTCTTTGTGCTCTATTTGTCATCTAATTGTGAATACCATCCCAAGCAGCAACTCCTTTGCAAAAGACACATGTATAAACTATATCAGTGATCAATGAGCTCAGTTAACCAATGACATTTATGATGGTAAAGGTAGTATTCACTACCTTTACCATGCATACAACTATTCCATGCATACAACTATTCCATGAATACAAATTATTCTTAATAAACCAAGAGCATGATCTTGAATTAGCTGTCACTACACCTAAACAGTAGTAAAATAGTGGATGGATCAATACATACATATCATATTTTATGGAAGAACAACAAAATGGAGACAACTTCAAAGGTAAAAGGGTTATTACTCAAATGTGGGTATAATTTCTTAAGTTAGGTTTTAAAAGTTTCTATTTTTGATAGGACTTAGCTTTCATTCTTACCATCACCCTGTTCACTACTGATCTCTGACTGCAATACTAGATCTCCCATTGTAAGTAAAGTTATTGCAGCTTCGGTGCTTCCATCATTGGTACCTTGTGAGGAAATATATCAACATTAAAAAAAAGAATGAATCCGGAAATCTGTTCACTTAAAAAAGATTTTTAATTAAGGTGTTTATCTCCTAGGAGCAGATTCCAATATCCTCTGAGCCATTAATCCCTTACTAAGGTAGTCTTTTGTTCAGGTTATATGCTACAAATAAATAAATCATCACTGTTGGTTTTGACTCACTGACCATGCCTCCCTCCCATTAAATAATATCTTCAAGGAAAATGCTCTCCCATTTGTGAAGATCCAGAGGAAATGCTCAAATACTTCTTAAACATTTTTTTAATTCACCTTCTAAAATAACATTCCAAGAATCCACATTTCTCACAGAGACAACACATTCAATAGCTGAATCTTTTTGTTAAACTCTCCAGCAAACTGATTCATTTATTATCCCCACTATTAAATCACTGTACTAGTGTTAATCAAGGTAGTCTTAGCAGTTTCCTTGATAACAGTTACCTGGTTCATCTTGGATATGTTCACTTGTGGTCATTTCCTAAAAAGGAAAAAAATAAGTAACATCTTAAAATACTTCCCCAAACATGTTCTGTTTCTCAGCATGCACTACATTTTCAGAGGTCTTTCCATACTTTTAGCTACAATAGTGTAAACTGGTTTGTCTTAATTTATAATTATTCACAAAATTTCACCAGCAAGAACATAAACAATTTAAAGGCAAAATTCTTGTGTCTCTTGCTCCTGACTTTATCTTTTTCTTGTATTATGTGCAAATTTTAACTCTTATCATTTTGTTATGTACGTCTACCATTCTTACTTTACTTCTTCATTTTCATAATCCTTCAACTCTAGTCATATCTGCTGCCAATTTTTACCCAATGGAAACCAAGGCCTAAAGGGTATTGCAAAATTTTTATACTACTACGTAGCTTAAAACTTAAATGCATTTTAATAAATTAAGAAGTTACAGAACCAATGTCCAGAGCGACAGCTTGAGAAGCTTCACTGACCCACTCCTCAGTGAAACTGATTTTAAAAACAAAACATTTAAAAGCCTCTGAAACTGATCCTAACGACAAAAAGCAAATGAAGAAATATCTGTTCAAGAAAATCTGAAAATTTGCTAACAAAGGTGAGAGTCTATGTGAACTAACACTGCTCTTTCTCTCTCCTTCCTCCCAGCTCAGCATGGCAGAGACTCCACCTCAAACTGCTGCACCCAAAAATACAAGGCCCCCAGTCCCCAAGGTCCCACCTGGAGAGCATTTTTCCCTAGGGGAGTAGGACTTCATCTCCTGACATCACAAGAAAAGTACAGACCAATATCTATTATGAATATGGACATAAAAATCACCAATAAAATACTAGCAAGCTGAATCCAACAATGAATAAAAATTAGACATTATGATCCTAGAATTTATCCTGGGGAAGCAAGGTTGGTTTAACGTCCAAAAAATACAATGAAAAACAAAATTCACATGATCATCTCCATAAATGCAGAAAAAGCATATGACAAATTCCAACACCCTTTAATGAAAGAAACATTCAACAAACTAGGAATAGAAAGTAACTTCTTTAGCCTGGTAAAGGACGTTTATGAAAAATCCATGGTAACATCATACTTAATGATAAGACAGGATGGGAGGAGTGGTAGCAGCCAGGCAGCCCAGCTTTGAGAAGGCTCTCAGCATGGTGCGGCTCACAGGCACCCAGCATGCACACTCCTGACCACAAGATGCCCAAGAGGAAGATCAGCTCAGCAGAAGGGCGGTGAAGGAAAGAGCCCAAGATGAGATTAGTATGACTGTCAGCTAAACCTGCTCCTGCAAAAGTGGAAACAAAGCCAAAAAAGGCAGCAGGAAAGGATAAATCTCCAGACAAAAAAAGTGCAAACAAGAGAAAAACGGGGAACAAAGGGAAAACAAACCAAAGTGGCTAACCAAGAAATCAGATTTACCTACAGAAAACAGAGAAACAAAAACCAAGGAAAGTCCAGCCTCTGATGAAGCCCAGAGAGAAAAAAAGCCAAGTCTGATTAATATCATATACTATGTCTTACCAATAGTACCTGTCTCCCTTCTTGTACATTCCAGAGGAATATTTTTCTCAACTATTTCACAAATGCAAGTTTTTTAGTAACTCTAGAAACATTTTTAAGAAGAAGGAAATCCCACCTCATCCCATTTTTTAAGTGTACATGCTTTTAAGGGTAAAAATCATTTTCCAGTTGTTTATTTTTTGGTACAACCAGAAAACAGTGTGCGATATTGAATTATGGGAGGCTTTGACTGTCTTGGGTATCATCTTAACATTCCACTATATTAACTGGCAATATGGAGTCACAGTCCTGTATCTGATGTCTTGAAATTTTTAAGTTACTTTTATTCCCATGGTTTGGTTCTGGTTCTTTTTTTTTTTTTTTTTTTTTTTGGTTTTTTGGTTTTTTGGCTTTGAGACAGAGTCTTGCTCTGTTGCCTAGGCTGGAGTGCAATGGTGCAATCTCCACTCACTGCAGTCTTCGCCTCCTGGGTTCAAGCAATTCTCCTGCCTTAGCCTCCCAAGTAACTGGGATTACAGACATGTGCCACCATGCCCGGCTGATTTTTTGTATTTTTAGTAGAGACGGGGTTTCACCATGTTGGCCAGGCTGGTCTCAAACTCCTGACCTTGTGATCTGCCTGCCTCGGCCTCCCAAAGTGCTGGGATTATAGGCGTGAGCCAACGCGCTCGACCTGGTTCAGGTTTGTTTGAGACAGAGTCTTGCTCTGATGCCCAGACTGGGGTGCAGTGACGGCGATGACAGCTTACTGCAACCTCAACCTCCTGGGCCCAGGCGATCCTCCTGCCTCAGCCTCCACAGTAGCTGGGACCACAGGCGCATGCCACCATGACTGGCCAACTTTTAAAAAACATATTTGTAGAGACAGAGTCTCCCTCTGTTGCCCAGGCTGGCCTTGAACTACCATGTGATCCTCCCACCTCCCAAATTACTGAGATTATAGGCATGAGCCACCGCGCCTGGGCCCATGTTGTTTTTTAGCAGAATTGCTTCCTAAAGAAAACCACTCCTTGATCATGGCTCTCCCTGTCAGAATTGTATGCACTCTATAAATCTTTGGTTGTGGTAGTCCTGTTTTCCTAATAATTTTGTTAATGTGCTGTGAAAGACTGAAAATTTGAGTATGCAGTATATATGCTATTTAACTGCAAATTGTGGAAGTATGTAACAGTTTATCAACATGTAAGGATACTGGTACTTGATAGCCTTTTAATGAAAACTTGCCTCCAAATTTTAAGCTGGAAAGTCACCAGAGTAACTTAAAAATAATTACAATACATGGCTTTTTAGATTTTCGGTATAAATGTGAAGAATTGTGTACTGATCCTCAACACAACCAATAAAATCTCAATTATGAAAAAAATAAATGATGAAAGACTGGATACTTTACCCCTAAGATCAGGAATAAGACCAAAATGCCCACTCTCGCTTCTATTAAACTTTGAACTATAGGTTCTAGCCAGGGCAGTTAGGCAAGAAAAAGAAATAAAAGGCATTCAGGTCAGAAAGTATCAAAGGTTGAATTGTGTCCCCTAGAAAGATATGTCAAAGTCTTAAACCCAAATAATGTGAATATGACATTATTTAAAAATAGGGTATTTGTAGATATAATCAAATTTAGATGAGGTCATATTGGATTAGAGTTGGTGCTAATCCAATATGACTGGTGTCCTTTCCTTATAAGATGAGAGGTTACACATACACAAGGGGAAAATGCCATGTGGTAATGGAGGCAGAGGGTGGAAGTATGCTGCTGCATGCTGAGAAATGGTAAGGACTGCCGGCTACCACCAGAAGGCAGGAGAAAGGCATGGGATGGTTCTTCCTCAGAGCCTCCAGAAGGAACCAACATTGGTGACACCTTGATTTTAGACTTCTAGACTCTAAAGCTGTGAGAGAATAAATTTGTTTTGTTTTGTTTTTCTCATCTCCATAAGTGCCTGGAGAATTCTCTGTGGTTATAAGCTATCAAGTTTGTGGTGCAAAGAGTACCCGACTTAAAATTTTTTTATTTTAGGCCGGGCACGGTGGCTCACACCTGTAATCCCAGCATTTTGGGAGGCCAAGGTGGGCAGATCACCTGAGGTCAGAAGTTCGAGACCAGCCTGACCAACATGGTGAAACCCCATCTCTACTAAAAATACAAAAATTAGTTGGATGTGGTGGCGGGCGCTTGTAATCCCAGCTACTCTGGAGGCTGAGGCAGGAGAATCACTTGAAACTGGGAGGCGGAGGGTGCAGTGAGCCTCCAAGATTGCGCCATTGCACTCCAGCCTGGGCAACAGAGTGAGACTCTGTCTTTAAAAAAAAAAAAAAAATTGTTATTTTATGATGGGTTTATCAGGACATAATCTCCTCATAAGTCGAGGAGCATCTGTACTTTGTTACAGTGATCCTAGGAAACTAATACAGAAAGAAGTAAAACTATCTTTATTTGCAGATGACATGATTTGACAAATAGAAAATCCTAAGGAATCCACCAAAGAAGTTGCAGGATATAAAGCTAATATACAAAAATCATTTTTATTTCTACACACTTGCAACGAACAATCCAAAAATGAAATTAAGAAAACAATCCCAGGCCGGGCACGGTGGCTCATGCCTGTAATCCCAGCACTGTGGGAGGCAGAGGCGGGTGGATCACCTGAGATCAGGAGTTCGAGACCAGCCTGACCAACATGGAGAAACCCCGTGTCTACGAAAAATACAAAATTAGCAGGGCGTGGTGGCATATGCCTGTAATCCCAGCTACTCGGGAAGCTGAGACAGGAGAATTGCTTGAACCAGGGAGACAGAGGTTGTGGTGAGCCAAGATCGCGCCATTGCACTCCAGCCTGGGCAACAAGAGGAAAACTCCGTCTCAAAATGTGGTGGGCGCCTGTAGTCCCAGCTACTTGGGAAGCTGAGGCAGGAGAATGGTGTGAACCCAGGAGGCGGAGCTTGCAGTGAGCTGAGATCATGCCACTGCACTCCATCCTGGGCGACAGACGAGACTCCATCTCAACAACAACAACAAAAAAAAAACTTACTACAAAGTAACAGTAATCAATATAGCATCACCAGCATGAGAACAGACATATAGATCTATGCAACAGAATTGAGAATTCAGAAATAAACCCATACATCTATGGTCAGCTGATTTTTGATAAGGGTGCCAAGACTATTCAATGGGGAAAGAATAGTCTTTTCGAATAAATGGTGATAGGACAAATGGATAGCAACATGCAAAAGACATAAGTTGGATAATGAGGTTATCCATGTATAAAAATAAACTCAAAATGGATCAAAGACTTAAACGTAAAAGCAAAAATCATCTTTTAGAAGAAAAATGGGTAAATCTTCATGACCTTGGGTTTGACAAAGGACTCAGATCTGACAACAGAAGCATGAGCAACAAATGAAAAAACAGATTAACTGAACTTCATCAAAATTTAAAACTTTTTGCTTTAAAGGAAATCAAGAAAGTGAAAAGACAACCCCACAGAAAGGGAGGAAATATTTGCAAATCATATACCTGCTAAGCAACTTTTATCTAGATTATATAAAGACTCCTTACAACTCAATAATAAAAAGACAAATAGCACAATAAAAGAAAAACAGACAAAAGATTTGAATAGACATTTCTCAAAGATGATATACAAATGGCCAATAGGAACATAAAATGTGCCTGACATCATTAGTCACCAAGGAAATACAAATCAAAACCACAATGTGACACCACTTCACACTCACTAGGACAGCTAGATCCAAAAAGTCAAGCCAGACACAGTGGCTCATGCCTGTAATCCCAACACTTTGGAAGGCTGAGGTAAAAGTATCACTTGAGGACAGGAGTACGAGACCAGCCTGAACAACACAGCAAGACCCCACCTCTACAAAAAAAAAAAATTAGCTGGGCATGGTGGCACACACCTGCAGTCCCAGCTACTTGGGATGCTGAGTGGAGAGGATCATTTACACTCAGGAGGTCAAAGCTGTAGTGTGCTACAATTGTGTTACTGCACTCTAGTTTGGGTGACAATGCAAGGCCGTCTCAAAAAAAAAAAAAAAAATCCACCGAACAAAAAAAAAAGTGAAATAACAAGTGCCGGCAAGGACATGGAAGAACAGGAACCCTCATAAACTGCTGGTGGGAATGTAAAAGGGTATAGCTACTTTGGAAAACAGTTTGGCAGTTCCTCAACTGATGAAACATAGAGTTACCATATGACTCAGCAATTACATTTTTAGAAATGTACCCAAGAGAAATAAAAACATATTGTACACAAACACTTCTACATGAATGTTTACAGCAGCATTATGTATAACACACAAAAAATGAAAATAATCCAAATGTTCATGAATGGATGAATGGATATACAAAATGTACCATATCCATATGGAATATTATTAGGCTACAAAAAGTAAGGAAGTACCACTACATGCTGCAACATAGATGAACAGTAAAAAATGTTACATTAAGTGAAAAAAGCCAGACACAAATGATCAGATTTTATAATTTCATGTCTAGGAAACATCTAGAACAGGCAAATCTATAAAGACAGAAGGCAAATTATTGGTTCCCCAGGCCAGTGAGGGTTGGGAGGAAAGGAGTAGTGACTGCTAATAAGGTTTCTTTTTGAGGTGATGAAAATGTCCTAAAATTGACTGTGATAATGTTTGCACGATACTAGAAGTCACTTAATTGTGCACTTTAAATAATGAGAAAATCATATGGTGTGTAAATTATATGTCAATAAAGCTGTTTTTAAAAAGTTACAATTTCAAGCCTCCGCTTGCAAAGGCAAATAAATACCAATAATGGAAGAGTGCAAATAAAACGCAACAGAATATATTTTAACTTGTTTATACTTAGTATAAATTTAATGCAACTGAATTTTAATGTAAAAGTCTATGAGGATATTAAGAGCTCTGCCCACAAACAAACAAAATCATTGCTTTCACTAGTTTTTACTACTCAGACTAACAGCTCCTTACAAAGAGAAATTAGCTAAGTAAAGTGTTTATAAACCTAAAGCTATCAAAAGGAACCTCCAGTCTTTTCAAAGTAAACAAAGAATAAAAGGCCAAAACATATTAAAATGGATGCTTACAAACGGTACACTCAAATTTTCTTCTTGTTTCATTTCTTCAGTAGTCACATCTGTGTTTGGTAGCTCATGTTCAACAACAGCTATGCATCCTACATCTGGGACATTCACAGTTATTTCAAGCTGTCAAAATAAAGTTTTATCATTTCATTTTGGCATATTATAAACAGCAAAACAAAGCCTCATCTTCAACATGAATAAGTAAGATGAAACGCTAAAATGAAGAAATAATCCACATTCATACATAACTTAAAAAATGGAATGGAGTAATTCTTTTATTGACTGACAGCAACTTGGCAAAAGTAAAACATTTAAAATTTTTGAGGTGGCTGTGACTATTAAAACCAGTAAGCAAATTTTCTAAGACTCATCTTCTTAGTGCCTGGCATTTCATTTTCCATTTTCTTCACTTTGTCCTCACTTTCCCCCTAATTTCTCTGTTCAGTCTGTTAACATTTATAGAAGGCTAGGTGTACAGGGATATAAAGTCAAATAAGATAAGTGTAGTCCCTATCCTCAATGAATTCACAATCTAACAGAAAAGCAGACATGTAATCAACTAATTATATACGGTCATAAATGCTATCTATAATGAGTTGAAAGCCCTTAGAAGTATTTATCGGGCCAGGCGCAGTGGCTCACGCCTGTAATCCCAGCACTTTGGGAGGCCGAGGCAGGTGGATCACCTGAGGTCAGGAGTTCAAGACCAGCCTGGCCAACACAGCGAAGCCCCATCTCTACTAAAAATACAAAAATTAGCCGGGCATGGTGGTGCCTGCCTGTAGTCCCAGCTACTGGGGAGGCTGAGGCAGGAGAATCGCTTGAACCCAGGAGGTGGAGGTTGCATTGAGCCGAGATTATGCCACTGCACTCTAGCTTGGGCAACAGAGTGACAAGTTGTTCTCAAAAATAAATAAATAAATAAATAAAATATTTATCATACCACTGCCCCCACACCAACTCCCTTCTCCCAAAACCCCAAAGCCTGCACGATTCTTGATACCCAGGGCAACAGCCATGTAAAATAAGAAGTTCACTCATATTTACTCTTCATTTGTGAGTCCTATTACTTAAAGAGCCGTGTAATCTGAGCACTAAAAAGGTATTTACCTACTAGAATACATACAATATAGTCTGGTTCTTATTATCTTATTTTTTTGTTTTTCTTTTGTTATTCTGAGGCAGGGTCTCACTCATGTCACCCCAGCTGCGGTGGTGCGATGATGGCCACAACACCTGGGCCTATTCTCTTATTAACAGAAAAAAACAGTATAAAACGTTGTATGGCTGAGTAGAAACTGTGAGTAAAGAGTCAAGTCTGAGAATCTGCCTTCAAGACATACGTTATTTTTTTTTTGAGACAAAGCCTCACTCTATCGCCCAAGCTGCGGTGCAGTGGCACTATCAGGGTTCACTACAGCCTCAACCTCTCAGGCTCAAGCAATCCTCCCGCCTCAGCCCTCCAAGTAGCTGGGACTACAGGCATGTGCCACCATGCCTAATTTTTGTATTTTTTGTAAAGATGAGGTTTCGCCATGTTGCCTAGTCTGGTCTCGAACTCCTGCACTCAAGCGATCTGCCCACCTTGGCTTCCCAAAGTGCTGGGACTATGGGCATGAGACCC
The DNA here is from genome assembly GCF_000001405.40 of Homo sapiens. Lineage (NCBI taxonomy): Eukaryota > Metazoa > Chordata > Mammalia > Primates > Hominidae > Homo > Homo sapiens. The sequence continues at coordinate 1,060,781 of NT_187651.1, read as the reverse complement.
TGTGCCCAGCCAACATATTTGTTATAATTACATTTGTATGTACCACATCTGTTTCCTCAGATACAAAATTTAGAGAAAAATCTTTGGTAATATCTGACAGGACTGGGATGAACCAAAAAATTCAAGTGAGCACGGGGGCACATGCCTGTAGTTCTAGCTACTCGGAGGCTGAGGTGTGAGGGTCGCTTGAGCCTAGGAGTTTGAGGCCAGCCTGGACAACACAGCAAGATCTTGTCTCCAAAAAAATGAATTTAAAAACAATAGGCCAGGCACGGTAGCTCATGCCTGTAATCCCAGCACTTTGGGAGGCTGAGGTTGGCAGATTGTTTGAGCTCAGGAGTTTGAGACCAGCCTGGACAACATGGTAAAACCCCATCTCTATTGAAAATAAAATAAAAAAAAAATTAGCCGGGTGTGGTGGTTGTGCACCTGTAGTCCCAGCTACTCAGGAGGCTGAGGTGGGAGGATTGCTTGAGCCTGGGAGGCGGGGGTTGCAGCAAGCTGAAATCATGCCACTGCACTCCAGCCTGGGCAATGGAGTAAGACCCTATCTCAAAAAAATAAAAATAAAGAAAAGAAAAATAAATAAATGTAACAAAAAAAAATTTTAAAGTTCAGATGATTTGAGAAGAAAAAATACTTCTTGAAGAGTTGGGACTGGATGGGAAAAGGGAATATTCTATAAAGTAAAAGTTGGTTTTTTAAGCATCATACAGTTTATTTTAAAAAAGACTTGCAATTCACATAACATACAGTTAACCCACTTAAGGTGTACAATTCAATGTATTTTGGGATATTCACAGATATGTGCAATCATCACCACATTCAAATGTGGAACATTTTTGTCACTTCAAAAATAAACCTTATACCCATTAGCTATCTCTCCCTTAACCCCTCTCTTCCCCATCTGCCAAAACCTAGGCAACCATTAATCTACTTTCTGTCTCTGTGGACTTCCTTATTTTGGACATTTCATATGAATGGAATCACACAGTATGCGATACTTTGTAACTAGCTTCTTTCACTTGGCCTAAGGTTTCCAAAATTCATCCATGTTGTGACACATATCAACACTTTATATCCCTTTAGGGCTGAAAAACATTCCATTGTGCTTCAAAGCTTTTGTCTCCTCCTGTTGTCCAGGCTACAATGCAGTGGCATGATTGTAGCTTACTGTAACCTCAAACTCCTGGGTTCAAGCAACCCTCCCCACTCAGCCTTCTGAGTAGCTGGGATTATAGATACGCACCAACACACCTTGCTAATTTATTGACTGAATGTAGAGACAGGGTCTTGCTATGTTGTATAGGCTGGTCTTGAACTCCTGCCCTCAACTGATCCTCCGCCTCAACCTCCCAAAGCACTGGGATTACAGACATGAGCCACCATGCCTGGCCTTTCAATGCTTTTGTTTTTTGAGACAGAGCTTCGCTCTTTCGCCCAGGCTGGAGTGCAGTGGTGTGATCTTGGCTCACCACAACCATTGCCTTCTGGTTTCAAGCGATTATCCTGCCTCAGCCTCCCAAGTAGCTGGGATTACAGGCGCCCACCACCACGCCCAGCAAATTTTTGTATTTTTAGTAGAGATGGGGTTTCACCATGTTGGCCAGGCTGGTCTCGAACTCCTGACCTCGTGATTCGCCCACCTCAACCTCCCAAAGTGCTAGGATTACAGGTGTGAGCCACCGTGCCTGGCCTCAATGCTTTTTAAAGAACATTTTTTCTAACATATATATGAATTTCCCTGTTTAGTAGGCTGGCCATAAGGAATAGAATCTAAGGAAAGCCTTGTCAATTACTATGATTAATGCTATTAAAAAAGATAGCCTGTATTAATTCAGGGATACAGTCTGGAATCTAATTTTCAGAAATTAATTACTGATAGTTTCACTAGCAATTTGCCTTCACTTAAAGAAAAATACAAAATATATAGCTAAATGAACTCTCATGCAGCATTAACCAGATATCTTTCCACAAAATTACTCTTCCTTCTGCATTTTCTTGGTTTCACATAATGCTTACATTTACTATCTTTACTTTGAATTGTAAGAAACAACCTCATTTTGCATCATTTAAATTAGCTTCAACCATTTTATTAGTTCATTTACTCTAAAACATTTACCAGGTTATTATTAACACTGAATAAAAGTAGATTTTGACTTCCCTTCATAAATGTGACTTTACAGATTCAGATAATCCGTTAATTCTTAATGGAATTACATTAACATGTAAAGTTTACCTTAATTATCTTAAACATTACTTGAATTGTTTACTGTTTCTTACTGCTTCTTTTATTGTTGCCACTATCTTAGTTAACTCTGATTCATTTCAAATTACTCAGAAACTATCATGAATGCTTACACAAAACTGACTCAGATATGCTCCTCAGTAAGCCAAAGAAGTGACTGAAAATTAAGGCAGAACAGAAAACTTTGAAGTTACAAAGTTGGAATGGCAGACTAACAGGCAAAAGTGTAAGGAAGCTAAATATGTTCAACACGTTTCTCTAGTTCACAACCCTTAGGATGATTACTAGCCAAAGTTACAACATAGCTACGACTGGTGAGGATGTAGCGAAACTGCAATGCTTGTACACTGTTGATAGGGATGTAAAATGATAACAGCCCTATGAAAAACAGTATAAAGGTTGCTTGAAAAGTTAAGTATAGAATTAACATAAGATCGAGGCCGGGTGCAGTGGCTCACACCTGTAATCCCAGCACTTTGGGAGGCCCAGGCAGATGGATCATTTGAGGTCAGGAGTTTGAGACCAGCCTGGCCAACATGGTGAAACCCCACCTCTACTAAAAATACAAAAAAATTAGCTGGGTGTGGTGGCAGGTGCCTGTAATCCCAGCTTCTTGGGAGGCTGAGGCAGAAGAATTGCTTGAACCTGGGAGATGGAGGTTACAGTGAGCCAAGATTGCGCCACTGTACTCTACTCCAGCCTAGGCAACAGAGACTCCATCTCAAAAAAAAAAAAAAAGAATTAAAAGAATTACCATACGATCCAGCAATTCCACTTCTGGGTATATCCCGCAAAAAGTAAAAGCAGAGATTCAAAGAGGTATTTATACAACTATGTTCATACCAGCATTATTTCTAACAGCCAAAAGGTGGAAGCAACCCAAGTGTCCATTGATGATAAAGGAATAAACAAAACATGATACACACACACAATGGAATATTATTGAACCTCGAAAATGAAGAACACTCTGACATAAGCTACAACATAGATGAACTGTGAAAACATTATGCTAAATGAAATAAAATGGTCACACAAAAAAATACTGTATGATTCCACTTACATGAGGAGTCAAATTAAAGAGACAAGATGTAGAAAAGTGGTTGCCAAAAGGTTAGGGGGTGGGAGGAATGGAGAGTTACTGTTTAATGGGTATAGAATTTCAGTTTTAACAAAATAAAAAGAGTTCGCCAGGGGTGCAAGGCAGACCTGAGAGTGACCAGGCCAGACGGCATAGAGATGGGGCTCAAGGGACAGGTGTTGGGTGTTTGTATCTTGTATCTTGGTTTTTTGCCAGGCTAGGGGACAACCACTCATTGCGGGATGTCTTAATCATCTTAAAAAAGAACGCAGTAGCTCGTGCCTGTAATCCCCGCACTTTGGGAGGCCGAGGCAGGAGGATTGCCTGAGCTCAGGAGTTTGAGACCAGACTGTGCAACATAGCGAAACCCCATCTCTAAATTAATTAATTTTAAAAAAGAGTTCTGTGGATGGATGGTAGTGATGGTAGCATGACAACACGTACATGTGAATGTTCTTAATGCCACTGAAGTGTACACTTAAAAATGAGTAAGATGGCTGGGCATGGTGGCTCACGCCTGTAATCCCAGCACTTTGGGAGGCCGAGGCAGGTGGATTGCTTGAGGTCAAGAGTTCAAAACCACCCTGGCCAACATGGTAAAACCCTGCCTCTACCAAAAATACAAAAATTAATCAGGCTTGGTGGTGCACACCTGTAGTCCCAGCTACAGGAGGCTGAGGCAGGATAATCACTTAAACCTGGGAGGTGGAGGTTGCAATGAGCCAAGATCCCACCACTGCACTCCAGACTGGGTGACAGACTGAGACCCCGTCTTTAAAAAAAAAAAAAAAAAAACAGAGAGAGAGATAGTAAATTTTATGTTACATGTATTTTAGCACTCTTCTTTTTTTTTTTTTTTTTTTTTGAGATAGAGTCTCGCTCTGTCTCCCAGGCTGGAGTGCAGTGGCACGATCTCAGCTCACTGCAACCTCCGCTTCCCGGGTTCAAGCAATTCTCCTGTCTCAGCTTCCCCAGTAGCTGGGACTACAGGCACCTGACACCACGCCCAGCTAATTTTTGTATTTTAGTAGAGACAGGGTTTCACCTTGTTGGTCAGGCTAGTCTCAAACTCCTGACCTCAGATGATCCACCCACCTCGGCCTCCCAAAGTGCTGGGATTATAGGCGTGAGCCACCATGCCTGGTCCAAATCAAAAAAAAAAAAGTATGTCCCTTCTAGCTTCTCTATCAACCAGAAAACACCAAAATGTTTGAAAGATTAATCAGAGGTTGGCTGGGCTGGTCTCCAGCTCCTAACCGCGAGTGATCCGCCAGCCTCGGCCTCCCGAGGTGCCGGGATGGCAGACGGAGTTGCGTTCACTCAGTGCTCAATGGTGCCCAGGCTGGAGTGCAGTGGCGTGATCTCGGCTCGCTACAACCCCCACCTCCCAGCTGCCTGCCTTGGCCCCCCAAAGTGCCGAGATTGCAGCCTCTGCCCGGCCGCCACCCCGTCTGGGAAGTGAGGAGCGTCTCTGCCTGGCCGCCCATCGTCTGGGATGTGAGGAGCCTCTCAGCCTGGCTGCCCAGTCTGGAAAGTGAGGAGTGTCTCTGCCCGGCCGCCCCGTCTGAGAAGTGAGGAGACCCTCTGCCTGGCAACCGCCCCATCTGAGAAGTGAGCAGCCCCTCCGCCCGGCAGCCACACCGTCTGAGAAGTGAGGAGCCCCTCCGCCCAGCAGCCACCCCGTCTGGGAAGTGAGGAGCGTCTCTGCCCAACAGCCACCCCGTCCGGGAGGGAGGTGGGGGTCAGCCCCCCGCCTGGCCAGCCGCCCCGTCCGGAAGGGAGGTGGGGGGTCAGCCCCCCGCCCGGCCAGCCACCCCGTCCGGAAGGGAGGTGGGGGGGTCAGCCCCCCGCCCGGCCAGCCGCCCCGTCCGGGAAGGAGGTTGGGGGGTCAGCCCCCCGCCCGGCCAGCCGCCCCATCCGGGAGGGAGGTGGGGAGGTCAGCCCCCCGCCCGGCCAGCCGCCCCGTCCGGGAGGGAGGTAGGGGTGTCAGCCCCCCGCCCGGCCAGCCGCCCCGTCCGGGAGGGAGGTGGGGGGTGTCAGCCCCCCGCCCGGCCAGCCGCCCCGTCCGGGAGGGAGGTGGGGGGGTCAGCCCCCCGCCCGGCCAGCCGCCCCATCCGGGAGGTGAGGGGTGCCTCTGCCCGGCCGCCCCTACTGGGAAGTGAGGAGCCCCTCTGCCCGGCCAGCCGCCCCGTCCGGGAGGGAGGTGGGGGGGGTCAGCCCCCCGCCTGGCCAGCCACCCCATCCGGGAGGTGAGGGGCGCCTCTGCCCGGCCGCCCCTGCTGGGAAGTGAGTAGCCCCTCTGCCCGGCCACCACCCCGTCTGCGAGGTGTACTCAACAGCTCATTGAGAACAGGCCATGATGACAATGGCGGTTTTGTGGAATAGAAAGGGGGGAACAGTGGGGAAAAGATTGAGAAATCGGATGGTTGCCGTGTCTGTGTAGAAAGAGGTAGACATGGGAGACTTTTCATTTTGTTCTGTACTAAGAAAAATTCTTCTGCCTTGGGATCCTGTTGATCTGTGACCTTACCCCCAACCCTGTGCTCTCTGAAACATGTGCTGTGTCCACTCAGGGTTGAATGGATTAAGGGTGGTGCAAGATGTGCTTTGTTAAACAGATGCTTGAAGGCAGCATGCTCGTTAAGAGTCATCGCCACTCCCTAATCTCAAGTACCCAGGGACACAAACACTGCGGAAGGCCGCAGGGTCCTCTGCCTAGGAAAACCAGAGACCTTTGTTCACTTGTTTATCTGCTGACCTTCCCTCCACTATTGTCCTATGACCCTGCCAAATCCCCCTCTGCGAGAAACACCCAAGAATGATCAATAAAAAAAAATAAATAAAAAATAAATAAATAAAAAATAAAAAATAAAAAAAAAGAAAGATTATCAGAAAGTAGACTAAACAGCTTCCAGGTACAAGTGTAAGCAGATTTCTCTCGTTGTTACACTGACTCCCTTGCTGGGCCTGGGCCATAGGGACTGAGCAATCACAAAAGGTTATACAAGGCCCCAAATTATATTTGGTAGAGGTTATTTAGAGAATGAACTCTTCAAATCCTAATAATCACTACGAGAAGAAATAATGATCCCCTAAAAGAAACAAGAGGTGAAAACCAAGTAAGATAAAGTACCAAGGTTTTAAAAAAAAACCGAACCTCTTCCATTGTTTCCTCAATCTGAGCAGAAACAGGTTCAGGAGATCTGAGACCAACAGGTACAAATACTGGAGCTTTGTTTACTTCTTCGGGAGCAAGATGATAGCTTTCTTCCTCATAGTCAGACTCAAAATCGTCAGCATCATCATCTTCTTCCTGGGAAGCCCGAAGAGTCACCAGCATGGCCTTGGAAGCTCTAGGTTCCTTCTTAGAGGTCTTACCCCGAACTCGTTTTGATCCACGACCTCTGGTGACATTTGGTTTGAACTTTTTATGACTTCTCCTTTCACCACGATTTCTCTCATACTCAGATGTAGAAGAGATAGTTGTTTTCCCATCCAGGGCAATTTTAGAGTAACTTGTTTCGTTTAACGGTTGTGGACAGCTAGATATTTAATCAAAACAACAATAAGGTCATATGCATGCAAGGATAATTTTAATGAAAACCAAACTTTTAGAGTGAAATTCCAGTTCCAGTCATTAAAATGAAAATTCCCACCACCCATTCTTTTAAAATCTTATGCTGTGAAAATAAAAAAGGAATTAACTACTAGTTTCTCACTCAGAGTTAATTCTTAGTTATCTACCTACAAATTTTTCATAGTAAGTTTTTAATTCTGGACCATTCTTTCCTGTAATATGAAAGTGAAGATAAAATAAACACAAAACTGAAAATTATTAGAAGAAAAAGGGATAAAAGACACAGAACCGGCTGGGCGCAGTAGCTCACGCCTCTACTCCCAGCACTTTGGGAGGACGAGGCAGGCAGATCACTTGAGGTCAGGAGTTCAAGACCAGCCTGGCCAACATGGTGAAACCTGATCTCCACTAAAAATACAAAAATTAGCTGGGCACGGTGGTGCACGCCTGTAATCCCAGCTACTCGGGAGGATGAGGCAGGAGAATCACTTGTACCTGGGAGGTGGAGGTTGCAGTGAGCCGAGTCACGCAATTGTACTCCAGCCTGCGCGAGAAGAGTGAAACTGTCTCAAAAACAAAAAAAGACACAGGACCAATAAATACAGAATATGAGATCAAATGTGGTATTAGTTTATCCTACTGGGTAAACAGATAGGTTAAAAGAAAAAGGAGGCAGCAGAAATCCACTAGAGCAGTGCTGGTTTCTAGAACTTAAGTTTCTTTCCATTTTCTTTGAAAACTATAGAAGTAGGGTATTCTTTATTTGTGTTTGTGACTCCATTTGAATGAGCACCTTAATTACTTAGCTAATACATACATACTCCTCTTTGGTCAAGTTTCTACCCATGTCTAATGGACTCAACACCCAAAAATTTTGTTCTACCAGTAAGTTAAGGTAAAAGTTAAGTGATTTTTATTTCTTATTGTGAAACATTTTGTTAAATAAAATGTTACCTTGTTAGTTTATTGAGATATTGCTCTTCAACAACTGAAGATGGTGAATTATCTCCTACAGTTTCCTCTCCAACCCTTCTTGATGGTCCAACTTCTTCTAATTCCGCATCTATTTTTGCCAAAGCAGACTCTTTGGAACCTACACAATCTTTTCTTGCTGAAACCTCCAGAGATGTCAGAAGCTCAGCTTTTTCCTTAAATTTAAGAAGAAATTAGCTAGTATTACTACAGAAACAATCTCTATGTTAATTTGGTTTGGTAGTTTGGCCTAAACCTCTAAGTTTACACATATCTACAAGCAGTTGGTTGCTCATCTTTTACAACACTAGAAAGTCACTTTTCATGAAAATGGTTACAGTACAGAAGTCAAAACTGTATTTTACTCATGCTCTTCATGATCTTGACAAAACAGACCTCATTGAGAAAAAAAATTTTTTTTTTTTTTTTGCCCAAACTTACTTTTAGAAGGAGCTGGGTGTTGGAAGCTCCTTTCTGCAGCAAATGATCTTCTGGCTTGCCTTCCTTGCTCTGATCTGTTGTGACTTTTTCTAAAACTGGTTCCTCTTTCTTACTGTGTGCTCTTCCCAAATTTGGCTTAGCCTTTTGGAATTTCCTTCTTGTCATTTGTGCTGAACTAGGAACATACGGTTTATTTTCATGTCTAGAATGAAGTATGAATCATGTTGAAGAACAAAAATCAGAATTTCTTGTTGATATAACAGCTGTTACATCAAACAATTTTGGATACAAATCAATTCTATGTTCAAAGGACTATATATAAATTGGCAATAAAATCAAGCATGTAAAATGAAACCACACATTGCTGATATGAAAAGAACTTATAAAGCATTTATAGCTTCCATTTTCTATAGAGCCTGAAAAAGTTTTACAATAATATTAATCTTTTTAAACTTTCATTTATTCATTCTATTATATGATTTCATGCTACTTTAATTTTCAGAGAAATCACAGGATACCAAAAAAAAAAAGGCAAGTAGCTGAAGATGGATTTCATAATGGCACTTTAAACACATGCCTTCAACTGGGCCCCCAAAGCATGAACAAATATATGACAGTTATAACCAACTCGATACTTCTAGTTCTAAAGTAGACTTGAAGGGTAGAGTCTATTCTCCTAACAGATGCCTGAACTCTCACTAAAAAGGGTTTACTGACAACCAATGTCATAAGGTTCTCAATATAATCCGTCTGTATCTGCCAAATAACAAAAAGACGTTTTAGCATTCAAGAGAGTAGCCAGAGCTCCCAAGGTAACCTGAATAGCTATCTAATGGTTTCCTGGACAATATTTTAGCAACTGGCAAAGATCTGAATTAGGAAGCTTAAAAACTAATAGAGACCAGGCACGGTGGCTCACGCCTGTAATCCCAGCACTTTGGGACGCCGAGGTGGGCGGATCACCTGAGGTCGGGAGTTTGAGACCAGCCTAACCAACATGGAAAAACCCCATCTCTACCAAAAATAAAAAATTAGCTGGGCATGGTCGTGCATGCCTGAAGTCCCAGCTACTCGGGAGGCTGAGGCAAGAGAATCACTTGAACCTGGGAGGTGGAGGTTACAGTGAGGCGAAGTTGCACCACTGCACTCCAGCCTGGGCAACAAGAGCAAAACTCTGTCTCCAAAAAAAAAAAAAAAAACTAATATAAACCTGAATATTTATAAAGAATAACTGGATATATAAGTACCTATCTTGAGTTCTCTGAAAGATCTGCATTAAAAACTAATCTTTTTTTTTTTTTTTGAGACGGAGTTTCGCTCTTGTCACCCAGGCTGGAGTGCAATGGTGCGATCTCGGCTCACTGTAACCTCCGCCTCCAGGTTCAAGCGATTCTCCTGCCTCAGTCTCTCAAGTAGCTGGGATTACAGGCATGCGCCACCACGGCTGGCTAATTTTGTATTTTTAGTAGAGATGGGGTTTCTCTATGTTGGTCAGGCTGGTCTCAAACTCCCGAACTCAGGTGATTCGCCCGCCTTGGTTTCCCAGAGCGCTGGGATTACAGGTGTGAGCCACCATGCCCGGCCTTCAATGCACCCTTTCAATGAAGCTTTCTCTGGTCACTGCTGATTAAAAAGTGAATCCCCAGTCACAACACTCCCTACTCAAAACTTTATTTTTCTCTACTGATTTATCACTTATTTATTCAACTTATTTCTCATTTATAATCTGTTTCTCAATTAGAATATAAACTCCACAGTGACAGCATTTTTTTCTTCATTTATTCCTACATCATCAGCACTTAGAACAATGCCTGGCACACAGCAGACACTAAAATGTTTGTGGAATAAATGAGTATATAAGGTTATTTTCAGTGGTAAAATTCTATAATTCTTTGAGATCAAAAAGGGATTATACATAGAAAATAATCCCATAATTAGTAATTAGGAGAAGTGAATGATGTAAACAAATTCATCTGTAATGTTTCCTAGACATTATCAGAGTTAAATTGCTCTGAGATCAATCATCAACCTAATCCAATATAGCATTTGTAATATAAGTCTAATGCATTTTAGTAAAAAACATTTCAATAAAATATCCAGTTTTAAAAACTGAAAAAATGGCTAAGGGAACCTAAAATTAATGTGAAGTAAAAATTGGCCTTAATCTTAAAATAAAAGCAATATGGAAAGACTTTTCAATGCATAGCACAGGGAACAATCAACAAAGTGAAGAGACAACCTACAGAATGGGAGAAAAAATTCCCAACTATCCATCTCACAAAAGTTAATAACCAGAATATATAAGGAACAAAAACAACTCAATAGCAAAAAAACAAATAATCTGATTAAAGAATAGGCAAAAGAGAACAGACAGTTCTCAAAAGACATACAAATGGCCAACAGGTGTCTGACAAAATGTTCAACATCATTAATCATCACGGAAACGCAAATCAAAACTGCACTGAGATATCCTACTGCCGTTAAAATGGCTACTGTTAAAAAGACAAAAAATTACAAATACTGGTCAGGATGTGGAGAAATGGGAAAACTCATAGGCTGTTCGTGGGAATATAAAGTAGGAATGCCATTATGGAAAAAAGTATGAAAGTTCCTCAAAAAACTAAAAATAGAACTACCATTTGATTGAGCCATCCTACTGCCAGGTGTATGTCCAAAAGAAAGGAAATCACTGTATCAAAGAGATATCTGAACTCTCATGTTTACTGCAGTGGTATTCACAATAGCCAACACATAATATCAACCTAAGTGTCCAGCAACAAATGAATAAAGAAAGTGAGAAAGTGTGGTATATATACACAATGGAATATTATTTAACCATAAAAAAGAATGAAATCCTGTCATTCACAGTGACATAGATGGAACTAGAGGTCATTATGTTAGGTGAAATAAGCCAGGCACAGAAAGACAAATATTGCTGGTTCTCACTCATATGTAGCAGCTTAAAAAGTGGATCTCATGGAGGTAGGGATTAGAATGGTGCTCACCAGAGGCTAGGAAGGCAAGAGGGAAGGGAGTAATGAGAAGCTGGTTAGTGTGTATAAAAATACAGTTAGATAGAAGGAATAAGTTCTGGTATTCAGTAGTACAGTAGGAAAAATTATAGTTAACAATCATTTATTGTATTATTTCAAAATAGCTAGAAAATTATGTTGCCAATATAAAGATAAAAGTATGAAGTGATGGATATCCCAGTTACTCTGATCTGGTAATTATATATTGTGTATAATGTATCAAAATATCACATGTAGTCCAAAAATATGTATAACTATTATATATCAAAAAAAAATTTAAGGCTTTTTAAGACAAAAAGCAGGGGGAGGGGCTGTAATATTGAAAACAAAAGTAATCCAGGTTGGGCGCAGTGGCTCATGCCTGTAATCCCAGCACTTTGGGAGGCTGAGGTGGGTGGATCACCTGAGGTCAGGAGTTCGAGACCAGGTTGGCCAACATGGTGAAACCCCATCTCTACTAAAAATACAAAAATTAGTAGGGTGTGGTGGTGGGTGCCTGCAATCCCAACTACTCGGGAGGCTGAAGCACAAGAATCACTTGAATCCAGGAGGCGAAGGTTGCAATGAGCCACGATCAAGCCACTGCACTCTGAGACTCTGTCTCCAAAAAAAAAAAAAAAAAAGTAATCCATACTAAAATAAAAACTTCACATTAGAAACTCGTCTAAATGAAAGCAAACTGCTTCAAGCATCTAAAATTAACAGAGGTCGGGCACGGTGGCTCACCATGTAATCCCAAGATTTTGGGAGGCCGAGATGGGCGGTTCACTTGAGCTCAGGAGTTCAGGACCAGCCTGGGCAACATGGTGAAACCCCATCTCTACAAAAAGATACAAAAATATTAGCCAGGCATGATGGTGTGCACCTGTGGTCCCAGCTACTCGAGAGGTTGAGGTGGGAGAATTGCTTGAGCCCAGGAAGTTGAGGCTGCAGTGAGCTGTGACTGCGCCACTGCACTCCATCCTGGGCGACACAGTGAGACACCTTGTCTCAAAAAGTAAATATAATAAAAAGAAAATATAAATCAATAGCACCTGTTTTGACAGATGACCTAACATGCCCAAATTCTAGCTTCACCTAACTAGAGAGGGTTAAAAAAGGATACAATAACATCTCCTCTGCATTTCCCAGAAAGCCAAAGTCACTCTACCTAATTAAAGGAAGCTGAAATATTTAAAGTATATTCATAAGTGCTGAAAACATCCTGGAGGAAAATTAATAAATACTTCACTAAAACATGTTCTAGTTACTAAGACAGTAAGTTAGATGGACCAAGAACTATATACAGAAAGGAAAGGCGTTTTTACTAAAGAAAAGAACACATCTTGCTTTAATAATAAGAAGGCAGATAGCAAGTAATAAATAAAAGTGGTAATGTTAAAACTTCTTCACCCTACTAGCTCATCTCAATTAAAAGATATCATTCTTACCATTTGGCTTCGATGTAGTTACCTCTAAATATAGTATACTGTTAAGTATACTTTATAGCACTACCTATTAATGAATTTTAGTCAGTAGGTTATAAACTTCTTTTCTTTTTTTTATTTGTTATTTTTATAGAGACGAGGTCTCACTATGTTGCCCAGGCTGGTCTTGAACTCCTGGACTCAAGCGATCCTCTCGTCTTGGCTTCCCAAAGTGCTGGGAGATTACAGGCGTGAACCACTGCGCCTGGCCTAAATTTCTAAAAAAGATACAGAGAACTTAAGAATCTTTGTCTACTATTAAAAATTTAGTTTTGGTACCAAAAAGTAGGATGCTTGTCAAACTTTTCAGAGAAATTACATATACTTAAGGGAATATCATATACTTAAGAGAATATCAGCCATGCAATTCATACAGTATTCGAGAAGCAGATTTAAAAGACTCTAGTATCACAAGTATTTATTACTTTATCCTTTTAACATTTTCAGGATGTGAAGTTATTAATATATAAAGTCAACTATGCAAAAATATAACTTTTATCTTTGAAAAGTCTTATTTTTTCTCATTAAAAGCAAACTCACCTGATTGTTTCATTTGTTTTGTTAACATGAAGGTTTTCTACAAGAACCACCTGACTTTGATTTTCATACATTCTGTGTTCTGGAACTGCGGACGATGGAACTTCAATTTCAGTTTCAATTTGAGAATTTGACTGAAAAGACAAAATCATATTAGTATGTTATTTTTATAGCAGAATATACCTCTTAAAATATTTCCACCATTAAGATATTTAGTTTTTTAAAATCCCTTTTCTTTTTTAAATTTTTATTTATGCATTTTGAGATAGTCTCATCATACTGCCCAGGCTAGTCTCAAAGTCCTAGGCTCAAACGATCCTCCTTCCTCAGCCTCCTGAGTAACTGGGATTACAGGCAGATACCACCATGGGTGGTTAATTCTTTAAAATTAGATTCAAACTGGATATGTAATGTTCACATTCTGTTGCCAAAAACAAGGATGCCTAGTTCAGAGAAAAGTTTCAAAGATTATTGCAGTAATATGTTTACATAATACTTTGAAAACTATAATAGTCACCTGCTATGAAATTAAAAATAAACAAAGTTTAATTTTTTTTTTTAAGAAAGAGCTTTTTGGTTCAAATAAAGATTATTTTAAATCTAGACTTTGCATTGTTTAACAGAAAAATAAGAACTACCTAAAATGAACATTTTTAGACATTACACTACTTAGACTTTTTCCCTAATACCAAAAGACCCATTAATAAGAGATTAAACTGTTACTCAAAACAGCATGTTATACAGCAAAAATGATGTAACTAACATATTTCTTGATCCAGAAAGCCACTTAACATAGTATTCAGTGAATAACAGAAAGTTATAGTACGTAATGACTTTATTGTTTAAATTTGCATAAGTGTGCACATAATGTGTGCATGGAAATAAATCCAGTAAGATATGTCAAAAGGTTTTCAGTGGTTATCTCAGAGTAAGATTTGCGGTATTTATATTATTTTGTCCTAATGGAACATTTTACGATGAATAGCTTCATTAATTAGAAAAGAAATAAATCTATTTTCACTTAAAAAAAAAATCCAGAAGAGCAAATCTGAAACAAAACTGGAAACTGTATTCATTGAGTAGAATAAGTGTCAGATGCCTGTATTTCTAAGCTATGTCTGAGCTATAACTTGACATTTTAAATGCATTAAAAGGCTAAATTTAATTACATAACAATAACTCACCACAGTTAAGACTTTCTTTTCAGTTTCATCTTTTGGTAATATCGTTCTTCCTTCCTTAATTATGCCTTTGGCTTCACCTTTGTCTACTATTTGCCTCTGTCCTGTCTTTCTTATATTTGGTCTCGGTCTCTGAAGTCGGCCCCTTACTTGTCGAGCAGTTTGGATAACACTTTCCTTCATTTCTTGCTGGAAAGTGTTTACATTATTAGTCCTAAACAAGGGGACAGGGAGAAAGGCAGGGCGCTTGACTGTAAAAAGCTGAAAACTAATGTAAAAATGTAAAATTTGGATCTCCTCTAATAAACACTCTAAAAAATACTTTGTACCATTAAAGGGAAATTGCTTTCTGATTATAAACATCTTATTTTACAAAAGAAAACAGTTATGTCAATTCTTAAAAGGTAATAAACTTATATAATATGCCTAAAGTAGCTAAATATACAGATAGAATGGTGGTTGCCAGGAGCTGGAAGAGGAGGAGAATGAGTTAGTATTTAATGGGTAGAGAGTTTCATTTTATGAAGATGAAAAAGAAAGTCTAGAGATGAATGGTGGTGGCAACGGGACAACAATGTGAATACACTTAATGCCACTGTATATTAAAAAATAGTTAAAATGGTAAATTTTATCTTATGTGTATACTAATTTTTAAAAGTTAATGAATATATATAGCTTATATACATATAAGCTGAGTAGCCCTATCCAAAATGCTTAGGACCAGAAATGTTTCAGATTTCAGATTTTTTTAGATTTGGAAATATTTGCATTATACTTATCAGTTGAGCATCCCTACTTTGAAAATCCAAAATGCTCCACTGAGCATTTCTTGAGCATCATGTCAGCTCTCAAAAAGTTTTAAATTGTGGCACATTTCAGAATTTTTTATTAGGGATGCTCAACTTGTAGTTTTTAAATGCATTGCTTTGTATACACTCTTACGCAGCTGACAATGCAGATAAGCAGGCAACCATTAGAAGGTGTTGAATTCAATCTGATATTATATTTTAGGCAGTCTGCTGTATCAATAAAATTAAACCAATATTCTTTATGTTCACTTTTTAAATGCATTAACATATCTCAATAAAAATTAGAAATATTTAAAAGAAGTATCTCTCTTATTTTATATTGTCAAAGAAAATCACTGTTTACCCCACAGAAACAACTGAGTCATTTTTCTGGACTGGTGCTGACTGAGACTCCTCTTTAGGTTCACAAGAATTTGAAGGTGAAAGGTTCCTTTCAGTCTGTGTACATGGCAATATCACAGCCTCCTCATTCCTGTGACCTAATGTGTCTTTTTCTCTTGATATCATTAGGGAAGCTTCATCCTAGAAGACAGAAAAAAAATTTCATTCACAGTTGCTAAAAGTATAAGGAAATAAGAACTTTACAAGTATAAACTGATATCATCTTCGTGAAGAATAATAGGGTAGTCTATACCAAAATTCTAAATTCCCAGCAATTCCACTTCTAGAAATGTATCTTATAAATACTCAACAAGTAGAAATATACACACAAAAATATTTATTGTAACAATTTAAGCACCACCTCCCTCACCGGAAAAGACAAACAAAAAAATCAGAAATAAAACAGATATATCATTAGGGGATGGAATAAATAAATTTTAATTTCTTTACAATGCAATAGTACCTAATCATTTAAAAGAAGATATATCTCTTTGTACTGATCTAAAAAGAAGCTCACAATACTGTAAGTGGAAAAATCAGAAAGCAAGAATTAATGTCATTTTGGAAAACAATAAAAATACCTTCCCATTTTATCATTTTATAACTGTAAGACGAAAAAGTGTAAGTGGATATATTCAAAATTGCTGTATGATTAACTTGGGGGAAAGGGACGTGACATTATAAAAGACTCTCACTTTTTAGAATACATATATTTTTCCAAATTAAAATTTCTATAATCAGAAAGTATAATACAAATGTAACTTATCTTTTATGAATATAAGCTTAGGAGAAATAGTACAAATGTTGATGCACAGTAAAGTACTGAGCTATTTTAAGACATCAAATAAGAATTTTAATTCTAAGAAGGACTTCCACTGAATGTGGAAAACATTCAGTTTATAATTATTCATTTCGTTTCAATGTTTTTTTGATGGTATGTCACACAATCTTAATCTGTTATGGACCAAGTTAATAAAGTAAATAAAATATCACCTTTAACTCAAATCAAGCTTTTAACTCTTCATTTCACCTTCACAAGAGAGTGAAATAAAAAACGATTATTCTCGCTGGGCGCCACGGCTCAGCGTAATCCCAGCACTTTGGGAGGCCAAAGCAGGCAGATCACGAGGTTAGGAGTTCGAGATCAGCCTGGCTAACATAGTGAAACCCCATCTCTACTAAAAATACAAAAAAAAAAATTAGCCGGACATGGCAGCACGCGCCTGTAGTCCCAGCATTCAGGAGGCTGAGGCAGGAGAATCGCTTGAACCTGGGAGGTGGAAGTTGCAGTGAGCCGAGATCGCGCCACTGCACTCCAGCCTGGGAACAGAGTGAGACTTCATCTCAAAAAAATAAAAATAAAAAAAATAAAAAACTATTATTGTCATTTTTTCTATGAAGAAAATTGTTTAATCAATGGTCACATAGCTGGAACTGGAACCAGAGCCCAGACCTGAACGCTTTCCCACAACACGTTTGCCCATTATCAGATATCTGAGATTCTTACACAAATTATGTGGAACAATGAGGCACATTAAGCATGGGAGCAATATCACATGCAGCAAAAATTACACAGAAATATTTGTAGAATTTTAATGCCAGGTGCTTTTAGTAGTCCTAATAACTTAAAAAAAAAAAAAAACACCCACACAGAACTTCCATCTCAAATACACTCACATGTTGAGAAGGGAGAGTATCAGTTTGTTCATTATTTTCTTGCATCACAATAGTCTCCATTTTCTTGGTTTCTGATTTCTTCTCATATATATATTTTTCTGATTCTGTAGTCTCTCTCTTCAAAGCTGCTCTTGCTAAGTTTGGTTTTGGTCTTTTGAATCGGCTCCTCACAAAAGGTGCTGGTTTAATTTCAAGTGGCTTCTGTTCTTGAGGAAGAGATTTGCTTTTGGAACAAGGATTATCAAGCTTTAGAATGAACTGAAGGGGCAGTGGAAACGGAGTCTCAGTACAACCTTAGAGACTGGCGGTAAACATTTAATTTTTTTTTTTTTTTTTTTTTTTTTGGAGACAGGGTCTTGTTCTATCCCCCAGGCTGGAGTGCAATGACACAATCATAGCTCACTGCAGCCTTGACCTCCGCGGGCTCAAGTGATCTTCCCATCTGAGCCTCCCAAGTAGCTGGGACTACAGGCATGTGCCACCACACCCAGCTAGTTTTTGTTTTTTTATTTTATAGAGATGGGGTTTCTACAGCGTGTTGCCCAGGCTGGTCTCAAACTCCTAGGCTCAAAGGATCCACCCACCTCAGCCTCCCAAATTGCTAGGATTACAGGTGTGAGCCACCATACTTGGCCTAATTCTAATTCTTAACAGGAAAACAAATCGAACTATCTGGCAGATCCTGAAAACCATGAGTGGTACAATCCAGGTATGAGCCTAGGAATTACACCATCTCTGCACAAAGAAAATATGAGTCTATCAAACCTGTATTGATTTAAGACTGTTACATACAATTTTGTATGTCAGTAACTTTCACAATTGACTGTCAGAGTGACCTCAATCCTCTCTCCCAGTCTTCCCAAAACTATCTTAAAAGCTCTAACACTATCCTGTATATGTTATATCTTGAAACCTCACTTAGTTTAACGTAATCTGCAACTATAACTTAATATCTTTTTCTTTAAAAACACACTTGTACCTTAAATTAATATCTGAAAACTGCTCTGGAACATCTGGAGATTGAATCCCCTGGACTTCTGTTTTATCAGATTCATGAGTCTGTGAAGAAATCTTGAAATGACTGAAGTGACTTGATACTTCTTTTTCAGAATTTCTTTTTTCTTCTACAGGTGTATGCATCATCGACAGTACTTCACTGCTAATGTTCTAGAGGAACAGTCATAGTAAATCAGCACAAATAAAAGAGTATTTAAACATCTTATATATTTAAAACAAAAGTCTACTAAATTCTAAACACTTTCCTTTAAAACTTTAGAAGTTTTTAATTTTTGAATAAAATTTAATTTCCAAATGTTAAAACTTGGAATTCAGGAAACCCTTTTATGTTGCATATTATTACTTTCCCAAACCACAAATGTCATTATCTATTTTTAAAAGTTAGAAAAAAAAAAAAGTCCTTGAAAATGTTAGAAGATCATGAACTTCAAAGTAACTTGAAAAAACAAAAAGAACTTTTAGAAGTGAAGTAAGTCAGGTGGGGCAAGAAACAAAAGCAGATACAGATGTGGCCAAAAGAAATAATGTGTGTTCACGCTAGGGTTAGTACAAATTCAGTCTAATTTCCTATTCTTCTTTTACCTAAAAGAGTAACTTCAAATGATATTAAGAACAGTGACATTTTTGAGATCTCAAACCTAAGCCAAAAGAAAAGTTTGATCCTTGCCCATCTGACTTAAAGAAAAAAAATAATAATAATAACAGTGACTTTTTCACAGTTGGAAATTATTTTTATTTCTTTTTGAGACAGGGTCTCACTCTGTCACCCAGGGTGGAGTACAATGGCACAATCACAGCTCACTGCAGCCTCAACCTCCAGGGTTCAAGTGATCCTCTCACCTCAGCCTCCCAAGTAGCTGGGACTACAGGCTTACACCTTGTTATTGTATTTTATTTTTTATTTATTTTATTTATTTTTATTTTATCTTATTTTTTGTAGAGACAAGGTCTCTCTATGTTGCCCAGGCTGGTCTCAAACTCCTGGGCTCAAGTAATCCTTCCACCTTGGCCTCCCAAAGTGTTGGGTTTAAAGGTGTGCCCAGCCTAAAGTTATCTTTTTAAAAAAGAACATACAGTTTCTTCAAGGCACTGAAACATAGAAACTTAGGGCTACAAAAGACTTTAGACTTTTAGAGATTTTTAAGTGTTGTTGGACTTAAGGACAAAATAATCATGGAATTATTTATTTCCTCTGAAAAAAGCATTCAAAAAACTTTTAAAGGACAGAAAAATACATACCTGAATATCTAGTGAAGGCACAGCACTGAAGTCATTGCTACCGCTCTGCATTAAATGTGTGTCAGTTTGTCTTGAGGTACTGGTCTCCTCTAGCTCGTTTTCCCTTGGAGAAATGTCTGTTTTTCCAGTTTGTTTCAATTCTGCCACCTTTTCCTCAGTAACACAGATCTCTTCAGATCCTCTCTCTCTAAAATTTTCTTTTCCAGTTTCTTTCAAATCTGCCTCCATTTCTTCAACAACAGCCATCTTTCCTGATACTTTCTCCATGATGGGAATGTCTCTTTTTCCAGTTTCTTTCAAATCAATCTCCTTTTCCCTTATAGCACTGAACTCTGCTAGCACCTTTTCCCTTTGGGAAATTTCTTCTCTAATTTCTTTCAAATCTGTCTCCATTTTACCTACAGGCTTGACCTCCTCTGGGCCATTTTCCTGTGGCGATATTTCTCTTTCAGTTTCTTCCAAATCTGTCTCTATTACCTCAGCAGCATCAATCACCTCTCGTGTCTTCTCCCTTGAGGAACCCTCTCTTCCAGTTGTTTTCAAGTCTGTCTCCATTTCATCTACAGGCTTGACCTCCTCTGGGCCATTTTCCTCTGGGGATATTTCTCTTCTTCCAGTTTCTTCCAGATCTTTGTCTATTTCCTCAGTGGCATCAATCACCTCTGGTGTCTTCTCCCTTGGGGAAATCTCCCTTCCGGTTGCTTTCAAATCTGTTTGCATTTCACCTAGAGGCTTAACCTCCTCTAGGCCATTTTCCTGTGGGGATATTTCTCTTTCAGTTTCTTCCAAATCTATCTCTATTTCCTCAATGGCATCAATCACCTCTGGTGTCTTCCCCCTTGGGAAACTGTCTCTTCCAGTTGCTTTCAAATCCGTCTCCATTTCACCTAGAGGCTTGACCTCCTCTAGTCCATTTTCCTGTGGGGATACTTCTCTTTCAGTTTCTTCCAAATCTATTTCCTCAGTAGCATCAATCACCTCTGGTGTCTTCTCCCTTGGAGAACTCTCTCTTCCAGTTGCGTTCAAATCTGTCTCCATTTCATCTACAGGCTTGACCTCCTCTGGGCCATTTTCCCTTGGGGATATTTTTCTTCTTCCAGTTTCTTCCAAATTTTTGTCTATTTCCTCAGTGGCATCAGTCACCTCTGGTGTCTTCTCCCTTGGGGAACTCTCATTTCCAGTTGCTTTCAAATCTGTCTCCACTTCACCTAGAGGCTTAACCTCCTCTGGGCCATTTTTCTGTGGGGATATTTCTCTTCTTCCAGCTTCTTCCAAATCTTTGTCTATTTCCTCAGTGGCATCAATCACCTCTGGCGTCTTCTCCCTTAGACAAATCTCTCTTCCCATTGCTTTCAGACCTGTCTCCATTTCTATGGTGTCATCAATCACATCTAGAATCTTCTCCCTGGGAGAAATGGCTCTTCTTCCAGTTTCTTTTAAATCTGACTGCATTTCTTTAGTATTAATCTCTGCTGGTACCATCTCCTTTGGTGAGGTGTCTAGTCTTACAGTTTCTCTCAATGCTGCCGCCATTTCCCCAGAGACAAGAATCTTCTCTAGTACCTCTTCCTTTGAGGAAATTTCTCTCCTTCCAGTTCCTCTTCCTATATTTGGCTTTGGTTTCTGAAATCGAGTCCTTAGAATTGGGACTTGGTTAAGTTTATTTGCCTTATTATTCTCTTGAACGCTATAAAAAAAAAAGGGGGCACACAATCAAGTTTTAAACCAGACTGCCTGCTGAAGAGATGATGTTTGAGAAATCACTACAGAAACACCAGAAACTCTCAAATTCAAAAAAATTAAGGAAGGCCTAGGAATCGCTGGGTAAAATTTAAAAATTAAAAGAAAAAAAATCCCACCTTTTGAAATCACAGCAATAAGTTTAAATATATATATATATCTAGTAAGGTCAATCAGTATAGAAGCTATTTGATCCTAACAGTGTCTTTCCAATTGTCATTCACACTACCATTTATAAATACTGACTGGGAAAGACTCTCCAGTTCTCTGCATTGGAGCTAGATTGATGTATGTCTGCTATTTCTACCTCTTCATCCCTTCTATCTTTTATACAGACAAATGGTTTGCCATAATAGACCTGACCACCTCAAATACCTGGATACAAGTATGACTTGACCAAGATTAAATCTTAGGACTACAAATGAGGTCTGCCCTCCTCACCTTTTAAAACCAATTTTATATGAGATTTCCTATACAGATAGTTCTCTAAAGGCTTGTTATTTCATAACATAAGTAAAGAATCAAAGGACAGACCAAATACACAATAATACTTTGCTGAATGCTACTGGGCACACAACCACTATCCAAAGCAAGCACCTTGCTCTCCAGAAAAGCAGCAGCACTTTTTGTTTTGCTTTCTGTTTATTATAATAGATGGTAAAATCAATAAACATATAAATGAATGAAAGGGCTTTTAAATGACTGGTTAGGAAAAGTTATTAATATTGGGCAAAAGCTAGATCAAATGAAACACTAGATTGTATTCGGCCATGTCGGACTGAACAGGTATATAACTATACATTCAACAGCTTAAAAAAAGACGTATTGAGCTGGGCATGATGCTTCATGCCTGTACTCCTAGCACTTCAGGAGGCTGAAGCAGATGGCTTGAGCCCATGAGTTTTTGGTAGAAATCCCATCTCTACAAAAAAAAAAAAAATTAGTCAAGTGAGGTGGCGTGCACCTGTAGTCCCAGCTATTCAGGAGGCTGAGGTGGGAGGATCACCTGAGCCCAGGAAGGATGAGGCTGCAGTAAGCCATGATCATGCCACTGCACTCCAGATTGGGCAAGAGAGCAAGATCCCATCTCAAAACAAACAAACAAAAAACAAAACAAATAAGCAAAAGATTTACTTAAAAGTATGCTAGGCTGGGCATGGTGGCTCAGCCTGTAATCCCAGCATTTTGGAAGGCTGAGACAGGTGGATCACTTAAGGTCAAGAGTTTGAGACCAGCCTGGCCAACATGATGAAACCCTGTCTCTACTCAAAATACAAAAATTAGCAGGGCGTGGTGGCACGCGCCTGTAATCTCAGCTACATGGGAGGCTAAAGCAGGAAAATAGCTGGAACCCAGGGGGCGGAGGTTGCAGTGAGCCAAGATCATGCCACTGCACTCCACCTGGGCAACAGAGTAAGACTCTGTCTCAAACAGAAACAAAAACAAAACAACAAAAGTATGCTATTGCTTGTTTCAACTTCTTTAGGTCCTATACTATCCTTCCTCACTGAAATAACTGTTTTCAATAATGCAATTTTTGATACTGTAAGACAGGTCCTTAGGAATAAGATTGCTTTTCAAATTGTACTTGTTTACATAACTGAAGTGTTTATATCCATCATTAACTTTAGCAATTGACAACGTTAAATGTAAAATTAACAGCAATCAATAAAGGAAATTTAATTTGATTAGTCCTGAATGGACCGCATTCCATTTTTTGATTTATGATACTTTTCATCTCCATCCAGAAACATCTAGCTTTTAGTGAGATTACTGTGCTAGCAATCTTGGTTTGGGTACCATGGGAAGAGATAAAATAAACTATCTTTATAAAGTCACATTTTGAAAACAGGCGTATTATTTAAACATATAAATGCTTGAAGCAAAGGCTTTATTAATAATTTCATTATTTCCATAACAGTTCAGATTGTAAGATACAGATATGCAATGTTATAATTATATTCTATGTGCTTAGATTTTTTAAACTGCCATTCCACCAAAGCAATAGATTGATTGTTTCTAAGTAACAAAAGAAGTACAGAATTAACTGAAGGGCAGTATCTGAGACTGGATATCAGATATAAAATTGAACTAGATTATTTCTCAACTTAAAATATACAGTGGATCTACGAACTTTCCTCAGATCACAAATTTGAGAAGAAAGGCAAAACAAGAGGATCATGAATGGAGAAAATAAGGTATGGAATGAGCACAAAACTATAAATGTGCTTTAAGGTCTGCATATGTGTTTTTCTAAAACACGGAGTTTAAGAATCTATAAAATATTCATGGCCAGGCGTGGTGGCTCACACCTATAATCCCAGCACTTTGGGAGGCCAAGGAAGGAGGATCCCTTCAGCCCAGGAGTTCAAGACCAGCCTGGGCAACATGGCGAAACCCTGTCTCTACAAAAAAATTTAAAAATTAGCCAGATGTGGTGGCATGCACCTGTAGTCCCAGCTACTTGGGAGGCTGAGGCAAGAGGATCAATTGAGCCCAAAAGGTGAATGCTGCAGTAAGCCATGATCACACCACTGCACTCCAGCCTGGGTGACAGAGCAAGACCCTTGTCTTTAAAAAAATATGGGTGTGTGTGTGTGTGTGTGTGTGTGTGTGTGTGTGTGTTTCAAATATATATATATATATATATATAAACCTCCAAACAAACATCACCAAATCACCAATCATGACAAAAAACTTAAAATATTTATATGAAGTAGGTAAGATGCAAAATTAACCTAGAAGATTAAATTTCAAAGAAATACTCACTAGTTTATCTAATAAAGTACCTTTTCTTTAATAGAGATGGGTCTTGCTATGTTGTCCAGGCTTGTCTTGAGTTCCTGGCCTCAAGTGATCCTCCTGTCTCAGCCTCCCAAAGTGCTGGGATTATAGGTGTGAGTCACCATGCCCAGCCTAAAGAATTTTTAATGCATTCTTTGAGAGACTATTTTCCTACTATCTCTCTTACATAGCATCTTGAACAGGCCAACATATGTGGAGTAGGAGAGGGGGAAAACTTTCTGTTAGACATAGGTGTATAATTTGATAAAACACAGAATCTTAGAATTGCTTTTGAGGATTCTGGAGATTCAAAGGCTAGAAAGGTCACATGACAAAGCAAAAATGACACTGCCCATGGAGAGGAAAGTTGTTGAGATCAGATTGAGTATTAGTTACAGTGTCCACCAGTGTTCTAAAACCCAGAGGCCATTCAGAAAAGTTTAATTTTCTACCAAGCCACAGTATCTATTAATAGACTCTAGTTTAAACTGAAAAAATATAAATAAAAAGAATAATTTGTTAGCTAACTGTAATTAAAATCCATATCAGAGATATGCAGCAAGCAATGTAGTCATACAAACTTCTACCTAGAGACTGTGTGCACATTAGTAAAATAATCCGGGCAGTGGGGAGGAATAAGAAGCAAAGGAATAGTGAAGGCAACAAGAAATAGAGAAATTTTTTTGTCTTCCAATGAAGATCTTTAAAGTAGTTCAGGAAACCTAGCTTTCACTCTCAGGTTAGGTACTTTTCTTTTTTGGAGGGACAGGAGTCTGTCTCACTTTGTTGCCCTGGCTGGAGTAAAGTGGCCCATTCATAGCTCCCTGCAGCTTCTAATTCCTGGGCTCAAGCAATCCTCTTCCTTCAGCCTTCCATGTAGCTAGATAGGCATGAGCCACCATGCCCAGCTAGGTACTATTTAAATAGGCTAATACAGCTGTAAGAAAGTATAGCATAGGCTAGCCTTTAAACGTAAAGACTGGTAAATATTAATTACTGAAACTGGACAGCAGGTATATGGGAGTCCACTACTGCACTTTTGCGCACATTAAACATTTCCAAGTTGAAAAGTTGAAATAGTATACCAGTAATTCCATCAGTCTGGCTTGGTACCCTCCAAGGAAGAAATAAAAAATAGAAAAGACTTTGACTATAAGCAGTATGGGTTTCTATACATAAGTTTTAAATAAAATTTATAAATCTTAAATAAAGGCAATATGTGCTCAATCTAATTCCAAAGAAACAAATATTTTAAAAATAAGTAGCATTTTACATTTGAACATAAACATATATTTCAATATGCATGTTAAGTGATAAAGCTGGCTGGGTGTGATGGCTCACACCTGTAATCCCACCACTTTAGGAGGCCGAGACAGGTGGATCACTTGAGGTCAGGAGTTCGAGACCAGCCTGGCCAACATGGTAAAACCCTGTTTCTACTAAAAATACAAAAATTAGCTGGGCTTGGTGGCAGGCACCTGTAATCCCAGCTACTCGGGAGGCTGAGGCAGGAGAATTGTTTGAACCTGGGAAGCAGTGGTTGCAGTGAGCTGAGATTATACTCCAGCCCAGGCAAGAAGAGTGAAACTCCGTCTCAAAAAATAAAAAGTAAAATAAAATAAAATAAAGTGATAAGGCTATTCATGTTAACTCAAGTACTAATTTACGATGAGTAGCTTTCTTCAAACCATCTGAGAAATTCACATAAAGGCTACAACATAAACTTTCTTGAAAGGTGAAGTTATATTTTTAAACACTACATAACTAGACACGCAGACAACAAATCCATCTAAATTGCTTCTGCTTTAAAAAACTGATTGAGTTCTAAAACTTTTTACAAAATCCAAAGATTATATATCAACAAAATGATGCTTACCTTAGACATTCATTAAGAACCTTGGGCTCATCTGGCTGCACATTTTGAAAAGAATCATTTTTCTCAGGCTGTAATATGACATCTTCCTCTTCAAAATCTTTACGCGATTGATCTTCCATGTGTTGAGGAGTCTTAAAAACAAACAAATTTTTCTAATGTTTTAGGTTTCACAATGAGGCATAACAGATTTCATTGAAAATGTCCAATTTAAGTATAAAATGGTAAAAAATTCAACATTATAAAATGGAGACTTTAAAATACTTTTAATGTTTTTTCTTTAGCTATCTTAGAAAATTTCATGAGTTACTCCTTTTAGGATATCTCAAAGCCCCATTCTTTTCCTCCCAATCAAAAAACAAGTAACTGCCTTGGTTTCATCTGTTAGAAATACCCCTGTGGGGTCTATCTTTCTGAATTCTTTTGATTACTATAAATGCATTATAGATCACGGGAATTTTTTTTTCTTTTTTTTTTTTTTTGAGACGGAGTCTTGCTCGGTCGCCCAGGCTGGAGTGCAGTGGTATGATCTCGGCTCACTGCAAGCTCTGCCTCCCAGGTTCATGCCATTCTCCTGCCTCAGCCTCCCGAGTAGCTAGGACTACAGGCGTCCACCACCACACCCAGCTAACGTTTTTGTATTTTTAGTAGAGAAGGGGTTTCACCGTGTTAGCCAGGATGGTCTCAATCTCCTGACCTCGTGATCCGCCCACCTCGGCCTCCCAGAGTGCTAGGATTACAGGCATGAGCCACTGCGCCTGGTCAGAATTTTTTTTTTTTAAGACAGGGTCTCACTCTGTCACCCACGCTAGAGTGCAACGGCATAATTATAGATAGCTCACTGGAGGCTTGAACTCCTGGGCTCAATTGATCCTCCTGCCTCAGCCTCCCAAGTAGCTGGGACTATAGGAGCACACCACCAAGCCCAGCTAATTAAAAAAATTTTTGTTTGTAGAGACAGAGTGTCACTATGTTGCCCAGACTGGTCTCAGACACCTGGCCTCAAGCAATCCTCTCACCTCGGCCTCCCAAAATGCTGGGATTTCAGGCATGAGTCACCATGCCTGGCCTAGAGACCATGGGAATTATAAGAAATTGAAATCTCAAAACATGACAACTTTTATCTTTATCACAAAGGCTATGTAAATAATCTAAAATTCACAGTCTTTGTTCTTGGAATTGTATCTTACTAGGGAGCTTTTAACACTTTATGCTGTTTAAGCCAATGTTAAAACTCACATATGTACTTATTTCTTCAAAACAAAAGATTAATTCAAACATCCACTAAGTGATACGGAAAAGCAACTCCAAATATGAGGTCAGGTGAAACAGATTATCTATCATGTAAATGCCCAAAATCTAAAATGGCTTTACAACTAGCAAAGCTGCTGGCTATGAGATTTTGACCAAAAATGTAATAAATGATGCACACAAATTGTGCAGTACTGTTTTGAAAAGGGGGTAAAGGGGTTGGGCACAGTGGCTCATGCCTGTAATCCTAGCACTTTGGGAGGCCAAGGCGGGTGGATCACCTGAGGTCAGGAGTTTGAGACCAGCCTGGCCAATATGGCAAAACACTGTCTCTACTAAAAATACAAAAATTAGCCAGGCGTGGTGGTGTGAGCCTGCAGTCGCACAACTAAAAATACAAAAACATTATAGATCATGTGAATTTTTTTTTTTTTTTTTTGAGACAGAGTCTTGCTCTGTCGCCTAGGCTGGAGTGCGGTGGCACGATCTCAGGTGGCTGAGGCAGGAGAATCACTTGAACCTGGGTGGCAGAGGTTGCAGTGAGGCAAGATCGCGACACTGCATTCCAGCCTGGGCGACAGAGCAAGACTCCGTCATAAATAAATAAATAAATGTATGTATGTATGTATGTAAGTATGTGGGTGAAGGGAAGCTTATATTAAGGCTCATGTACTTGCTTACCAAAAATGTGAGGAGGAATCAGAGTACTTACATCTCTATCAGCACAGGATTCATTTTCATTCTTCTCTACATTGGCCCCAATTTCTTCCTGTGATATGAGAATTTCTTTTCTTTCAGCAGCTTTACCTGCATTTGGCTTTGGCTTTTGCAATCGGCCCCTCACTTGTACAGGTCTTAAAGCCTTTAGTTGACTCCCTTCCTGCAGACAATTTTTTTCACCCAAACTAGAACCACAAAGAAATAAAATTAATGTTTATTTTGAAGTCACCAATTTCCTTCTCCCTGGCATGAATAAGTAAACCATTTGGAATATGAAATAATTCACAAGTTTCCTGAAAAGACATAATCCGCCCGGGCGCAGTGGCTCGCACCTGTAATCCCAGCACTTTGGGAGGCCGAGGCGGGCGAATCATTTGAGGTCAGAAGTTCGAGACCAGCCTGGCCGACATGGTTAAACCTGTCTCTACTAAAAATACAAAAATTAGCCAGGTGTGGTGGTGGGCGCCTGCAATATCAGCTACTTGGGAGGCTGAGGCAGAAGAATCGCTTGAAACCGGGAGGCAGAGGTTGCAGTGAGCAGAGACTGCACCACTACGTGACAGAGCGAGATTCCATCTCAAAAAAAAAAAAAAAGAGAGAGAAAAAAAAAGACATAATCCTGGAAGCCCTCTTGAAAAAGCACTTTTAAATAGAATTTTATTACAAAATTGGAAAAATCTACATCTGCCAAGCATAGAATACTACTCCTGACTAAGGATACTATAGAATAATGTAGAACTCCAGGGGATTAGTCCCAAATCATAGTATAAATGGTAACCCCTGGAAGAGCCCAGAATCCACCAGTCAGATTCACATTCTATTTTAGATTTCTATTTCAAGTTAAATATTCCCTTTTAAAATCTCTTAGTATAAATAAAATTATCCAGGGGCATATACTGTAAACATTCAAATGTAATGGCTAACTCAATAGACTCATAAAATTTATATAAGCAATATCAAGCAGAGAGAGTATTATGAATGTTTCAAAACCACCTATGGTTGAAAACGAACTTAAAGTATGCTGCTTGAAAATTAAATTCAGACCTTATTAAGTAGAAAACAAATTATTACCATCATTCCTAAGAGTTACTTTTTTTTTTTTTTTTTTTTACTACTTCCTGAATACTCACACAGATACAGTTTCAGCTTCTGGATTCTCTCTCTCTGTAGTCTCCATTCTCAAAATGTCCAATGTATTCATTTTATCTTTTTCCACGTGGTTCTGTGAATTTAATTTGCTACAATTTATCTACTTACAATAAACAGTTCAAACTTTGTAATAAACAAATGGAAATTAAAACAACAGAACTGGCCGGGCACGGTGGCTCAAGCCTGTAATCCTAGCACTTTGGGAGGCCAAGGCAGGCGGATTGCCTGAGCTCAGGAGTTCAAGACCAGCCTGGGGAACATGGTGAAACTGTCTCTACTAAAATACAAAAAATTAGCCAGGCATGGCAGCGTGTGCCTGTAGTCCCAGTTACTTGGGAGGCTAAGGCAGGAGAATTCTTTGAACGCAAAAGGTAGAGGTTGCAGTGAGCCGAGGTCACACCACTATACTCCAGCCTGGGTGACAGAGTGAGACTCCATCTCAATAAATGAATAAATAAGAACTTCATTTTTTGTACTTCTAACTAGAGGAGATTTTCTAAAAATCCTAAATGCAGATGAGAATTTTTTTTTTTTTTTGAGACAGGGTCATGCTCTGTCGCCCAGGCTAGAGTACAGTGACATGATCATAGCTCACTGCAGCCTTGACCCCCAAGGCTCAGGTGATCCTCCCACCTCAGCCTCCTGAGTAGCTGGGACTACAGGTGCACACTATGCCCAGCTAATTTTTTCATTTTTTGTAGAGACCAGATCTTGCCATGTTGCCCAGGCTTGTTTCAAATTCCTGGGCTCAGGTGATTAGCCCGCCTCAGCCTCCCAAAGGGCTGGGCTTACAGGTGTGAGCCACCACACCTGATGTACATTTTTTTTTTTTAAGAAAAATGGAATCACACTAAATATTTCAGAAAAATATTTCTGAAATGTTAATTACCAAAGGATACAAAACTGTATTGAAACCATGATTCAGTTGTGTAAAAGAAAATCTGTAAGGAGATATGTGAAAAGATTGGTTGCAAGGGAATAATGAAATTACAAGTATTAGAAGGAATGGCTGGGCATGGTGGCTCACGCCTGTAATCCCAGCACTTTCGGAGGCTGAGGCAGGTGGACCACCTGAGGTCAGAAGTTCGAGAGCAGCCTGGCTAACATGGTGAAACCCCGTTTCTATTAAATATACAAAAAATTAGCCGGGCATGGTGGCGCATGCCTGTAATCCCAGCCACTCAGGAGGCTGAGGGCAGGGGAATCGCCTGAACCCAGGAGGCGGAGGTTGCTGTGAGCCGAAATCACACCATGCACTCCAGCTGGGGCAACAAGAGTGAAACTAAACCTCAAAAAAAAAAAAAAAAAAAAAAAAGAAACAAGATTACAACACTTCAAAGAAAAAAAGGTAAAGAAAAAAATTACAAGTAATTTTTGTTTTAACTTTTACATGAATCTGTATTTTCCAAATTTTCTACAATTCAATAAACATAAGATTAGAATAATGTAACTGTACTATAAAGATTATGATAAAAGATATTTCACAAAACAGGAAAAGAAGCAAACCAACATCTTAAAAAGTGTTTTAGTTTAAAAAAAATGGTAACAATAGAATTCTGGAAAAGTTATAAGGAAACAGAAAGATTCATTTAGCAATGTAAATAGATTATTTATGACTGTCAGTTTCACAATGCATAACAATTCAGGAGACTCAGACATACCAGAAAATTTTTTAAAGTAATAAAAATAACAAATAACAAAAGACAATGCATAACAAGAATCACAAAAATATTTAAAACATTATTTGACCCAACGATCCCACCCGTCTCTAGAAATTTATACTTTGTTTCCTTGAGAAAGCCTTACTTACAAAATTGTTTGCTTCTAATGTACAAGAGTTAAAAAAACAAACAAAAATAGAAACAATCTGAACATCCATTAGTAGAGAACTGATTAGGTAAATCAATAACATGTTAACATGACACAGCTATTAAAAAGATCAATTGGACCCAAAAAAATGTAAATTAATAGTTTCAGAGGAAAAGGGTTTTTTTTTAATTTTTTATTTTTTTGAGACAGAGTTTCGCTCTGTTGCCCAGGCTGGAGTGCAGTGGTGCAATCTTGGCTCAATGCAACCTCTTCCCTTCCGGGTACAAGTGGTTCTTTTGCCTCAAACTCCCGAGTAGTTGGGATTACAAGCATGTGTCACAATGCCCAGCTAATTTTTTTGTATTTTTAGTAGAGATGGGATTTCGCCATGTTGGCCAGGCTGGTTTCAAACTCCTGGCCTAAAGTAAGCCACCAGCCTTGGCCTCACAAAGTGCTGGGATTACAGGTGTGTGCCACCGTGGTCAGCTGAAAAAGGTTTTGGCAGGGCACGGTGGCTCAATATGGTGAAACCTAGTCTCTACTAAAAATACAAAAATTGGCTGGGCATAGAGGCGCGCGCCTGTAATCTCAGCTACTTGGAAGGCTGAGGCAGGAGAATCTCTTGAACCCAGGAGGCAGAGGTTGCGGTGAGCCGAGATCACGCCATCGCACCACAGCCTGGGCGACAGGGCGAGACTCCGTCTCAAAAACAAAACAAAGAAAAGAAAAAGGTTTTAAACATTATACACATTATGGTTAAAAATTATAGAAATGTGTGCATACATAGATAAAGTTATTGGCCAGGCATGGTGCCCTCATGCCTGTAATCCCAGCATTCTGAGAGGCCAACGCACACGGATCACTTGAGGTCAGGAATTCAAGACAAGCTTGGCCAACATGACAAAACCTCGTCTCAACTGAAAATACAAAAATTAGCTGGGCGTGGTGGTGCATGCCTGCAATCCCAGCTACTTAGGAGGCTGAGGCACAAGAATAGCTTGAACCTGGGAGACAGAGGCTGCAGTGAGCCAGGATCATGCCATTGCACTCCAGCCTGGGCGACTGGGCGAGATCCTATGTCAAAAAAAAAAAAAAAAGACGGCAGGCGTGGTGGCTCACGCCTGTAATCCCAGCACTTTGGGAGGCTGAGGCAGGTGGATCACATGAGGTCAGGAGTTCGAGACCAGCCTGGCCAACAAGGTGAAACCCTGTCTCTACTAAAAATACAAAAATTAGCCAGGCATGGTGGCAGATGCCTGTAATCCCAGCTACTTGGGAGACTGAGGCAGAAGAATTGCTTGAACCTGGGAGGCAGAGGCTGCAGTGAGCCAAGATCGTGCCACTGCACTCCAGCCTGGGCAACAGAGCAAGACTCCATCTCAAAAAAAAAAAGAAATAAAGAAAGAAAAAGAATAAAGAAATTTATTGACCAGGTGAGCTGGCTCATGCCTATAACCCCAGCACACTGGGAAGCTGAGGCAGGAGAATCACTTGAGGCCAGGAGTTAGAAACCAGCCTGGTGAACACAGTGAAACTCCATTCCAAATTTTTGCTAACTTAAAACAGAAAATCAGGCCGGGTGCGGTGGCTCACGCCTGTAATCCCAGCACTTTGGGAGGCCAAAGCAGGCAGATCACGAGGTCAGGAGACAGAGACCATCCTGGCTAATGCGGTGAAACCCCATCTCTACTAAAAATACAAAAAATTAGCCGGGCATGGTGGTGGGCACCTGCAGTCCCAGCTACTCAGGAGGCTGAGGCAGGAGAATGGCGTGAACCTGGGAGGCAGAGCTTGTAGTGAGCCAAGATCACGCCACTGCACTCCAGCCTGGGAGACAGTGAGACTCCGTCTCAAAAAAAAAAAAAAATTATCTGGGTTTGGTGGCACACACCTGTAGTCCCAGCTACTGGGGAGGGTGATGTGGGAGAATCACTTGAGCTCAGGATTTCGAGGCTGCAGAGAGCCATAATACTGCCATTGCACTCCTGGACTCTGTTGCCTGGGCAATAGAGCAAGACCCTGTCTCAGAAAAAACAAACAGAAAGTTTGTAAAAGACAAACAGAAATGAGACTGCCTGTGTGTAGATGAGAATGTTGTGGGCAGAATTTAATATATAGCTGGTTTATGAAATATTTTAAATAAAAATTTTATAGAAGTAAACAGAAGACAGATTTATCACCACTGAGGATATCTGAAATGATTACATCCCAGGTTAAAGAAAATGTGTAAACAGGAGACTAATAAGATACGAACAAATCTAATGTTAATGTAAGTTCTTGTATCTGTTTTAATATCAGTAACAGTACTTTGTAATTTCAAGTCAACAACTTTTATTCCCAACTATCTAAAGAAAATTTTTATAATTTTAATTTCCATGAAATCTCTTACCCCATACCTTTTCAACTGAAGTTTTTGAATGTGAATTCTTGCTCTCTGACTCTGTTTTGCCTTGTGAAAGAACTGATTTCTTCCCAGCCCTTGACAAATTGGGTTTAGGTCTTTGGAAGCGACCTCTCAACATTGGTTTAACATTTTCTGTTTGATCAATTTCCCTGAAAAATTAACATTATTTAAATAGCATCAAACATGCAGTCATGTCCAAATGAACTTCTAAAATAACCTACTGAGAATTAGGAAGAACTCCTTTAAGAGCTTACTTAGAACAAGAGTAGCAAAGAAAACTTAAAGAGACTAACTTGTTCTATCTGATATTAAAAATACACCATTCATCATCAGTAATTAAAACAGTGTGGTACTAACATATGAATAAACAGATAAATGAAACAAATTTAAAATCCAGAAAATAACTTCAAAATAGACATGATTTTGGTATATATTGAAGGTAGCAACTCATAATAGGGAGGATAAGATGAAATGCAATACAATACAGTGAGGATAAAACGTAAGAAATATTAAGTAAGATTAAATGATGATGGGAAGGCCGGGCGCAGTGGCTCACGCCTATAATCCCAGCACTTTGGGAGGCTGAGGCAGGTGGATCACCTGAGGTCAGGAGTTCGAGACCAGCCTGGCAAACATGGTGAAACCCCGTTTCTACTAAAAATACAATAATTAGCCATGCATGGCGGCACGTGCCTGTAGTCCCAACTACTTGGGAGGCTGAGGCAGGTGAATCCCTTGAACCCGGGAGGCGGGGGTTGCAGTGAGCCAAGATGGTGCCACTGCACTCCAGCCTGGGTGACAAGAGCAAGACTCCGTCTCTGGATGTGGTGGCGAGCACCTATAGTCCCAGCTACCTGGGAGACTAAGGTGGGAGGATCACCTAAGCCTGGGAGGTTGAGGTTGCAATGAGCTATGATCACACCACTGCACTCCTGCCTGGGCAACAGAGTGCAACCCTGTCTCAAAAAAAAAAAAAAAAAAAAATTCATAAATGTTTAAATGTGTATGTGTGTGTGAGGGAGAGCTCAATCATACCTTTTTATACTTTTCGATGTTTGAACCCTATGAATGTATTGTCTATTTCAAAGACTGACATTTTTAAGTTTGATTTCCATTGTGACAGTACTTTACTGAAAAATAAGAATTTATGAACTGAATAGCTTTCTTTTTTTTTTTTTTTTTTGAAATGGAGTCTCGCTCTGTCGCCCAGGCTGGAGTGCAGTGGCATGATCTCAGCTCACTGCAGGTTCTACCTCCCAGGTTCACGCCATTCTCCTGCCTCAGCCTCCCAAGTAGCTGGGACTACAGGTGCATGCCACCACACCCGGCTAATTTTTTGTATTTTTAGCAGAGACAGCGTTTCACTGTGTTAGCCAGGATGGTCTCAATCTCCTGACCTCCTGATCCGCCCGCCTCGGCCTCCCAAAGTGCTGGGATTACAGGTGTGAGCCACTGCGCCCAGCCCATAAACTATTAATAGCTTTTAAGCCCATATGAGATGAGGAATTACAAGGAAGACTAAAAGGAAGTATAAAACTTTCAGATACCTCTTCAAAGGGAGATTTTTATGATGTTTTTAATCGTTTCTTGGGAAGATACTAATTTAACCAGTATCTGCATACTGGAAGATATACTTCCTTGAAATCACCAATATCAAAATATTATTTTGACACCAGGCATAAAAAATAACTCAAACCAAGTAAAAGTAAAATCTCATGGCAAATATTTAGGCTTCCAAATTGTTTTAGAATTTCGTAAGTTACCACCTTCCTAAAATTCATATCATTATTATATAACAGATATGAAAGAGAATCTTTCTGCAAAGAAATATAAAGTAAAACACCTGATGTTACACTCTGAACAGACTACAGTATAATTACATATTAAATGATTCCCTCTACTATTAATAAAGTATGTATTAATAATCCCCTCGAATCCCTAAATGAAGCAACATTATTATCATTTAAGAACCTTATCAAAATTTTATAAATAAATCCTATCGTATAAAATACTTACAGTGAATTATTTTTTAGGTCAACATTTCTTTCTTCTATACAACTACCCTCAGCATTATTCACCTCACACAATGCTCTAATTCCAACTTCGAATGAAGGCAAATCTGAAGTGCTTGATTCTGAAGACTCAGTTGCTACTGATGTGGCATCTTGTTGATTACTAAAAAAAAGAAAATATTTCAGAGAGAAAAGAATTCCTAATGATATATATTTTATAATTATTTTTAAAAATGTTAAACACACAAAATCACCATTTTGCAAGATGCTGCTTCACATTATAGAGTAATACAAACTGCTACATTAGCTTTTCTATGATCCATCTTGCATCATGTTATAAAAACTGTACCTCCAGAGAAAGCAGCAGCCACAAATTTACACGCTTAGGAACATGCTCAAGAAGTTTCAAAATGAAGGCCGGACAAGGTGGCTCACGCCTGTAATCCCAGCACTTTGGGAAGCCAGGGCGGGCAGATCACTTGAGGCCAGGAGTTTGGAACATCCTGGCCAACATGGTTAAATCCCATCTCTACTAAAAATACAAAAACTAGCTGGGCATGGTGGTGCAGGCCTATAATCCCACCTACTCAGGAGGCTGAGGCAAAAGAATCACTTGAACCCGGGAGGTGGAATCACACCACTGCACTCCAGACTGGGTGACAGAGCAAAGCTCTGTTTCAAAAAAAGAAAAGGCTTCAAAATGAGAAATTATTAAATGTGGTTCACAAATCAAACATGCGTAAAATAATACTAATATTTAGGAATTAGCTTTCATTAAAATTTATATAGGCAATCCTTGCTATGCAGGGTACTGTGTAACCAAAAGTCAAATAAAGCAAAGATACAGCTCCAATAAGCTCAAGTTGAGTTAACATAGTCCTACGCAAAGTGAGAACTACTATATTAAAAAATATTTCAAATATCAGCCAGGTGTGGTAGCACGTGCCTGTAGTCCTAGCTACTCAGAAGACTGAGGTGAGAGGATTGCTTAAGCCCAGGAAGTCAAGGCTGCAGTGAGCTGAGATTGCACCACTGCATTCCAGCCTGGGCGATAGAGCAAGACTCTGTCACAAAATAAATTTCAACTAACAATAATATAACTGATAGCCACGCACTGACCATTTCAACACATATTCACATTTAGCCATACCTTTTTCTTTTTTTCTTGTTCATTTTTTCTACTAGGTGTTTATGTTTTCCTGACTTATCAGCAAGAGTTCTCTATATATTTTTATTGTCTAGATATTACACATAAAATCTCCCGATCAGTAACTTGCCTTTTATTTTCTTTATGGAGGATTTGTTAACAGAAGTATTTAATTTTACTACCATCAAACTTATCAATCTTATCTTTTAAAGTCTGTGTTTTCTACATCTTAATAGAAATGTCTTACCTGAGGCCTTCACATTACAAAGATATTTTTCTACATTTCTTCTAAAAGTTGTAAAGATTTGTTTTATACATGTAGTCTTCAATCCATCAGGAAGTTAGCGGATATGGTAACACAAGGATCAAATATTATGTTTTTCAAATCTCAGCTCAATCTAATGAAGTTAGTTCTATCTTTGCCCGCTAATTTCTAAAGCTACCTCTGCCATATAACAGATTCCTAAATGTCTCTTCCTAAACTCTATATTCAGTTCCACTGAGTCAATTCATCTAACCCTACACCAATACCATGCTGCTTTAGTTACTCTAGCTCGAAAATTAGTCTACTAGCACAGTCCCTCTGCAAAGTTGGTGTTTTTTAAAACTGTCTTTACCATTCTTGAGCCTTTGTTCTTGTGTACATGACAATTTTAGAATCAACTCTTTGTTTTCCAAAACCAACTGGGACTTTAACAGTCATTACAAGGTTGTTTTTCCCCTAAATTAGAAAAAGCTAGGGCCAGACACAGTGGCTCATGCTGAGGTGCGAGGATTGCTTGAGCCCAGGAGTTTGAGACCAGCCTGGAAAACATCTCTACTAAAAAATGTTTTTAAAATTAGCCAGTCATGGTGTCCCATGACTGTAGTCCCAGCTACTCGAGATGCTGAGGTGATAGAATCATTTGAGCCCAAGAGTTCAAGGTTGTGGTGAGCTGTGATCACGCTACTACACTCTAGCCTGAGCAACAGAGTAAGACCCTGTCACAACATTTTTTAATTATTTTAAAAATTAGAAAAAGTCACGAGTACAGTTTTGTGTAGTTTATGAAATTAGGTGTATCTCTGAACTCACACTTTAGATTATCTGTCACCTAGGAACAAACAACTATGAGAAATAGCATATGATTCCACTTATGTGAATATCTAGATTAGACAGAGTCATAGAGACAGAAAGTTGTCTACATCCTTACCGCTCTCAATGAGCCTAATTTGATCTCAAACTAAGCAAGTCTGGTCCTGATTAATACTTGGATGAGAAACAGAAAGCAGATTAGAGATTATCAGTGGTTGCAGGGAGGGGAGAATGAGGAATTACTGCATAATGGGTACAGGTTTTCTGTTTCCAGTGATAAAATAGCTTTAGAAATAGTGCTGATGGCTGCACAACAATGTAAATGTAAATAATGCCACTAAATTGTATGCTTAAAAATAGTAAACAGCTTTAAGTTTGTTTTTGGCAATAGTTTCTTAGATATGACACCAAAAGTATAGGCAACAAAAGCAAAATTAGACAAATGGGACTACATTGAACTAAAAAACTTCTGTACGCCAAAGGAAACAGCAGAGTGAAAAGGCAACCTATGGAATGGGAGAAAATGTGTAAATCATATTTCTGATAAGGTCCTAAAATCCAAACTATATAAATAATTCTCAAAACTCAATAGCAAAAAAGAAAATAACCTAATTAAAAAATTGGGCACAGGACCTGAATAGACATGTCTCCAAAGAAGATATACAAATGGCTAACAGCTATGAAAGATGCTCAACTCAATAATTATCCGGGAAATGCAAATCAAAACAACCATAAGAAACCACCTTCTACCTGTTCAGAAGGACATTATTAATAAAATAAAAGATAACAAGTATTGAAGAAGATGTGAAAAAAACTGGAACCCTGTACATTGTTGGTGGTTATGTAAAATGGTGTACCCGCTATTGGAAACAGTATGGAGGGTCCTCAAAAAATTAAAAGTAGAACTACCATATGATCTAGCAACCCCACTTCTGGGTATTTATCCACAAGAACTGAAATCAGGATCTCAAAGAGATATTTGCACTCCCATGTTCAGTGATGCCAACAGACAAAAACAACCTAAATGTCCATAAAGAAAATGTGGTCTATACATGTACTAGAATATTATTTGCTCATAAAAAAGGAAATCTTCTCATATGCTACACCATGGATGAACCTTGAGGACATTACATTAAGTGAAATAAGCCAGTCACAGAAAGAAAAATACTGCATGAGGCTGGGCGCTGTGACTCACACCTGTAATCCCAGCACTTTGGGAGGCCAGGGCAGGTGGATCACCTGAGCTCAGTTCAAGACCAGCCTGAGCAAAATGGTGAAACCCTGTCTCTACCAAAAATACAAGAAATTATCCAGGTACGGTGGTACATGCCTGTGGTCCCAGCTTCTCAGGAGGCTGAGATGGGAGGATTGCTTGAGCCTGGGAGGTGGAAGTTGCAGTGAGCTGAGATCGTGCCACTGCACTCCAGCCTGGGTGACAGAGACCGACCCCATCTCAAAAACAAAACAAAACAAAACAAAACAAAGAAAGAATCATGATTGCCAAGGGCTGGGAGGCGGAGGAAATAGGAGTTGCTGTTCAATAGGTATAGAGGTGCAGTTATGCAAGGTAAAAAAAAATTCCAGAGATCAGCAATACAACACTGTGCTTATAGTTAACAACACTGTATAGTACACATAAAAAATCTATTGAGGGTAAATCTCATGATTTTATATTACAAAATAAAATTTAAAAACACACACACACACAGCAAGACACATCACATTCAAACTAACGAAAACCAAAAATAGAGAAAATCATTACAGAAAATGATAAACCCATGCAAACGCCAACCAAAAGAAAGCTACAATAGCAAAGTAAACATCAGAAAAAAAGAGCAATACCAGAAGGATAGTACATAATGATAAAGGGAATTTCACCAAGACAAAACAATCCTAGATATGTACACACCTAACAACAGAGCTTCAAAATATATGGAGCAAAAACAAATAGAACTGAAAAAAAGAAACAGGCAAATCCACAGTTACAGATGGAGACTTCAACACTCCTTTCTCAGTAATCAACAGATGTGGATAAAACCAGAAAAGACACAGAAAATACCTTAATGAAAGGATGGGGTCAGTTCTTTTCTCAACTTTTTCAGTGGAGGCAAAACCCACAATGCCATCTATGTTTTGTGTGCAGGAAAGCATCTGCTCCTTACTGCATTCACCTTCCTTTAGCTCAGGCCTTATAGCCTGACATTTATCTACAAATACAAAATGCATGTTATTCTAAAAAATGACAGCAAAAACATCTTTTTTAGAGCACAAAGGAATTTACCTATAACACTGTCTTTTCCTACAAAACCTTAAGCAACATTCAAGTCCCTATTTGCAAGGCACACATCTTATTTTTAGACCATAATAAAAACTTAACATATATGAGGATCAGCTCAAGCTTCTTGGGCAATTTGTAGCATCTTCCTTTTATCTTAAATTCTAAGTATTTAAAGTGGCTTATTTTATATGTCAAGTAGGGAAACTAAAAGTTGACTTAACTATTCTTTTGCTCCTTCAGAAGTATACTAATTAGTAACACAGTAATAGCTATCATTTATTAAGTACTTACTAAGCGGCAGGAACCCTTAAGTCCATCAGATGCATTATCTCATTTAATACTTGAAACAATCCTATTAAAATATATTAACATTAACCTCATAGAGAACCCCCTGAGTTCAGAGATCTTAAGTAACTTTCCCAATGCAATACTTAAGCAAGTAAAAAAGCTGGAATTTAAAGCAAGGTCTGTTTGATTTCTAAAACCTGGTTGTGAATCATTAAGCTGTTCTGCATTATACGTAATGACTCCAATAAGCCAAAAAAGAGCATAATATTGAGATGCCTACAAAGCATACTATGTTAGCTACCAGTACTCTTTTATTAAAATCAGATGGGTAAATCTGAACTACAGAAAACATAAATTTTATAGAAAGGTTGTTCTGGTCTGCTCCTACCTTTTCCTTGGTTATCAGCTTTAAATAATCTACATATGAACTCTTAAGGAAAGGGACCAAGACTCCCCCTCAAACTCTTAGCCCTCATCCCCAAGCAACTCATAAGTGGCAATATGTTTGCATTCAAAGAGTAAAAAAGAAAAAGGGAAGGAATACATATTCCACTAGTTCTTTTATAGGAACTAACCCCTTGTGGGTTCACAGAGGTGCTCTGTAGAGGTACAACATGAAAATCTGTGCTTTATTGACAGACATAGCAACATACTTTTAACTCTATATAGATGTGATTTCTAATCATAGTTAATGGGAATGCACAGGAGGTGATACATCTTAGAAACAAACTTTAGAGAACAATCTCCCCACTTTAATTTGTTTAATTTTTTTACATAAACTTTTTTAATTAAAAATAAACAGCGTTAGCACAGTACCATTAGTACAGAACCAATTAATAAGCATCATTAATTGCTATCTAGACAGAAAATTAAGTTACATACCATATTACTGTACATGTCTTCTCAAGTAATATAGAGGCTTTTTAAATATGTAAGAAACTTACTCTTGTGTTTTTCTCCTTTAGAAGGACCCGCCTGAACAGTGGCATTTTCTAAAAGATTGTTTACTCCCAGTTCATTAGCTCCATCTTGCTTCTTCCTCCTTCTTTTCTTTTGATTTAGGTCTACTTCTAATGCAACCTGCTCTGCATCCTCCCTTGATAAGGTCAGAGACTCTTCTTCAACTGTCTGAGCATCCTTCTGAGATCTTTCCGTGTCTGAAATTCTAGAACTCATAGACTCATCTGGATCATTATTCACTCCTTCACAGGCAACTTTTTTCACTGAAAACAAGAGAAATTACTATAAATATTTAAACAACCTAAAGAAAAATTTGTAAAGGTGGGAAAGAGACTCAAAGATGTCCTCTGTATTATTTATTTGTATGAACAAAAAACCTAAAGACAACCTAAAATGTCTAATGGGAAATGACTAAATAATATATAAAAATCCACGGAGCCAATAATAATAATGAGGTAAGATTATATGTAGTCATGTGAAAAATTTCAAAGCATATTGTTGCATTTAAAAAACCAAGCAGAACAAGATACACATAAAATCTCATTTTTATTAAACAAAAACAGTTACATATAGAGATGCTCCTTGACTTACACTGGGTTTCATCCCAATAAACCCATCATAAGTTGAGTATACTGTAAATTGAAAATGCATTTAATACAGGCTGGGCATGGTGGCTCACACCTGTAATCCCAGCACTTTGGGAGGCTGAGGAGGGTGGATCATCTGAGGTCAGCAGTTCGAGACCAGCCTGGCCAACATGGTGAAACCCCATCTCTACCAAAAATACAGAAATTAGCTGGACATGGTGGCAGGCGCCTGTAATCCCAGCTGCTCGGGAGGCTGAGGCAGGAGAATCACTTGAACACGGGAGGCGGAGGTTGCAGTGAGCCAAGATCGCACCATTGCACTCCAGCCTGGGCAACAAGAGCAAAACTCTGGGCTGGGCATGGTGGCTCACGCCTGTAATCCTAGCACTTTGGGAGGCTGACACAGGCAGATCACTTGAGGTCAGGAGCTCAAGACCAGGCTGGCCAACATGGTGAAACCCCGTCTCTACTAAAAATACAAAAATTAGCTGGGTGTGGTGGTACTTGCCTGTAATCCCAGCTACTTGGGAAGCTGAGGCAGGAGAATCGCTTCAACTGGAGAGGTGGAGGCTGCAGTGAGCTGAGATGGCACCATGGCACTCCAGCCTGGGCAACAAGAGCAAAACTCCGTCTCAAAAAAAAAAAAAAGTTCTGGCTGGGCGTGGTGGCTCACACCTGCAATCCCAGTACTTTGGGAGGCCAAGGTGGGCGATCATTTGAGGTCAGGGGTTTAAGACCAGTCTGGCCAATATGATAAAATCCCATCTCTACAAAAAAATTACAAAAATTAGCTGGGCATGGTGGCACATGCCTGTAATTCCAGCTACTC
This sequence comes from Homo sapiens, assembly GCF_000001405.40. NCBI lineage: Eukaryota > Metazoa > Chordata > Mammalia > Primates > Hominidae > Homo > Homo sapiens. The sequence continues at coordinate 1,018,220 of NT_187651.1, read as the reverse complement.
AGGAGGCTGAGGTGAAAGAACTGCTTGAACTCGAGCAGTGAAGGATTCAGTGAGCCGAGATCAGGCCACTGCACTCCAGCCTGGGCAACAAAGTGAGACCCTGTCTCAAAAAAAAAGTTCTTACATTAAGTAAGATACAGTGAGTTACTCATGTTATCACCTGTAACATACAAGAAGATACATAATCTTCTACGATTATGTGTAAGTAAAAAAAAAAGACTACTAAGAATAAAGGTATTTTGTAGTTATCAATACTACTTTTTAAAAGATATGCCCCAGAAGAAGAAATTCTAGCCTAGCTTTGAACAGTAAAGAGTTAATTTTGCAGGCTTGACTGCTATCCTTTGAAAATCCTTCTTATAAGGTTGGCCCTTGGGCCATGTCTCAGAATTTGGTTCTGGGAAGGGTTCCTACCACCCTAACTGATAAGAGTGGCTCACTGTGCCTTAGCTGTACAATGTGGTTTATGCTGAACTGCTTTTCTTTTGAAAATCCGAAATTTTTGTATGTTCCAGGCAGAGGATGCTGAATCCTTAGTCTTCCTAGTGGATAATCGAACCCCGGTGGTGGTCGTGGGGACCCCCAACACAGGCTCTCACCATCCCAGGTTTCAGTTCTGCCTCTGCCACTACACACACTGTGAGTCCTTAGGAAAAAGTGTCTTACGATCTCTGGGGCTGTTTCTTGGTGATTAAAACCAATACAAAGGGCCGGGCACGGTGGCTCACGCCTGTAATCCCAGCACTTTGGGAGGCCGAGGCAGGCATATCATGAGGTCAAGAGATCAAGACCATCCTGGCTAACATGGTGAAACCCCGTCTCTACTAAAAATACAAAAAAAATTAGCCGGGTGTGGTGACGGGCACCTGTAATCCCAGCTACTCGGGAGGCTGAGGCAGGAGAATGGCGTGAACCCGGAAGGCGGAGCTTGCAGTGAGTCGAGATCGTGCCACTGCACTCCAGCCTGGGCAACAGAGCGAAACTCTGTCTCAAAAAAAACAGAAAAAAAGAAAAAAACAACACAAAGGGGGCTAAAATGTAAGCTAGCTAACATATAAGGTTCCCTATAGTTCCGAGCGTCTTCTTTATGTGATTATAGCTAAACATTGTCCTTATAGACCAGAGTTCAAATAGTTAAGAAAACATAAGCCTAAAAATAAAAATACCTACATATATACAATTTCTACCTGTTACAACTCAACATTAGCCTTCAGAAATAAGTTACGCTCAACCAATACAGTCTAGTCACAACCCCAGAAGATTAGAGTTCCTTTTTTTAATCCTAGAATTTTATACCAGATTTGTTTTACAGAGGAAAATGATAATAAATAATCAAACATGAAATACAACACTCCAAATTCTGATGCTCTTTGACTGGCTACAACTATCCTCTATGCTAGAGAGATATCAAATAACCCAATCACGCCAGTTAAAAATTTTAAAAGAAAGCTATTGTTTTGGACCAGATAACTAGTTGATTGAAAAAACATATACTCCCTCCAACTGGATGCTTTGATGATCTTAACTACCTGAGCTACACATGAACTCTCAAAGGCCTGAGGGACAATATTGCAAGTTTATTACTACTAAGTAAACTATCACACTTCCTTTTAAAATCAATACCTTTTACATTTTTCCGTGGTTTGGTGGATTTCTTCTCCTTTAAACTGTGATTTTTAACAGATTTTTGTTTTCTTTTCTCTTCTTCAGCAAGAACTTTCTGAAGCAAATGAGCAAAAAAATCGAAGTCAAAAGGGCGCTTTTCCTCTGTTTAAAGAAAAGGAAAAGAACTTTCAAGTTTTTATTTTTAAAAGCTACTTCTAGCTTTTAAAGTATCATAACATCAAAAGCAAATGGGTTTGTTTATCAGTAGGAGAACAGAAAAACAAATACACAACAGAACACCACTCAGCAACAGAATAGGTTGGTCTTAGCAGGGAAATAGATTAGTTCACATCAGAACACCACTCAGCAACGAAACAAATAAACTAGTTTATTACAAATAATAATTTATTACAAATTTGTAATAATTTGTTTATTGCAAATAAACTAGTTTTAAACAAAACAAAAGGAACAAACTACTGATACATGCAATAATATGAGGGAATCTCAAAAACATACTGAGTGGAAGAAAACAGATACTAGGGTACATACTATATGATACCATGTATAAGATATTCTAGAACACACTAAGCTATCTATGGTGATTAAAATGAAAATAGTGGTTGCCTTGGGCCAGGAGGACAGCATTTGATTGTTCAGAAAGGGACATAATAGACCTTGTGAAGTGATGAAAACATTTCCTCTATTGTTTGGGGTAGTGGTTACACAGGCATATTCTTTGTCAAAACTTGAACTACACTTTGAGCTGTGTATAAATATAAATCAATTTTTTTATGGACTGAGAAGTCCTTGAAATGCCTGTTCACCACCATATGCCCTACCTTTATCACAACCATTTCACCATTTACTCTTATAAGTATCAGCAAAGTGGGAAGTAAATGAATTTAATCAGGAACATGCCCACTAAATACCTATCAACAGCATTATATCTGAAAGTAATCAGTGAACACTCCAGGAATGAATCCAGACCAGGAGGCAAATCCTTGCTTGAACTTAAAGTCAATGTAGAGAAAATGGTGCTCTATGCACATAAGCCGAAGACTGGTTTGATTACAAGATAGCCTCAGAAAAGAAGGTATATACTAAAATAAAAAGAATCTCTGGAAACTAAACCCAAATCTGGGATTCCTGAAGACCCTATTTCACTGTTGACCCAGACTTCATTTGTTCTGACTCTCCACAATGATTCTGAAAGACATAGCACTCAAAGAATCATAAAGGATCTCCACATGGTTCTCAGAGAAATTCAAAACATAAGTTCTCTCAAAAAACTTATATAGGTTTTAATTTAAAAAAAAAATTTCCAATAGAAAGCCTCCAAATCAATGAGTTGTTTCTAGTTTTGAGATAGGATCTTGCTGTGTTGCCCAGGCTGGCCTCGAATTCTTCGGCTGAAAAGATCCTCCTGCCTCAGCGACTCCTGAGAGTAGCTGGGCCTATAGGCATACAACACTGTATCCTGTTTAAGATCAATAAATTTTAAAAATATCTATTATAATAGTCTATAAAAATGCTTCACAATCCAAATAGACTGTTTATAGATTTACGAATTATTTTCTGACTATAATGTGTTACACTTAATGAAGTTTCAGGACCACTTCTCTAATATGGAATGGGCTGAGGAGCACAATATTCCAGATCTTCTAAGAGCCATTCCTCAAAGCAGTTTCCCTAAAGACCCGATAAAACACTGGGTGTAGGATCCACCCACCTACCTTAGTGTCTACTCATAAAATAAATATACATGCTACATAATGTAGGTACTCTCTACATTTGGATTTTTTTTTTCTAAAATTAGCACTATGGCTAATCTTACGACTAAATAGACATTGAATACATTTATTAATCATAAAATACTGATAATTATAAATCCACAAAAAATATATTCCTGTCCACAGCTGTGGTGAAAAAAAGACCTATCTTGTAATCAAAAAATACAAGAACTATTTTTAACAGTAAATGTATTTTTCTTTATAGATCCTTTGATATCTTTCTCTAGACTTGAAGAAAAATATGTTAATTTTAATGAGGATTTTAGTTAGAAATTGCAAGATATCTATCATTCCTTCAGATGAGATCTAAATTCAAATGCTAGTGTATCTCTTCAGACAGAACTTCCCTAATGATCCAATGATCATTAGGAAAAAAGAGACCTAAACATCCACCCTCTCTTTTTTCTTCTTTTTGGAAATGAATCACTACCTAAAATTATGCTTATCAACTATATTTCTTCCCCCATCCAATCAGACTTAAGGTTCTAAATGCAGGATTCTCATCTGCCATTTATCTTCCACCATTACATGCTCAATACCTAGAACAATGACTACCATATAGTAGGTGGTCAGTGTTATTGACTGAATGACTGATTAGTCATTCAGAACCAGAAAGAACCATCTATATAACTAATAGTACTGTCTTCCAGAAACAATGATCTCCTCCCATACAGTTCCTTCAGAATAAATAACACTTAGAAGTGGTAGCATCAATCCCTCCATAACTTCTTGGACTTAGAACTGTTTACCTGCACCTAGATGTTCTGGATAATCTCCTGCCAATATATTTGTAGCAAGTGCCAGACCCATACTGCTAAACAGAAAAATTTCAGACTGCTTCCTCTTAATGCCAATACAGGAACAAAACAAATCTAAAACACACTAAAGCCAAAGACAAAAGACTGGTCATTTTTTAGGCTCTTCAAGTAATACTTTGTAAAAGAGGTCTTAATACTTACGGAATGCTTTGTCTATTCTCCATCCATTTGTTTTCTCTTCCCGTTTAAATTTATTCTGTTAACAACAAAAAACCCTATGGTAATTTTCTCTCATAAAACAAGCATTTTTTTTTAAATGCAGTAAGCATTAAAATGAAACTCTTAGGAATAACATACTGCTCTCTACTTAATATGTCTTTGCCAATAGGCAAGTTACTTAAACCTTCGGCTTTTTAAAAATAAGGATGAAAGATTTTTACTGAGCTTCTTGATTCTCATTACCAATAGCATGAATCAGCAATGGAAGCTGGATTTACAGAGGACAGAAAAAAATAAAGTCAACAAACATGAAAGCAGATCAAACCTATGACTAAGCTCACTGGTATTAACTTTTAAAAAATTAAGTATTCGTAACAGGTTAAACCTCTGACATCATTGTTCTAATATATTTCAAGTAGCATGGAGAGAAGACTATAGAGAAACAACTAAGTGAAATTTTGAAGCAGGCCAAGTTTATCCTGACAAACTTCTATATATTAAGGCACATTTCCTCACATTTTTCTCAGCCCCAAAAATCCCTGTCCTCAGTTTACTACCAGATTACTTCCATTAAGAGGGAGATGTTTAAGGCTTAAGGCTCAATCCATCCTAAAGTCATTAGGAAGACTGAGGGCATAAGTTTGTGTCTGAAGACGTCTGATCACGCAGACACATCGTAGGAGAGGAAACAAACAGCCAATGTTTCCCATCTACACGTCAGTGATCTACAAGTTTTTATTAAAAGCACAAAAATAAAGCTTTTTAATTGCAAAAAAGAGAGAGAGAATATCACATAAAACAAAGGAAGTACTTCATGCCCCCTTCCTCCCTTCAAAAGAACTTAACCACTAATATGACTTGTAAAGCAATCACTTTCTTGTATTTCCTTATTGTTTATGACCCAAGTGTGTATTCTTAGATGATACAGTTTAGCCTTGCCCATATTTTTAAAACCTGATATGACATTAACATCTTTTAATGTACAGGTTGCCCTTCTTTCCCATTCTTTTGTTTTTCTTCACAAAACTTATTATCAATACAGAAGTTTTCAAAGATAATCTTATTTCTGCCTTAAAAGATCATACTGTTATTTAAACATTTCCTCAAAAGTTAACAAATGTTACCTCCACAAAAAATGATTGGCTATAAACACTAAATTAAATGTCCTAAAAGAAATATCAATAGGCTTCAGGCATTTAATTCTAAAACAGTGCTACCTCATATTTTACTTAATTGGTAATATAACTCAGAACAATTTAAAACTTTCTCAAAGAAATATATTGAAACTAGTCAATGATTTCATAGGTAAGAACCAGTAACAGGCCAAATTCCATGATCACAAAATAAATCCCATAATTTCCACTTCTGGCCTTGGCAAAGTAACTCATTATGGACAGGTCCTACATATCCAACTCCACCACGAATGACTTTTAACACTGACAAAATATATGCATCAATTATTTTCAAGCAAAGGACAATAGTGAGAGCAAGACTACAATCACGGAGAGAAGGAAAACAGACAAGATGTGCCCATGTTTACCTTGGCTCTCTGCCTGGGCTCAATTTCCTAACCAAGGAAAGGGAGGTGAAGGCCAAACAGGGTACAGCAATCCAACTAGGCTGCAGAGGTAGGGAATCTTTAGGAGCATAGTTCTAAAAAGGAACTGTGTAGAGGGGTACCTCACAGGCCTGGTGGAAATACCCCATGATACCTTGGCCTAAGTATGGGTTGCATATGTCCAGAATATAAGGCTTAAAAGAGAACAGCTGCTAAAGCCATGAAGGCAGAAGGAAGATGCTAAAAGTCATAAAACACCATATGACAATAGAGTTCAGGTGCATCCTAATGGAAAGACCTCATTAATACCCAAATACATTCACCTCAGACACCAGAAAGATCACCATTAGAGATAAAAACGATACCCTAGAGTAGCCTTTCTCTACCAGGGATGTAGCATGAGAATTAAGTACTAATGCATTAAAGCAGCCACTGTATGCAATGCATTCCCTTCTCTCACTTATCTATTAATAGTATAGTATTAGTATAACCATCCTTAGAGAACTTAGAAAATAATAACTCATGCCTACCATGAGACTGTTCTGGGAAAAGAAGAAAATAATAAAATATAATAGTAATTCAAATTATTTTCTGTAAATCAGATGAGAAATCCCATTGGAGAAAGGATGTCCTAGATTAAAGACCAGTCTAGATCTGCCTCAACAAAGCTTTAAGACAAGCCTTAACAGGAACAAAGAAGTTGGCAGTACATTAACAGTTTTCCAGAACAAAAGTCAACACTATTTTTTATTCTGTTTTGTTTATTGAAACAGAGTCTTGATGTCTTCCAGACTGGAATGCAGTGCTGTGATCACAGCTCACTGCAGCCTTGATCTCCCAGGCTCAAGCAATCCTCCTGCCTCAGCCTCCTGAATTGCTAGGGGACATGTGCCACCAAGCCTGGCTTTTTTTTTTTTTTTTTTTTTTTCTTTGTAGAGATGGGATCTTGCCATGTTGCTCAGTCTGGGTTTGAACTTCTGGGCTCAAGCAATCCTCCCGTCTCAGCCTCCCAAAATACTAGGATTAGAGGTGTGAACCACCGCGCCTGGCCCACTGCGCTTTAAAAAAAAAAAGAAAAAACATAATCCAGACACTCTACAACACATCATTCACAATGTCTGGTATGTGATTTCATTTTTTTTTTTTGAGACGGAATCTTGCTCTGTCTCACAGGCTGGAGCGCAGTGGCGCGATCTCAGCTCACTGCAACCTCTGCATCCCGGGTTCATGCCATTCTCCTGCCTCAGCCTCCCAAGTAGCTGGGACTACAGGCGCACGCCACCACGCCTGGCTAATTTTTCACATTTTTAGTAGAGACAGGGTTTCTGTGTTAGCCAGGATGGTCTTTATCTCCTGACCTCGTGATCCACCCGCCTTGGCCTCCCAAAGTGTTGGGACTACAGGCATGAGCCACTACGCCTGGCCTAGTATGCAATTTCAAAAAAACTCACGGTTGGCCGGGCATGGTGGTTCACTTCTTATAATCCTAGCACTGTGGGAGGCTGAGGTGAGTGGATCACTTGAGGTCAGGAGTTCGAGACCAGCCTAGCCAACATGGTGAAACCACATCTCTGCTAAAAATACAAAAATTAGCCAGGCATGGTGGCATGCACCTGTAATCCCAACTTGGGAGGCTGAGGCAGAAGAATCACCTGAACCCAGGAAGCAGAGGTTGCAGTGAGCTGAGATCATGCTACTGAACTCCAGCCTGGGCAACAGAGTGAGATTCCATCTCAAAAAAAAAAAAATGGCCGGGCACAGTGGCTCACGCCTATAATCCCAGCCCTTTGGGAGGCCAAGATAGGTGGATCACTTGAGGTCAGGAGTTCGAGACCAGCCTGGCCAACGTGATGAAACCCCACCTCTACTAAAAATATAAAAATTAGGCTGGGCACGGTGGCTCACGTCTGTAATCCCAGCACTTTGGGAGGCCAAGGCGGGTGGATCACAAGGTCAAGAGATTGAGACCATCCTGGCCAACATGGTGAAACCCTGTCTCTACTAAAAATACAAAAAAAAAAAAAAAATTAGCTGGGCATGGTGGTGCGCGCCTGTAGTCCCAGCTACTTGGGAAGCTGAGGCAGGAGAATCACCTGAACCCAGGAGACAGAGGTTGCAGTGAGTTGAGACAGCACCACTGCACTCCAGCCTGGCGAGAGAGTGAGACTCCGTCTCAAAATAAAAAAAAAAAAATTAGCCAGGCATGGTGGTGCGCACCTGTAGTCCCAGCTACTCAGGAGGCTGAGGAAGGAGAATCGATTGAACCTGGGAGGCGGAGGTTGCAGTGAGCCAAGATCACGCCACTATACTCTAGACTGGGTGACATAGCAAGACTCTGTCTCAAACAAAAACAAACAAAAAAACCCGTGACAGACCAAAAAATTAATTATTTTTTAAAACCCACATGCCATGAGAAAAGATAGGAAAATGTGATAGGAAAAGAAAAGAAAAAGTCAAGCCTGGGCACGGTGGCTCACGCCTGTAATCCCAGTACTTTGGGAGGCCGAGGCAGGCAGATCACGAGGTCAGGAGATCGAGACCATCCTGGCTAACACAGTGAAACCCCGTCTCTACTAAAAATACAAAAAATTAGCCGGGCGTGGTGGTGGGCGCCTGTTGTCCCAGCTACTTGGGAGGCTGAGGCAGGAGAATGGCGTGAACCCGGGAGGCGGAGCTTGCAGTGAGCCAAGATTGCGCCACTGCACTCTGGCCTGGGCAAAAGAGCGAGACTCCGCCTCAAAAAAAAAGAAAAAGAAAAAGATCCCATTCCCTGGCAAGCAGACTCAGAAAAAAAAGAAAAAAAGAAACAGATTCCAATATGATCTAGATATTAGAATAAACAAACAAAAAAGTTAAAGGAGCCATTCATTATAGAGATGTTTCACGATTCAGAGGAAAGTATAGTGAAGAGATGGGGAAATCTCAGCAGAGAAATGGAAACTATAAAAAATAACCAGGAGGAGGCCAGGTGCAGTGGCTCACACCTGTAATCCCAGCACTTTGGGAGGCTGAGGCAGGCGGATCACTAGGTCAGGAGATCAAGACCATCCTGGCTAACATAGTGAAACCCCGTCTCTACTAAAAATACAAAAAATTAGCCGGGCGCATGACGGGCACCTGTGGTCCCAGCTACTCGGGAGGCTGAGGCAGGAGAATGGCGTAAACCTGGGAGGCAGAGCTTGCAGTGAGCCGAGATCGCACCACTGCACTCCAGCCTGGGCAACAGAGCGAGACTCCATCTCAAAAATAAAATAAAATAAAATAAAATAAAAACCAGGTGAAAATTACAGAAATAAGAAATACAGTATCAGAAATAAAATATTCACTAAATGGGTTTAACAGCAGATTGAAGACAAAAGACAGAGTCAGTGAACTTGACGCTATGACAATAGAAACTATCAAAACTGAAATGGAGGAAAAAAGATTGGAAAAAGGTGGTCAGAGCTTTGGTAACCTGTAGAATGTCACATGGGGTAAACTATGTTGGTGGAGTTCCAGAACGAGAGGATTAAACAGAGAAACTATTAAAAGTAATTTAAAATTTCCCTAATACAGTAAAAGATGCAAGAAGCTGAGCAAACTCAAAACTAAAGCTAGGCATATCATCGTCATACAGCTGAATACTAAAATTAAAAAAAAAAAATCCTGAAAACAGCCAGAGAAATATAATTAATCATATATGAGGCAAGAACGATATGATTACTGTCGACTTTTCATCAGCAACACTGAAAGCCAGGAGACGATACAATGACATCTTTAAAAGACCAAAAAGAAAAAACTGTCAAACTGGCAAAATATATCATTCAAAAACAAGGCTGAAAGGCTGAAATAAAAACATTCAGATAAATGAAAGCTCAGAAAATTTTTCAACAGTAGACCTGTCATTTGGACCTACAGGAAGAAATGAAAACACCAAAAATGGTAAATAAATAGTTAAATGCTAAAAACTAGCTTTTTTCTACTTGATTTCCTTAAAAGACAAAAGACTCATATATATCTATATGTAGAGAGAGAGAGCTGTTTTTTTGTTTGCTTGTTTTAGTTTTTGTTTTTGAGACAGAGTTTTGCTCTTGTTACCCAGGCTAGAGTCCAATGGCATGATTTTGGCCATCGCAACCTCCACCTCCCGGGTTCAAGCGACTCTCCTGCCTCAGCCTCCCGAGTAGCTGGGATTACAGGCATGTGCCACCACGCCTGGCTAATTTTGTATTTTTAGTAGAGACAGGGTTCCTCCATGTTGGTCAGCCTGGTCTCGAACTCCCAACCTCAGGTGATCCGCCTGCCTCGGCCTCCCAAAGTGCTCGGATTACAGGCGTGAATCACCACACCCGGCTGTTTATTTTTGTTTTTAAGGCCAGTAGAGTAGGATAAAAGAAATTTATCTGGGCCAGGTATGGTGGCTCAGCCTGCAATCCCTGCACTCTGGGAGGCTGAGGCGGCAGATTGCTTGAGCCCAGGAGTTTGAGACCAGCCTGGGCGACATGGCAAAACCCCATCTCTACAAAAAAATAGAAAAATTAGGTGGGCATAGTGACACATGCCTGTAGTTGGGCACTTGGGATGCTGAGATGGAAGGATTACTTGAGCTCAAGAGGCTGAAGCTGCAGGTAGCCACAATCACACTACTGCACTCCAGCCTGGGCAACAGAGAGTGAGACCCTATATCAAAAAAAAAAAAGAAAAAAAAAAGAAAAAATTTGTCTGAACATGGGTCAGCTGGTGTTTAAAAAAAATTTTTAATATTAAAAAAGAAATCTGTAATCAGTTGTGATCATTTAGTTGTAAACACCAGTGCACTTGGACCAGCTGCCTCATTAAACTATTATAAAATAAGTTCACTGTAAGGTGAATTTAAAAATATATAGGGCTAAGTGCAGTGTCTCATGCCTGTAACGCCAGCACTTTGAGAGGCTGAAGCAGGAGGATTGCTTGAGCCTAGGAATTTGAGACAAGCCTAGGCAACACAGTAAGACCTCTTCTCTACAAAAAATAAAAAATTTAGTCAAGCACAGTAGCGCACACCTGTGGTCCAGGAGGCTGAGGCAGGAGGATTGCTTGAGCCCAGGAGGTCATGGCGGCAGTGAGCTATGGTTGCACCGCTGCACTCCAGCCCGAGCAACAAAGACCCTGTCTCGAAAGAAAAAAAAAGAAAAGGAAAGGAAAAAGAGGCTGGGCTCGGTGGCTCATGCCTATAATCCCCGCACTTTGGGAGGCTGAGGTAGGCAGACCACTTGAAGTAAGGAAGTTTGAGACGAGCCTGGCCAACATAGCAAAACCCCATCTCTACTTAAAAAAAAAAAAAGGTGGGGGGGCCGGGCACGATGGCTCACGCCTGTAATTCCCAGCACTTTGGGAGGCCGAGGTGGGCAGATCACGAGGTCAAGAGATCAAGACCATCCTGGCTAACAGGGTGAAACCCCGTCTCTACTAAAAATACGAAAAATTAGCCAGGCGTGGTGGCGGGCGCCTGTAGTCCCAGCTACTCGGAAGGCTGAGGCAGGAGAATGGTGTGAACCCGGGAGGCGGAGCTTGCAGTGAGCCTAGACCGCGCCACTGCACTCCAGCCTGGGTGACAGAGCGAGACTCCATCTCAAAAAAAAGAAAATTAGCTGGGCGTGGTGGCACGCGCCTGTAATTCCAAGCTACTCAGGAGGCTGAAGCAGGAGAAGGGCTTGAACCTGGAAAGCAGAGGATGCAGTGAACTGAGATCGTGCCACTGCACTCCAGCCTGGATGACAGAGCGAGACTCTGTCTAAAAAAAAAAGGGAAAAAAAAGTCAAAGCTGGCCATGTTATTTGGGGCTATGGAAAAAACAAACAAATAAAAGGCTGAGATTTTCAGGAGCTTCGTGGTTGGTGAATGCAACCACGTGCTGGGAGGTCAGTGCACCCCAACTCCTCCAGCAGAAGTGCCTGCATTCAAGACCCTTCCAGACCGTACTCTATGAATCTCTTCATCTGTATCCCTTATAATATCCTTTATAATAAACCAATAAACAGCTGGTTCAGTGTGCTGAACTTTGCTAGCAGCTGAGAAAGGAAGCTAGAAAGAGGCAAGCTCCTGATGCAAAGGTTGGCGTGCAGCATAATTTAGGCCTTAGAGAAGCTGGGGTTTTAACACTTCACAAGATGTGTTTTCTCAAAGCTGCCAGTTCTTTTAGAACTCATCAAATTAGGCTGCTCCAACCAGCTTTACAGGGAATGGATTTAAGGCAAATCTTGTGTTTAAAGAGATTTAGAGGAAGCCTGAAGAGGAAAGTGGACAGATTGTGAAGAAAATCCGTGGTATTTTTGCCTTTAAGGTGAAGAATGAATGGCCTAGGGGGTAAAGAAGCCACCTAGTGGTGGAGGTAAAGAACACAAAGGATCAGTGCTTTCTAACTCTAACTCAGATGAGAAAGCTGACCACACAATCACAAAGACTGACTAGGATTTACTGGCTTTAGTGATTGAAGTGGTAAAATGAATCCTCAGTTCTCCTTCTTTCAAGGCAAAGGGAAAATCACTGGCAATATGAAGTTACAAAGTTTTCAGCTTCAGCCGAGCAAAGGTAAGCTGCGAGGAACTCCCTTTGGCTACTTTTGAAAATCAAGATATCTCATCTCACAGATAGGAATTCATACAATTTCATTGTCAGAATTTAGGCTGAAACTACACATTGAAAAATAACATGAGATAGATTTGTTTTAAAAGGTGTGACCAATCCTGGTTTTCCTAACCTCTGGGTGAATACAGCCTGATAATGAACTACTGCTTTGCTGAACTGGAAACAACTGTGCATTACAAAGTTAATACGTTATTTATGGCCTGGAGTAAAACTGAGCTTCAGAATAAAATTAGGAACAGCAAAATACAAAAAAAGTACATAAACAAAAGCTCCCATTTTGCTTATGAAGTGCACTGAAGGGCCAGGCACAGTGGCTCATGCCTGTAATCCCAACACTTTGGGAGGGCAAGGCAAGAGGATCACTTGAGTCAAGGAGTTCGAAACCAACCTGGGCAACACAGTGAGACTTAGTCTCTACAAAAAAATTTTTTTAATTAGCTGGGCATAGTGGCATGTGCCTGTAGTCCCAGCTACCTAGGAAGCCGAGGTGGGAGGATCATTTGAGCCCAGCAGGTAAGAGGCTGCAGTGAGCCAGGACAGAGGCTGCAGTGAGCCGTAATCATGCCCATGTACTCCACACTGTGTAACAGAGCGAGGCTCTGTCTCAAAAAAAAAATTAAAATAAAGTACATTTAAGAATTATTCTGCTGAAGATGTAATTTAAGAGTTCCCTGGATGAACTAGAGAAGAAAAAGACTACCAATAGCTGGCAAGTAATTAGTGTTATGCATTTAATAACCTTAATCAGTAATAATTAATAATTCTTAAAATTTTATACTGGGGGCCAGGCATGGTGGCTCACGCCTGTAATCCCAGCACTTTGGGAGGCCAAGGAGGGTGGATCATATTTTTTTTTTTTTTCAGACAGAGTCTTGCTCTGTTGCCTACGCTGGAGTGCAGTGATGCAATTTCGGTTCACTGCAACCTCTCCCTCCCGGGTTCAAGCAATTCTCTTGCCTTAGCCTCCCGAGTAGCTAGGACTACAAGTGCCTGCCACCACACCTGGCTAATTTTTGTATTTTAATAGGATCGGGGTTTCATCATGTTGGCCAGGCTGGTCTTGGACTCCACACCTCAAGTGACCCACCCCCCTCAGCCTCCTAAAGTGCTAGGATTACAGGCGTGAGTCACCACGCCTGGCCAACCTCAGGAGTCAGAGACCCACCTGAGCAACCTGATGAAAACTCATCTGTACAAAAAAATACAAAAATTAGCTGGGCATAGTGGTGTTAGTGGTGTGCACCTATAGTCCCAACTTCTTGGGAGGCTAAGGCAGGGGATTGCTTGAGCCTGGGAGGTGGAGTTTGCAGTCAGCCAAGATCATGCCATTGCACTCCAGCCTGGACAACAGAGCAAGACTGTCTCAAAAAAAAAAAAAATCAAAATTTGTGGGACACAGCTCTAGTGATGCTTAAAAGGAAATGTACAGGCCAGGCACGGTGGCTCATGCCTGTAATCTTAGCACTTTGGGAGGCTGAGGCAGGAGGATCACGAGGTCAGGAGATCGAGACCACCCTGGCTAACATGGTGAAACCCCATCTCTACTAAAAATACAAAAAAATTAGCTGGGCATGGTGGTGGGCGCCTGTAGTCCCAGCTACTCGGGAGGCTGAGGCAGGAGAATGGCGTGAACCCGGGAGGCGGAGCTTGCAGTGAGCCGAGATCCGCCACTGCACTCCAGCCTGGGCGACAGAGCAAGACTCTGTGTCAAAAAAAAGGAAATGTATAGCTTTAAATGTCTACTTTAAAAAAGAAGGCTTTAAAATCAGTGCTCTAAGTTTTCATCTTAAGAAGCTAGAAAAGGGAATTGAACAATGAGAACACATGGACACAGGAAGGGGAACATCACACACCGGGGCCTGTTGTGGGGTGGTGGGAGGGCGGAGGGATAGCATTAGGAGATATACCTAATGTTAAATGACGAGTCAATGGGTGCAGCACACCAACATGGCACATGTACATATATGTAACAAATCTGCACGTTGTGCACATGTACCCTAAAACTTAAAGTATAATAAATAAATAAAGAAGCTAGAAAAACAAACACAAAGTAAATGGAAGGAAGTGCTAAACAGTAACAAAAAAAAATCAATAAAAACACACCAACAATTGGAAACCTAAAACTTACATTAAGAAGCCAGGCGCAGTGGCTCACGCCCATAATTCCAGCACTTTGGGAGGCCGAGGCAGGCGGATCACAAGGTCAGGAGATAGGATCATCCTGGCTAACACAGTGAAACTCCGTCTCAACTAAAAATACAAAAAATTAGCTGGGCGTGGTGGCGGGTGCCTGTAGTCCCAGCTACTCGGGAGGCTGAGGCAGGAGAAGGGCATGAACCCAGGAGGCGGAGCTTGCAGTGAGCCCAGATGTCACCACTGCACTCCAGCCTGGGCTACAGAACAAGACTCCATCTCAAAAAAAAAAAAAAAAAAAAAAATTACATTAAGAAAAGTTGGTTCATTAAAAAGATGTTTAGATTAATAAACACTTAGCAAGATGAATTAAGAAAAAAAGAGGCTAGGACAAGTGGCTCACACCTGTCATTCCAGAACTTTGGGAGGCCAAAGCAGGCAGATCACTCGGGCACAGGAGTCCCAGACCAGCCTGAGCAACATGGCAAAAGCCAGTCTCTACAAAAAAATACGAAAAATTAGCCGGGCATTGTGGCACGTGCCCGTAGTCCCAACTACTCAGGAGGCTGAGGTGGGAGGATCACTCAAGCCCAGGAGGTGAGCCATGATAGCACCACTGCACTCCAGCTTGGGTGACAGAGTGAGACCCTGTCTCCAAAAAAAAAAAAAAAAAAAAAAAGAGAGAGAGAAAATACAAATTATCAATGAAAGAGTATATTTATAAAATAAACTCTTCCTCCAAAGAAAACTACAGGATCATATAGTTTCACAGGTAAATTCTATCAAATATTAAAGACAGAATAATACTGATCTTCAACAAATTATTTCAGAAAATAGAAGAGGGAACACTTTTCAGCTCAATTTCTGTAACCAGTATAAGCCTCATATCAAAATAGGACAGACTTTGTAAAAGAAAATTACAAATCAGTATCCCTTATGAACAAAGTAGCAAAAAAATCCTCAAGAAAATGTAGCAAAATAGAGCAACACAGAAAAAGAATACACTATGACCAAATGGAAGTTATACAGGAATACATTAGTCCAATATTTGAAAATCAAGGTAATGTAATTCAGTAGCTTTAAATACAGTCTATTCTCATTTTTGAGATGGAGTCTCACTCCCATTGCACAGACTGGAGTGCAGTGGTACAATCTCAGCTCACTGCAACCTCCACCTCCCGGGTTCAGGCGATTCTCCTTCCTCAGCCTCCCGAGTAGCTGGGATTACAGGCATGCGCCACCACGTCCGGCTAATTTTTGTATTTTTAGTAGAGACGGGGTTTCACCATGTTGGCCTGGCTGGTCTTGAACTCCTGACCTCAGGTGATCCACCTGCCTTGGCCTCCCAAAGTGCTGGGATTACAGGCGTGAGCCACCATGCCCAGCCTACTCTCACTTTTCTACACTTTACCCAACGACCTGCTAGAGCCATAGTAACCTTTCAGGAAAAGAATATACATGATTTTTGAGACAAATAGCCCAGTGACAAATTTATAATTAATTACACAGATCAGCAGAGCACTCCAATTCCAGAAAATCAATTTCTAGCCTTCACAGAATTTTAACATTTTGTTCTTTTATCAAAGATCAACATTAGAAAATGAACATGAAGAATATAAAGTTCCTCATCTCTTGCAGAAATAACAAGACTATTTCATTACACTGTACAATGCCCCTTATGTAATGTCCCCAGACAATCCATGCCTAATTTAGTTCTAGTGGAAAAAACATACCTTCCTAATGGTTCCTTTTATTAATGTAATGAACATGATAGGGATGAGAAATGAAGTAAAAAGCCCATGGTTGAGTAAAGATCTCACTATCAATTGAGAATGCATTATGGCAACATAGTGTGATGACACTCAAATGCACTTAAACCCAGAAAACTTGTATAAAGTTTCTCAAGCAAAGAAACTAAAAAACAGAGAAAGCTCATCCTCTTGGGCATATAATAGCTGTAACTGACATCACTGTTGTTATTAGTGCCACTGGTTGTCCCAAAGTTAAGGGGGCCTAGGAAAGCAACGGATCAGAAAATGAGAACTGTGTAAACTCAGATTTCTTCTCTTTAAGCTTTCCTAGGAAATTCTGAAATACATTTTGCATTGAAAAAGCTACCCTCAGCCGGGCATGATGGCTCACGCCTGTAATTCCAGCACTTGGTGGGAGGCCAAGGTGGGTGAATCACCAGAGGTCAAGAGTTCAAGACCAGGCTGACGAACATGGTAAAACCCCCTCTCTACGAAAAATAAAAAATTAGCTGGGCGTGGTGGTGTACGCCTGTAATCCTAGCTACTAGGGAGGCTGAGGCAGGAGAATCACTTGAATTTAGGAGGCAGAGGTTGCAGTGAGCCGATATCGCACCACTGCACTCCAGCCTGGGCAACAGAGTGAGACTCCATCTCAAAAAAAAAAAAAAAAAAAAAAGCTACCCTTAACCAAAGTACTCTGGTACATTTATCTTCTCTTTTCATTATGTAACTCTTCTTATATCTTAGTTGCAGTGCATTTTTATTGGTACTGCCTCAAATTCATTTTAGAAATGAAGAAGATATAAGAAAATATGAAACTAACATAAAGAAGATTATACCCATATCAGAACTGATAAATATTACTTTTCAATAAAGAGGGATAAATGTAACAAAACCATCATAACAGTTTAAAAAAAAAAAAAGGGCTGGGCACGGTGGCTCTAGCCTGTAATTCTAACACTTTGGGAGGCCAAGATGGGGGGATTAACCTGAGCTCAAGAGTTCGACAGCAGCCTGGGCAACATGGTAAAACCCCGTCTCTACTAAAACAGTAAAAAAATCAGCCGGGCGTGGTGGCAGGTGCCTGTAATACCAGCTATGTGACATGCTGAGGCATGAGAATTGCTTGAACCCGGAGGCAGAGGTTGCAGTGAGCCGAGACTGTGCCACTGCACTCCAGCCTGGGCAACAAAGTGAAACTCTGTCTCAATGAAAAAAAAAAAAAAGATGAACTAAGATTTAAACCAAAGGTAAGCGAATAATACTACTAACATTTGTAATGTTTGGTCTCTTTCCAATCAACAAATGTGATGGGTTTACTTTACCTTAATTTCTATCCTTGCTCTGTGAGGAAAAAGTTGTCCGATCATAGAAAAGTCAGTTCCTACCATGCTGATGGCTAAAAAAAACATATCTGTTTCTGTGAAAATAAAAGATTTAGAATGATTGAAAATTAATTATATCAATATTTCAGAGAAAAGAAATCTTACAGAATTTGACAGTACTTAATTTTACTAGAAAGATCCCCATGCAATACCTAAAAACACCTTATTATAAATAAAAACTTTTCAGTATAAGAAATCGTAGGCTGGGCATGGTGGCTCACACCTATAATCCCAGAACTTTGGGAGGCCAAGGCAGGCAGATCATTTGAGGACAAGAGTTAGAGACCAGGGCCGGTCGCGGTGGTTCACGCCTGTAATCCCAGCACTTTGGGAGGCTGAGGCGGGTGGGTCACCTAAGGTCAGGAGTTTGAGACCAGCCTGACCAACATGGAGAAACCCCGTCTCTACTAAAAATACAAAATTAGCTGGGCATGGTGGCACATGCCTGTAATCCCAGCTATGTGGGAGGCTGAGGCAGGAGAATCGCTTGAACCCGGGAAGCGGAGGTTGCAGTGAGCCGAGATCGTGCCATTGCACTCCAACCTGGGCAACAAAAGTGAAATTCCATCTCAAAAAAAAAAAAAAAAAGAGTTTGAGACCAGCCGGGCCAACATGGTGAAACCCTGTCTCTGCTAAAAATAAAAAAAAAATGAGCTGGGCGTGGTGGCGTGCACCTGTAATCCCAGCTACTGGGGAGGCTGAGGCAGAAGAATAGCTTGAACCCGGGAGGCGGAGGTTACAGTGAGCTGAGATGGCGCCACTGCACTCCAGCCTGGGCGAAAGAGCGAGACTCCACCTCAAAAAAAAAGAAAAAGAAATCATACAAAAGCATCTGGAATTTTTTTTTTAAAACATTCATTCTGCCTAGCTGATCTTATTCAAAGTGCTCTGAAGAAAGCTATGAGTCATACTCAGGATAGGGTTACACTACATAGGCAACTAAGATGTGCTAAGTAGTATATAAAGAAAGTAGCTAGAAAAATACACAAGAGGCCACGCACGGTGGCTCACGCTTGTAAATACCAGCACTTTGGGAGGCCGAGGCGGGCAGATCACTTGAGGTCAGGAGTTCCAGACCATCCTGGCCAACATGGTGAAACCCCGTCTCTACTAAAAACACAAAAATTAGCTGGGCATGGTGACATATGCCTGTAATCCCAGCTACTCGGGAGACTGAGGAAGGAGAATCACCTGAACCTAGGAGGTGGCGGCTGCAGTGAGCCAAGATCGCACCACTGCACTCCAGCCTGGGTGACAGAGTGAGACTCGGTCTCAAAAAAAGAAACTACTAACAGAAGTTACACTTCAGGAGAATAGGAATAGGGAAGTGAAAGAAGGGAAGTATAGAATCTTTTTACTCTATATCCTGCTGTTTGAATTTTTCCTCAAAACTACTGTTTTTAAAATAAAAACAATAAGCACCAACATGCAACAGATTTTTAACAGCGTATTTATCTATAGAAGCTTTATTATACAATATTATCTGAGGTAGAACATTATTCGCATTAGAAATGTTGTATTGTTGGCTGGGCACAGTGGCTCACGCGTGTAATCCCAGCACTTTGGGAGGCTGAGGCAGGCGGATCACCTGAGGTCAGGAGTTCGAGACCAGCCTGGCCAACATGGTGAAACCCCATCTCTACCAAAAACACAAAAATTAGCTGGGCATGGTGGCAGGCGCCTGTAATCCCAGCTGCTCGGGAGGCTGAGGCAGGAGAATCGCTTGAACCCAGGAAGCAGAGGTTGCAGTGAGCCGAGATCGCGCCACCGCACTCCAGCCTAGGCGACAAGAGCGAAACTCCATCTCAAAAAAAAAAAAAAAAAGGAAATATTGTATTGTTAATTTTTATTTAAATGGTATTTACTGTAGAGATTTGACAGAGAGGAACATTCCAGCCAAAACGACTATAAAGGTAATTCTTAAAAAATATTTCTTTCAGCAGAACAGTGACTGAAAGAAATTAAAAAAAAAAAAAAATTTCTGGGCTGGGCACAACGACTCACGCCTATAATCTCAACACTTCGGGAGGCAAAGGATCGCTTGAGCCTAGGCATTGGAGACCAGCCTGGGCAACATACTGAGACCTTATTTCTTCAAAAAATCCAAAACACAGGCCAGGTGCGGTGGCTCATGCCTGTAATCCCAGCACTTTGGGAGGCCAAGGTGAGCAGATCACCTGAGGTCAGGAGTTTGAGAGCAGCCTGGCCAACATGATAAAACCCCATCTCTACTAAAAATACAAAAATTAGCTGGGGGTGGTGGCAGATGCCTGTAATCCCAGCTACTTGGGAAGCTGAGGCAGGAGAATCGCTTGAACCCAGGAGGCAGAGGTTGCAGTGAGCCGAGATCGTGCCATTGTACTTCAGCCTGGGCAACAAGAGGGAAACTCCGTCTCAAAAAATAAAAAAATTTTTTTCAAAAAATTAGCTGGGTTTGGTGGCACACGCCTGTAGTGCCAGCTACTCTGGGAGGCTGAGGCAGGAAGATCACATGAGCCCAAGAGTTCAAGGCTGCAGTAAGCTAAGATAGTTTCACTGCACTCCAGCCTCGGCAATCAATCAAGACCCTATCTCTACTTTCTAATTTTTTTTCTTAATTTTTTTGTAGAGATGAGGTCTTGCTTTGTTGCCCAAGTTGGTCTCAAACTCCTGGCCTCAAGTGATCCTCCTGCCTCAACCTCCCAAAGTGCAGGGATTACAGGTGTAAGCCACTGCACCTGGCTGAGACCCAGTTGCTATAAAAAATAAAATTTTTTTGAAGATTTGTAAGACAAAGTCAGAGATACCATTCCATGGAAGGCATAAGATAGAGGTGTCAATAAAATTAGCTGGAATAAAATGGTAGTTTGCATTTTATGTACTTAGGGGAGAACTGATTTAATTCAGAAACAGTCAATTCATTTCAAATAGAGAACTTACACATTTTTAAATGAAAATTAGTTACCTTTATTTGACCATGGTTTAGAGTAATAGTTTTTCCTAAAGCTGGAGTATGTAGTTGTAGAACCGCGCTCAAATATGGGGTCATTTTCTTCAACAACACAAGGGCCTTTTGTTCTTAAAACTTCTACAGTTAAACTGAAATAAACACATTTTTAAATAGATGTATACTAAAAACAAGGAAACAAATAGCAAATGAGATGTAAATAGTTATATTTTGAGGTTTAGCACGGCAATCATATCAAAGGCATAATAATACTTATGTGAAATATGGGTATTTTCCAAGCATCTGCTAAGTTTTACCTACAATGTGATTCCAAGAGGGTAGAAAGAAATGTCAACTCATTTTCAAAATCCATAACAGCAGTATAATATTTACAAAATATCTTTGGGCTACGTATTATAAAACGGTATTTGTATTATTGACTTCCACATGTCTTTGATATTCAATATGTATTACTGTGCTGGACTCCATGGAAATTTTGAAAAACACAAGCACTTTATATTTTACATTCCTGCAGAGAAAGCAGTTAAATATGCTCTAACTATTTAATGACCAGTAAAATCATCATCACAAACTAATGGAAAATAGCACACAAAAACAACTATTATTAGCAGTATTACATTTATGTTTAATTATAGAATGTGAATGCTATAAAATTATTTTTCACTGGCTAAACTTTCAAAGACCTTCCATTGCTTTATTTATTTACTTACTAATTTATCATCTTTTAAAAAAAAACCCTTAAGACAACTAAATTCCACAATGCCCAATGTGCAAAATTTAATGTTATAACTGAGAAATTAAACCAAAAGATGAATTATACCTCACCATAACAAAAATCATAAAATATGTTAAACCTACATTTCACTGTATATCCATTAGTTATCACCACACACCAGGATATGCTCTTAATAATATGAGAACTTGAATATTGACTTCAAGACTGTGTCAATCTTAGAAATTTATCCTCAGTGGAAGACAGCATATGATTAGTTCAACAGCCTGACTCAATGACCAGTAAAGATAATAAAACAATGGTGTTAGGTTAATAGATGATAGGGCATCTTCTCATACAAAATAGTTATAAAAATTACTAAAATTTACAAATTAATCTAACCCACTTTTCTATTTACAATATTCATTATGCAAATAAGAACATCAAGGTCTAAGTGACAAAGGCCAATACAGAAAGAGGACCTCTTTCACTAGACAAAGCATGTTTGTTCTCATGTAACCACAATCTCACTTTTTCTCTTTTCTAAATACCTTTCTTCATCCAAAATAATGGAACCATCTTCTGCCACTTTTACTCGAGGAACCAGTAATGGCCCATCATCTGTCTCTTCTTCCATTTCATTATCTTCAGCATTAGGAGTACTCTTACCTTCTTGCCTACCACATATAAAGATAAGTTAATTCACAAAGGCATGAAAAGTGTGCCTAAATAGTATAAAACTTAAAATAAATGATTACAAACTCAACCTTCTAGCTATTTCCAACTTTCCCTATAATCCAAATGA
Source organism: Homo sapiens (assembly GCF_000001405.40). Classification (NCBI taxonomy): domain Eukaryota; kingdom Metazoa; phylum Chordata; class Mammalia; order Primates; family Hominidae; genus Homo; species Homo sapiens. Next base: position 995,951 of record NT_187651.1, on the reverse strand, counting down.
AAACAGTATGTGTTATTAAGGACGCAATTAGAGGATTTTCTCAAGTTTTATCTCGAGACATTTAGTAAGAAGTCTTATTTTTTTTTTTAGATGGAGTTTCGCCCTGTCACCCAGGCTGGAGTGCAGTGGCATGATCTCGACTTACTGCAACCTCCGCCTCCTGGGTTCACACCATTCTACTGCCTCAGCCTCCCCAGTAGCTGGGATTACAGGCGCGCACCTCCACACCTAGCTAATTTTTGTATTTTTAGTAGAGACGGGTTTTCACGATGTTGGCCAGGCTGGTCTCAAACTCCTGACCTCGTGATCCACCCGCCTCAGCCTCCCAAAGTGCCGGGATTACAGGCGTGAGCCACCGTGCCTGGCCCAAGCAGTCTTTACTCTCTTTTAAAATAAAGAGAAACAGACAGGACATGGTGGTTCAGGCCTGTAATCCTAGCAATTTCAGAGGCCAAGGCAGGAAAATCACTCGAGGCCAGGAGTTGAGATCAGCCTGGGCAACATAGCAAGACCTTACCACTACAAAAAAAATTTAAAAATTAGCCCAGCATGGTGATGCGTGCCTATAGTCCCAGCTACTCAGGAGACTGAGGCAGGAGTATCTCTTGAGGCCAAGAGTTTAATCACACCACTGCACCCCAGCCTAGGTGACAGTGCAAGACCCTATCTGTAAAAATAATAATAATAATAATAATGCTTATAGTTATATAGCATTAGTTTCTAGATTATTTGATTAACTTTTCAGTACAATCCTTCAGGGTTAGTATTTTCATGCTCATTTGAGCCTTAAGGAAAATGGCCAAATGCAGCAGCTCATGCCTGTAATCCTAGTACTTTTGGAGGCTGAGGCGAGAGGATTACTTGAGCTTAGAAGTTCAAGACCACCAGCCTGGGCGACATAGTGAAACCTTATCTCTATGAAAAAAAACTCTTCAAAAACTAAAAACTTTAGGCTGGGCATGGTGGCTTACACCTGTAATCCCAGCACTTTGGGAGGCCGAGGCGGGCCGATCACGAGGTCAAGAGATGGAGACCATCCTGACCAACGTGGTAAAACCCCGTCTCTACTAAAAATACAAAAATTAGCTGGGCATGGTGGCGCACACCCGTAGTCCCAGCTGCTCGGGAGGCTGAGGCAGCAGAATCGCTTGAACCCGGGAGGCAGAGGCTGCAGTGAGCCGAGATCGCACCACTGCACTCCCGCCTGGTGACAGAGCAAGACTCCATCTCAAAAAAAAAAAAAAAAAAAAAACTAAAAAATTTAGCCAACCGTGGTGGCACACACCTGTACTCCCAGCTACTCAGGAGGCTGAGGCAGGAGGATCACGAGCCCAGGAGGTCAAGGCTGCAGTGAGCTATGTTCACACCACTGCACTCCAGCCTAGGTGACACAGCAACATCCTGTCTCAAAAATTAAATTAAAATTTTAAAATTACAAAAACAATAGCCCAACCAAATGTAATTTTTTTTTAAGAGACAAAGTCTTGCTCTGTCACCCAGGCTGGAATGCAGTGGCGTGATCATAGTTCACTACAGCCTTGAACATGTGGGCTCGAGCGATCCTCCCACCTCAGCCTCCTGAATAACTAGGACTACATGTACACACCACCATGCACAGCTTATTTTTACATTTTTTGTAGAGACAAAATGTCACTATGATGCCCAGGCTGGTCTCAACTCCTGGCTTCTGGCAATCCTCCCATCTTGGCTTCGCAAAGTGCTGAGATTACAGGAGTGAACCACTGTGCCCAACCCCAATCAAATGTAATTCAACTATAACAGGAAGCACCATTTGATCTCATTTCTTAAAAAATGTAGGAATAGAATATATTCAAAAATAAAATACTTACTCTCTTGTCTGGACTGGAGTCGATGGCTTTTCAGTTTTCTTTTCTTGTTCCAGTGAAGAACTATTGAACATAAATAACAATATCTTTAATAAATTATTAATTTATATCTTCCCAATTCTATCTGTAGGCAAGAAGAAAATTATTCTAACTTCTAATTTTTAATGATATATCACAGCATTTCGTTAATGACAGTACAATCCAACAATCAACTTTTCAGTCAAAAGCTTGTCATCACATACAAATAATTTGTTAGGTCCTAAGTAAAGAATACTTTTTTTTTTTTTTTAATACAACAACAGGGTCTTGCTGTGTCAGACTGAAGTGCAGTGCTGTGATCTCAGCTCCATGTAACCTCTACTTCTTGAGCTCAAGCAATCCTCCCACCTCAGCCTCCCACGTAGCTGGGACTACAGGTGCATGCCACCACACCAGGCTAATTTTTGTCTTTTAATTTTTTGTAGAGACGAGGTCTCACCATATCGCCCAGGCTGGTCTCAAACTCCTGGGATCATGCAATCCTCCCACCTTAGCTTCCCAAAACACTGAGATTACAGGCATGAGCCACCACGCCCAACAGAGAATGTTCTTATCCTCTAACTTCTCAGTGAAAGGAGGCTCCCAATCCCAAGGCATGAAGCAGCTTACTTAGGTGACTTGTCTCCAACTCCTGGATGTTAAACAACTCAAAACCTAGGTTTCTGGCCCTTTCTTCAACAGGGCCAAAGACCTGGTGAATCTGAAAAAGGGCTATGCTGAGGAACTGTCCCAACTCCTACCTCTACCTGCTAAACCATCAACAATACAACAATGAGATTTATTATAAACCTGCCTCAGAAACCCCAGGCTAACTTTAATAAAGAAGCTTTGTTCTTGGAGGATTTATTAATCACACTACTACTGTCTTTATTAGAAGGCAGGGCATAAAACTTGGATCACTCCTTTAGATCAGTTTATAGTATGTTAAAAATAGAAATTCCAATCCTTTCAAACATTTTTTTTTTAAATGAGACAGAGTCTCGCTGTCTCCCAGGCTGGAGTGCAGTGGTGCAATCTTGGCTCACTGCTGCCTTGAACTCCCAGGCTCAAGTGATCCTCCCACCTCAGCCTCCTGTGCGCCACAATGCCCAGGTAATTTTTGTATTTTTTGTAGAGATGGGGTCTCACTACATTGCCCAGGCTGGTCTCAAACTCCTGGGCTCAAGCAATTCTCTCGCCTTGGCCTCCTAAAATGCTGTGATTACAGGGATGAGCCACCTCGCCTGGCCAAAATTGCAATCTTGATTACAGAAAAGTGGCTTAGTTGGTTTCACTATGCCTTGGTAACTAATATAACAAAGAAAAAACATTTTTTTTTTTGAGACAGGATCTCGCTCTGTCACCCTGAGTGCACCCAGAATGCAGTGGCATGAACATGGTTCACTGCAGCCTCAAATGCCAGGGTTCAAGCAGTCCTCCTGCCTCAGCCTCCCAAATAGCTGGAACTACAGGCACATGCCACCATGCCTGGCTAATTTTTGTACTTTTTGTAGAGACAGGGTTTCACCATGTTGCCCGGGCTGGTCTCAAACTCCTGGACTCAGGCGGCCCACACACCTTGGTCTCCTAAAGTGCTGGGATTACAGGCATGAGCCACTGTGCCCAGCCAGGAAATTTATTTTTAATCTCAGAAATAAAGGGCATAATCTACCATCCCCAGAAAGCAGTTACTTGAAATACTGCTACTTTTTGTTATGAAATTCTATTTAAAAGGACATATGTGTTCCAAATTTTGTCAACATGTTTTTGGAAAACTAAAAAATTTACTATAAAAGTGCTATTTATATAACTACATACCCAAATAAAGTAAAACAGAAGGCCAGGTGCAGTGGCTCACGCCTGTAATCTCAGCACTTTGGAAAGCCGAAGCGGGTGGATCACCCGAGGTAAGGAGTTTAAAACCAGGCAAGCCAACATGGCGAAACCCAGTCTCTACTAAAAATACAAAAATTAGCCGGGTGTGGTGGCGAGCATCTGTAATCCCAGCTACCCGCGAATCTGAGGCAGGAGAATCGCTTGAACCTGGGAGGCAGAGGTTGCAGTGAGCCAAGATTGCACCACTGCACTCCAGCCCGGGTGACAGAGCGAGACTCCACCTCCAAAAAAAAAAAAAAAAAAAAAAGAGATAGTAAAGCAGAAATAAATTTTACTTACGTCATTGGATTATTATCTGGTAGATAATATATGAAGTCTCTCATAGTCATTTTTGAACGATCTGGTGGCCTCTGACTTTCATTTATAGCATATTTGTTTTTCCATTGTTTCTGTATACATAAACACACAGATCCACTTTTATAAATATTAAAGAATTTCAGATGTACTATATGCAAATATACAGTCCACTGTTGCGTTCACTGTAAGTGCTTTAATATTATTCTCACCCCAATTATGTAATTTTGTAGATGGAATATTAAAAAGTTGTAGCACATTACCCTCAATAGCTTTTAGTTTTTATTTATCTACTTTTGAGATGGGGTTTTGCTCTGTCATCCAGGCTAAAGTGCAGTGGCGCAATCATAGCTCACTGCAGCCTTGAACTCCTGAGCTCAAGCAGTCCTCCCACCTCAGCCTCCCAAGTAGCTGGGACTACAGATGCTTGCCTAACACCTGGCTAATTTTGTGGGGTTTTTTTTTTTTTGGTAGAGATGGAGTCTCCCTACGTTGCCAAGGCTGCTCTCAAATTCCTGGGCTCAAGTGATCCTCCTGCCTCACACTCCTAAAGCACTGGAGTGAACCACACACCCAGGCAGTATTTAGATTTTAACAATTAAAGTGACTAGGACTAGATAAAAGCTCAATGTGGCCAGGCACAGTGGCTTATTTCTCTAATCCCAGCACTTTGGGAGGCTGAGGCAGGAGGATCGCTTGAGCTCAGGAGTTACCAGCCTGGGCAACATAAATGAGACCCTATCTCTACAAAAAAATACAAAAAAATTAGCTGGATGTGGTGGCATATGCCTATAGCCACAGCTACTTGGGAGGCTGAGGTGGGAGGATCACTTGAGCCTGGGAGGTTGAGGCTGCAGTGAACTGCAATTATACTAGCGCACTCCATCCTGGGTGACAGTGAGACCTTGTCTCAAAACTAAATAAATAACCAAAGAATAAAACTAATAAAGCTCAATGTATAAAATGCTTACTGATGCCTTCTAACTAAACATCTTAATAGCTCACTGAGAATTTATGCTTACACAGCTTTTTTTTTTACCCTGTAGTGACTTGAAATTCTGTGTATTTTGTAAAATTCTTGAAGCAAATGTTTAATCTTTAATTCCCCAAAATAAATTAAATAAGCAAATAAGCAGTTTCTGTAAAATACAGAACTTTTTTTTAATCCCCCCACCCCCAATTCCCAACCCATAAAACATTTTTAGAGGCTTTGATCTGTCGCCCAGGCTGGAATGCAGTAGCACAATTTCAGCTCACTGCAACCTCCGCCTTCCAGGTTCAAGCAATTGTTGTGAGGCTTACATTTTAGAAGACATAAATTGAAAGCTTGTTTTCTCCTGTGTGAAACAGTGATATCTACTTCACATAGTTGATATAATTACATAAGATAACAGATATAAAGCACCAAGCAAAATGCCTTCCCTTAATTTAAAAAAAACTAAGAGGCATTTTATAATTCATAACAGAAGCTGACACTGGTTGGACACTTACTATTTTCATGACACTAGTTTTTTTGTTTGGTTGGTTTTTTTTGAGACGGAGTCTCGCTCTGTCACTCATGCTGGAGTGCAATGGCACGATTTTGGCTCACCGCAACCTCTGCCTCCCAGGTTCAAGCGATTCTCCTGTCTCAGCCTCCTGAGTAGCTGGGATTACAGGCGTGCACCACCACGACCAGATAATGTTTGTATTTTTAGTAGAGACGGGGTTTCACCATGTTGGCCAGGCTGGTCTCGAACTCCTGACCTCAGGTGATCCGCCCACCTCGGCCTCCCAAAGTGCTGGGATTACAGGCGTGAGCCACTGCACAAGGCCCAAGACACCAGTTTAAGTGTGTTTTACATGTATTGACTCATTTAATCTTCACAACCCTCTAATGAGCTAGACAGAGGTTGAGCATCTCTTATCTGAAATACTTGAGACCAGAAATGATTCACATTTTGGATTTTTTCACATTTTTGAATACTTGCAGAATACATGCTGGCTGAGCATCTCTAACCTGAAAATTTGAAATCCAATATGCTCCAATGAGCATTTCCCTGGAGCATCACTTTGGCACTCAAAACATTTTAGACTTTGGAGCATTTTCAATTTCAGGGATGCTCAACCTGAACTATTATTGGTCTATTTTACAGATGAGGAAATAGATTAATTAAATTACCCAAGGTCACAAAGCTAGTAAAGAAATGAAGCTGAGATTCAATCCCTAAGTATTTAACTCCAGGGCCAGCATGCTCTACTGCTGTTACCTGCCCTTCTAGAAAAGAAATCAATCCTCAAGATTAAAAAGAACATGGACTCTAATATATGCATAACACAAATTTTTCCCACTTGTAATTTTCCATAGTCAATTTAGAAAACATTACCAATTCATTCTGCTCAACTATATTCGTCTTTTTTTTGGAGACAGTTTCACTCTATCACCCAGGCTGGAATGCAGAGGCACAATCTCGGCTCACTGCAACTTCCACCTCCCAGGTTCAAGCAATTCTCATGCCTCAGCCTCCCCAGTAGTTGGGATTACAGATGCACGTCACCAGGCCCAGCTAATTTTTGTATTTTTAGTAGAGACAGGGTTTTGCCATGTTGGCCAGGCTGGTCTTGAACTCCTGACCTCAAGTGATCTGCCCCCCTAGTCCTCCCAAAGTGCTGGGATTACAGGCATGAGCCACCACGCCCGGCCTATACTTGTCTTAATTCAAATAAATATATCACTTATCACTTGGACATCTTTATGTGAAAAATCAGACTGAAGGTTTATTTTATAAATATGTTTGTGTATGTGCATCTATGTGTATGCGTATGAAACTTATTTGTGGTCTTCACCAAAAACAGTGAAAACATAAATAAATAATGTAAAAATTACTATCAGTGAAAAATGTAATTTAAGTCCACGGTGTATCAATCAATCCATTAACAAGAAGGGATGTTCTATTGACTAAGGGATGTTATGTGGTTTTGTTCCCCCATCAAAATGCTACAAATGCTTTTCTTCCCAATGATTCCTTACTAACATAAATAGAAGGCAACATCAAAATCCTGATTCTCCTCCCTTACCTTCTCTTTTCTCAATTCTTCTTTTAACATTTCCCTCAGTTTCTGGGCTTTGTATATTCGGTATCTGTCTGAGCATGGCTGTTTCTCTTTTGTTGAAGTGGCAGTTGGCTGTGGAGCCTCTTGATTAATTGTAGATAAGGGATGAGATTCTGAAGGAACACTGACACTAGACTTAACCAGGCTAGAAGTACTTGATATTCGCTTTCTTCTCTGTGAAACAGTAGAGGAAGATCTACTGGATTCTTCAACATCATTGTCACCACCAGTCTTTTCAGTACTGTTGAAATTAAAAAAGAAAAAAGAGGGCACATGAATCTTCTGTTACACATGCTAGTTTTAAAACCTAGTCTGGTGAAAATCCAAAACTGCAATCTCGTAATTAAAAAAAAAAAATTAGTAACTTGAGATTTATGATAATTATGACAGGTTACAAAAAAATTTGTTTAGTAAATCTTTTAAATATACGTAAATTCTAATAGACTCTTAATCTTTTTCAAACATAAAGTCCCTAGGCACATTAGAGCACATAATTATAGGCTTACCCCCCTCAAAACAAATAACCAACTTACAGAACAAAGCTTAGTCAACCTAATTTGAATTACTAAGTAACAAAGTAATAATTTATAATTAATTTCTATATAAAATTTAAAAAAATTTTAATTCACTCTGACATTTTAAACTGGTCTAAACTACCGGCATTTTACTTTACTTATCAACCCGAGGTCAGTCAAATCAAATATGCAAAACTTCAAACCTCTGAAATATCTGTATTGCAGTATTTGAAGAAAAACATTTAGTTACAGTAGCCAAACCCAATTCCCTTTGAGGCAGAAATCATTTATCTTTTGTCAGGTACAACTCTACTTATACAGCCATCAGAATAAACTTCAGTCAAAAAAAGTACTCAGTCACCCCAAATTGCATATTAGGTATGGTATACCTCAGATATAAGTATTTCAGGAATGGTCTATAAATGCAACTTAAGTCAAGAAAAGAGGTGGTATAAGTCAATAATTAAAAACAGTCTACTTTTTTCCTATTTTATAATTACTTATAAAAAATTAGAAAATGCCTTAACTTATAGAATAACCTTTCCAGGAAGACTTCAATTTAAATTCGTATCTTAGCTGTTATGGATACATGCATTATCTGCATTTCACCCAATTATGTTGAATGCATAATGACAGAATATATATCCTATAGAGTTTTACAACTAGCAAAGACCCACAAAAAAATAAAAAGAGGCTGGGCACGGTGGCTCACACCTGTAACCCCAGCACTTTGGGCTGAGGCAGGTGGATCACTTGAGGTCAGGAGTTCGAGTCCAGCCTGGCCAACATGGTGAAACCCTGTCTCTACTGAAAATACAAAAATTAGTTGGGCGTGGTGGGGCACGCCTGTAGTCCCAGATACTTGGGAGCCTGAGACAGGAGAATTGCAAGAACCCGGGAGGTGGAGGTTGCAGTGAGCCGTACCACTGCACTTCAGCCTGGGCGACAGAGCAAGACTCCATCTAAAAAAAAAACTAATTAAAAAAAAAAAAAAAAACCACTTTCCCAGAGTCAGTAATGGCAAAAAAAGTGACTAAAAAACAAATTATATTCCCCAAACGTAAATGTCAACTCAAAAAAAAAAATTAAATATCCTTGACCATAAATATCTCAAAACTACAATCTTTGGGCAATTTATTAAATTATCAACCATCACGCACTCACACATAATTAACGAAATCTCTGAGAACTTTATTAATGTAACAGCGACTAGTATCGGTATCTCCTTTCTGTGTAGAAATTTTGAAACAGATTCATGTAATAAACTTGGAAATTACTAACCATCACTGAACTATCAACGTAACACCATACACTCAGCACCAGTTCAGGCCAATAGAGGAAGATGTTCCAAAAATAAATAAATTTTTCACCTTCCTATCACAGCATAAACAGAATTTGTACTATCTCACTTCACTTAACAAGGCTGTTTACTGATTTCCTCATATATATAGAAACAGAGACCATCTTAGCCTAACATGTCTTAAATTTACTCCATCACCTTTCTAAAAAACTAGTAACTTTTTGCGGGCAACTATTCTGCTATATCCCCTGCAAGGTAGTTAATATGAATTATCTCCAATCTGCACCAAAACGCTCCAAGTAGGCAATATTATTCCCATTTTGCAGATGAGCAAATTCTGCCTGAGAAAAGTTTACCTGTAGACTAAAAGAGTCCTGAATCCAAATATGATACATGACGCTAAAGCCATGCTTCTCTATTCAGGAAACACGGTCACCATAGTTAAAGAGGCACACTTCAATTAAGTGACCAGAACTCTTACTCACTGACATAAATCGGTAAAGCCAAAGCAATACTTATCTTCTCCTTTAAAAAATAAATATTTTATAAATTGAAAGACAAAAACACTTCCCTGCAAAGCACTCCAGAAGGATGAAAACTATAGTGACCTAAATTCTCAAATGAATAGTGTGGATATTCTTCACTTCAGGACTGCCATACCCCGATTCTCCCTACCACCACTTGAAGACATGGTCTCCTCTCGGAGAATCTATAGACCGTGACAAAATCCACACAAGCCACACCCTGCAGGTCAGACAACTAAACTGCAGTTTGGAGTGGTTTCATCAAGCCTCAACTGAAAGGCTTACTGCAAACGAGAGCGGACTCCTGTGATAAAATTCATTTGCTCAGCTTCCAGGTGACATGCCCGGAGAGGCGGGACAAATGAAAATTCTTCCCTCTGCAACCTCTTACCTGCTCCTAGGAGCCTTTTCTTGGGGCTCCGCTCCACCGAAATCGACTGTGGGCACATCTGTGGGCTCCGCGGGCTTGGAAGCAGAGTCCGTGGCAGGCTCCGGCGGCCTGGGAGACTCCCGTCCACGCTGGGGATTGGAAGCTGTGGAGCCCCTGGCGCCTACACCAGGCCTGACATTCGGCTTCACGCTAAGGCGTGCCCTGCGGAACATGGCGGAGGCAGGGGGCCCGGGGAGGCAGCCTCACGGCCGCTCACAGCCCCGAGCCCCGGCGGCTGCCCGGAAAGGGGATTAGGAACTACGCCCTCCCCACAAAGCCACACCACCAGCTCAGGGGGCAGCTACCGTAGTTTCACTGCCCCGCCGCCGCCTCCTCCTCTCTCCCGCCGCCGCCGCTTTTTCATGACCCTGCCACACACCGATGGCTAAATTTCACCCTCCTCCCAGCATCCCCGCGCTCACAGGACGCCGCAACTGATTGCGCCATCAGCCAGCGCCGCAGAATGACGTCAGACGCACAGCACTGGGAGCCATGGTAACTACCAAGCTACTGAGACTGGGTTACCTGCGGACCAGAAATTGAGATGCAGAGATATTTGCTCTTTCTTCTCCAGGAGTCCTTAGGAGTAGTTGAAAAGAGGAACAGAAGAAAGTCCACTTCTCTGCTCAAACCTTTACTGGAACTATTAAAATCGCTGGCCGATTTTGTCTTTTGAAGATCCTGAAGGGTTTAGAAATTCTAAATTGAGTAGACATAGATTAAAAATGCTGGTGTGAAGAAACTGATAATAGTTACCTCCCAGGAGAGGAATGTGTTTCTGGAAAACACGTCGTGGTAGGAAGACCATTTACCGTACGCCTTTGTGTACTTTTTTGTTTTTGTCCTTTGAGACAGGGTCTTGCTCTGTCGCCTAGGCTGGAGTGTGCAGTTGCGCGATCTTGGCTCACTGCAGCCTCCACCTCTCGGGCTCAGGCGATCCTCCCGTCACAGCCTCCCAAGTTGCTGGGACCACAGGCACGCGCCACGACACCCGGCTAATTTTTTTTTTCTCGTATATTTAGTAGAGACGGGGTTCATCATGTTGCTTAGGCTGATCTTGAACTCCTAGGCTCAAGCGAGCCACCCATTTGGCCTCCCAAAGTGCTGGGATTACAGACGTGAGCCACCACGCCCAACCTCCTTGTGTACTTTTTAATATGAATGTATCACCCGAGATCGTACCACTACACTCCAGCCTGTTTAAAAATTATTATAGTTGAAACCTTGTAAATTATTGTGAGTGTTCTTAATCTGCTTCAGGAGGTAGCAGTAAACAAGACATTCTGGATTTGGGAGGAGAAAATACAAAAAAGAAATGAACAAGATATTTTTAAAATGTATCAGGCCCGGCGTGGGTGCCTCATGCCTGTAATCCCAGCATTTTAGGAGGCTAAGGCAAGGCAGATTGCTTGAGGTCAGGAGTTCGAGACCAGCCTGGCCAACATGGTTAAACTCCATCTCTACTAAAAATACAAAAATGAGCCAGGCCTGGTGGTGCAAGCCTGTAATCCCAGCTATGGGAGGCTGAGACAGGAGAATGGCTTGAACCCTGGAGGTGGAGGCTGCCGGGAGCCAAGATGGCACCACTGCACTCTAGCCTAGGCAACAGAATGAGTGAGACTCTGTCTTAAAATAAATGAATTAATTAATTAATTGCAATAAAATAAAGTATATCAAATGTCATGAAATAAATTTAAGGGTTGAATGCCGGGTATGGCGAGGCACGCCTATAATCCCAGCTACTGTGGAGACTGAAGTGGGAGGATCTCTTGAGCCCAAGACTTCCAGACCAACCTGCTCAAAATATTGAGACCCCTAAAACAAATTACCTACATGCGGTGGCTGTGATGGCTCCCACCTCTAGCTCCAGCTACCTGGAAGGCTGAGGCAGGAGGTCCAGGCTGCAGTGAGCTATGATAGTGCCACTGCCCTCCAGCATGGGTGACAAAGTGAAACCTTGTCCTTAAAACAAAAATTTAATAATAAGAAGAAAAAAAAGAGAGAAATGTACAGGATGATGTGATAGAAAGTAATGGGAGGGAGGCTGGCAGTAGAGTGGCTAGGGAAGTCCTCTATGATGAGAGGAAAAATAGCCAGAGCTGAGGTTGGCCTTGGAGGTATTGGGCCAATGTGTGAACCAGTGATACAAATCCCCTGACTCATGGGAACACAAAGGCCTGACTTTCTTCTTAGAAGGAAAAGAAAATCCTACAAGAATATGGTGATACATTAATAACAAAAGGTCAAAGGAATAAAATTCTGAACTGACTGAAGAAATTGATCACCTAAAGGGAGAACAAAAAAGAGGCAAGTGCTTTTGAGAGTAGGAAGGCAAGACTGAAAGCAGAGAAGAGAAAACATATATCTCTAAGACTATGAAGAAAATGAAGGTCTGGAGGCCAGGCACAGCTCGTGCCTGTAATCCCAGCACTTTGGGAGGTTGAGGCAGGCGAATCACTTGAGCCTAGGAGTTTAAGACCAGCCTAGCCAACATGGTGAAACCTCATCTCTACCAAAATTACAAAAATTAGCTGAGCATGGTGGCTTCTGCCTGTAATCCCAGCTACTCAGGAGGCTGAGGTTGGAGGATTGCTTGAGCCCAGGAGGCGGAAGTTGCAGTGAGCCAAGATCACACCACAGCACTACAGCCTGGGTGACAAAGTGAGACCCTGTCTCAAAAAAAAAAAAAAAAAAAGAGAGAGAGAAAGAAAGGAAGGAAGGAAGGAAGAGAAAAGAGGAGGTCTGTGGATTCCGTGGGCTCCCTGCAATACTCTGGAAAAGGAACAGTATCTCAGTTTTATCTTCTTTATTTAAAGAAGCTCAAGAATTCGAGAGAATACCCTGCTAAAGATGTCTCAGGAATCTTGGAGCCACTGCCAGGTCTACACAGCTTTGAACAGCATATTCTGATACCAACTGAAGACACAGGGCCTTTCCCCAGATGGTCTTCTGTTCCACTTAAGAGACTAGGGCATTGTCCCAAGTTTTTACAGGTCAGAAAGTAAATAGTGACTAAGATTTAATTTCCCACCAGTAAAGGGATGGGAACAGAATCAGATTAAATTTTATTATTAAATATAAAGTCATAAGACATTTGTTACACAAGTTTGTGGAGTAAATTCTTAGTGGCATCATACGAATTTTTTAAATCTCTACTTTTCTCTGAGAGACACACACAACACATTTTGTGTACATGGGGTATATCATGTGTAGCCCTACAACTTAAGAACTGCAAAATTTCAGCTGCAAAGAAAAATGTTCAATTAGATTAAATTGAGAGCACGTACAAAAACAACTCTACTACTCACCGGCCGGGCGCGGTGGCTTGCGCCAGTAATCCCAGCACTTTGGGAGGCCGGGACAGGCGGATCATGAAGTCAGGAGATCGAGACCATCCTGGCTAACACGGTGAAACCTCATCTCTACGAAAAAAAATACAAAAAACTAGCTGGGCGTGGTGGCGGGTACCTGTAGTCCCAGCTACTTGGGAGGCTGAGGCAGGAGAATGGCGTGAACCCAGGAGGCAGAGCTTGCAGTGAGCTGAGATCGCACCACTGCACTCCAGCCTGGACGACATAGGGAGACTCCGTCTAAAAAACAAAACAAAACAAACAAAAAAACTCTACCACTTACCTTCCAATCCCACCCCATTCCCTCTTTAGATGACCTTATCTCTATAAAGAACTGTGCCAGAGGTTGGAATGGTTGAAATCTCATGCTTGAAATCCCAGCACTTTGGGAGGCCGAGGCAGACAGATCACACGAGGCCAGGAGTTCAAGATCAGCCAGGCCAACAAGGCAAAAAACCGTCTCTACGAAAAATACAAAAATTAGCCGGGGCAGGGTGGCAGCCGCCTGTAATCCCAGCTACTGGGAGACTGAGGCACAAGAATCGCTTGAACCTGGGAGGCTGAGGCTGCAGTGTGCGGAGATTGCGCCAGTGTACTCCAGTCTGGGCAACAGAGTTAGATACTGTCTCCAAAACAAAACACGGTGCCAGAAAGTCAATCTTTTCCCTTCAAGTTACTTCACTAAGTGGAAGCAGAGGCTAGCAGTATTAAGGAAGAGAGGTGGGGTGTGGGGATAGGATAGTGATGTGTGCGAGGCTCTCTGAATTTGAAAGAATAATGACAGTAAGAGCTAACATATTGAGTTCTACCATATGCTGGGGACCTAGTACTTCACATACGTTAATTCAGTTAATGAAGAAGGTACATACCTCCCCATTTTACAGGTAAGAACGCTTTAACATAATGAAATACTGTCCAAGTTGACACAGCTACTAATTAGTAGAGATGGACTTTCAACCGAGACAGTTCATCTCCAGAGCTCCTCAGTCTTCACTTTCTCCACCTTCTCTAAAATAGACGATTTTATGAGGTAATAATTGAAGTTTGGTCGCATCTCCTTGAGGATTCGTTATCCTTGTTACTAATGCTTTTGTACTGTATAAATTTCAGATCTTCCAAAATAAAAGTTTTTAAAATATAGGGCAATGTGGGGTATCCAAATCATCTCAGTTTGTAACAATGTTATCGTTTTGTTTTTATTTTTATTTATTTATTTTTTTTGAGATAGAGTCTCACTCTGTCGCCCAGGCTGGAGTGCAGTGGCGCGATCTCGGTTCACTGCAAGCTCCGCCTCCCGGGTTCACACCATTCTCCTGCCTCACTCATCCTCCCCAGCAGCTGGGACTACAGGCGCCGGCCACCACGCCCAGCTAATTTTTTGTATTTTTGTATTTTTTTTTTTTTAGCAGAGGCAGGGTTTCACCGTGTTAGCAAGGATGGTCTCGATCTCCTGACCTCGTGATCCACCCGCCTCGGTCTCCCAAAGTGCTGGGATTACAGGCGTGAGCCACCGCGCCCGGCCTCTTTTTGTTTTTATTCTTTTGTGTGTGTGTGTGTGTGTGTGTGTGTGTGTGTGTGTGTGTATAACAATGAAAGAGATGAAGTAATTATACGCTACATGAGCCACAGAAGCATCTCTACACGTGTTTCTACCAATGGCAGATGGTCCACAGCTTTTACTAGGTTCCGAGGTTATTCTGGGCTATTCTGAATTGTGGTTAAGACTGCACTCCCTGCCATTCTCTCCCCACCAAACAACCTAAGCACAGTCAGTAGCCTAAAACTCCTGAAGCACTGTGGATCGTGACAAGGGCACTGGAATAAACTGGAAAATAAATATGCTTTAGAGTCCGTCTTAAATTTTATTCTCATATCAATTCCTACGCAGTTAAGTCTGTCTCTTATGCAAAATGAAAACAATGAAGCCTAACTTGCAGAGTTGTGTTTAGAATAAGGAAGGAAAATATGTAAAGGACAGTGCCTTTTGCAGTTACCCTCAATCTGTTCAGTCTCCATCCGCCCCTCTCCGCCTCCGCAAGGGGATGAATGAAAGCTAATGTGCTTTGCCAAAAAGTAAGATATTGTAGTGTTTATTGTGATTTCCTATTAAAAAAAAAGTGGGGAGCTGGTGGAGCCCCTGTGCCTGGCGCACAGTGGGGAAAATCCACACACGCCTATCCCTCCGGCAGAACAGAACCCGCTTTCTGGGCTCTCGCTGGGCTCTCCCAGGCGTGTGTAGCAGCAGGGCTCCCGGCGCCGC
Organism: Homo sapiens; assembly: GCF_000001405.40. Lineage (NCBI taxonomy): Eukaryota > Metazoa > Chordata > Mammalia > Primates > Hominidae > Homo > Homo sapiens. The sequence continues at coordinate 980,424 of NT_187651.1, read as the reverse complement.
CAAGTCTCCACGGGCTTCGGTTCTCGTTATAAGAAACGTGTTATAATTATTTTAAAACATTTAAAGAATATTCTTGACCTTAGCAGTTTTTTTATCTACTCCATTTACAATTTCAAATCAATAATTTCTGGCTGATTTTTTAATTACTCGAACTATGAAATCAACACATCCTTGCTATAATGTTATTTATAGTATAAAGTAAGTTGTTTGGGGCACCGAAGGGTGTGAGAAGGGAGAAAACATGTATTTGCAGACAATAATTCCTTCTTAATTGCTTGATTATTTCTGAATTAGGTAGAAAGAACATCACAAATTATTAGTCAAATAGATGTATTTTCATAACTGACTGAAATCCTAGAGATAATATAGTTTAATTTCCTCAAATTTTCCAATGAAATTATTAAATAGAAGCTTTTTAAATGGCTTCGGGTTAGAAAACTACTCACTGCTAGAATTTTGACTATAGTCTAAGTTTTCTGATATCCAGTTTAGCTTTCTTTTTTATCTAAAATTTCATCTTATCTTAAACTCATGAGTATATGTGCGTGAAACCGGAATCAAAAATAAAAATTTCTCTTGAAGGCTGGTGAGTTTAGTCATTCAGCCTCCATGATTTAGACATAAGCAGAAATATGTATAATACATGAGAATCTGTTAGCATTCAGCAAACCTCTGTGTGATAGTATTAGCTTGATGCTGCTGCTGCAAGATCAATTTGTTATTAGTTAGGTGGCTTGTTTATGTATATGTATTTATAGATCCATTTAAAATAATTAACGGTAATTTTTCAAGGTCTGTTCAGATAAACCACCACAAACAGTGGTAGGGAGGTAATAGCTGAATCTACATTGGTATACAGAAGCAAGATTCTATTTGTGTAAGAATCATAAGACTAATATTTGGGAAATATCTTCATATATCCCCAATTTAAATAATAATAGCCAAGATCAGGAAAAGTCTGTAGGAAATCTAAGGGTTGTTATTCCAGTATACATAAATCACAAGTTCCCTGTCAGCTCAGAGTAATTTTTTCTTCAATAAATCATAATCACAATTTACACTGTTTGGAACAAACCTAAGTAAATGAAGAAAGACTGGCTTCTGTTTATATAGCCACTTAAGATCCTTTTTGACAAAAAGATGACTCAGATAAACATATTTATTTGACATAGTGGGGAGCAATAGGACTTATGTAAAAAGGAAGACATTAGGTTTTCCACTATCGAACACCAAAGGACAATCACTTGCTCTTTTTATTCCTCATCACTAACATATGAGAAAAATACTTATGGTAACCTATTTCACAGGATTCCCGTAAGAATCAAATGAGAGAATAAGTTCTTGGCAAAGTTTAAATGTTGCATTAGTTTGCATTATCATCATTTATTTTATTAAACATCTTGAAAGAGTGTGGTCACAATGCTTCTGTGTAAAGTTATGGATGTGTCTGAGAATTTCAAAGAGCCATATGAAATGATAGGATTCATGTGACTTTTAAGAAACCTGTAGATAAAGCATGAACAAATCAGAGATAAACTTTAGCTCCCTAGTACATTTGAGCTTTGCTGTTACATTATGCCACTTGGAGAACTAGGAGAGTAAAAATCATCATAATTTTGGCCTAATATATTTTTATGACTGTTCTTGAGATATTCATTTACTTAGAGTGGAGCTATTTTCTTGTTTTAAAAAAGCAATAATTATTATATTTGAGTGGGAGAGCAAATGAATTGCAGAAGGGATTTTTAAAAATTTGAAATTGAGTAATTTGTGCTAATGGAATTATATATTTGGAAGCTCTGGATGGAATCTATTTTTTAGCCTAAAGTTTTTTTTGTGAATTTTTTTCTGCTAAATCATACATAACTTTTAATAGCAGAACTGTTACAATAGTTTATCAGTTATAAAATGGTTTTTAAAGATGTGAAAATGATTTTTGTTAATCATAAAATCTAGAAAATGTTCCCATTCTGTTGGAAGTAGGGATTTTGATCAGTTTTAACATTTGGGAACTTCCAAATATTTGTTAATTTTATAGTTACAGTAACCTGACTTTTAGTGGTGGGTTTCTTCTGTACTGACTATGCAACATTGGCAAATTTGCTTAACTTCTCAGAGCCCTAACTTAATTAATTAAAAAAATAAAATATTATAATGTCTGCTTAATAGAATTGGACTAAGGGGTTCATGGATAGCTATAGCTGAAGTGCATGCCAGTCACTTACTACACAGCAAGCATGTAATAGACAGTACCTGTTATTTTCATGTGACTACGGTCTCCCCTCACTCCTCCAACAAAATGGTCTTATTTTGCTTTGTTCTTCATGTGTGTAGTTTCACATAAAATCAATTAGTGTTCCAACATAGGTTAAAAAAACTACTGAAGAGTCATCATACTCTCTGTAGAAACCATTCAGGGTTTTGAAAGACCTCTGGATTTTATGAGAACAGAAAGGCTGATTATTTGGAAATGTCATCAGGGCAGTCTCATGGAGTTGGAGTTTCCAGATAGAACCCATCTACTATGGCACAGAGTTTCGTGTGCACCTGTTTTAGTTGGTGATGATGATTGCAGGTTGGCTGGCAGGGTTCAGGAAAATAAGCCGTGTCTTAATGTTTTAATAAGTTTTAAAAATAGTTCACAATTTAAGATCCTCAGAATGGGACTTAGACCAATATGAGAAACGGAGTGCTTTAATTGCATGACCAACTACACATTAGAGCCCTGGAATCTATCCCACTGTTATTTACAAGTATTGTGTTAAAGACTAGTTGGAACCCTCTCAGGAGAAATTAGCAGTTACATTTTCTTATTTTTACAATTTATGCTCAAGGTGCATTTACTTCGATGTAAGCAGCCTCTTTTCTACTATAACACTCTCATGCCAATCTAAAATTGGACAATGGGTTTCCTGCTTTACAGCAGCAAAAATTGTTCTCCCTCTCCTGAAGTGGTTGACTGGGTTTCTTCACATTCGGCTGTCACCCTCCACCAGCTGAGGGAGCAAGAGACCTCTGCATGGGAGGCTACAGCCCCACCTCCTGGGTCTCCTGCAGGGCCGTCTCCGTTTTCAGAGTAGGATGAGTACCTGCCTTAGTAACAGCAATTCAGTTACCCTGAAGTTTTACTTTGTCCAAAAAGTTTCACCAAGAGCTTGTATTTTAATGAGATACTTTAAAAATATATTTGGGAATGTATAAGGCAAACGGATTCTCTATTATTTATACTTAGTGCATTCGCCTACTGAAATTTGAGGGTTTTCTAAGATATATATAAATATCACAATGTAAATATAGCTTCTCGCTCTTCCTCTCTCTCTTTCTCACACACACACGCAAGCACACGCACCCACCCACACACGCACACACACATCAAGGAAATGCCATATGTCCCAAGTGAGGCCCACTGGAAAAAAACAAAAGTGCTGAACATATCACTCAGGATCATTGTGAGAGGACAGTCGTCAGCTTTCTCTCTGGCAATGAGAATTTTCTCACCCTCAAGACATGCAAATTACTTTTTTCATCTGTTCTTTTTATGTTATTTGCATAATTTTCTCCTGCAAAAGTGAGAGCTGTCAAAAATTAACCATTTGGGGCTTTGGCATTCAGTTATGTGACCTTTTCCAGAGAGTTAGATCTCTTCAGGGAACTAGGAACTTGATGAGGAAGTGCTGAGAAGGTGATCAGTGGCAGAAAGAGCGGATGACGGATGGGGACCAGCAGGTTGGTAACGGCACATAACTACGTTTAAAAAGTTGTTAGATATTTTCGATCCTCTCATATGCTTGTTTGTTTTTGTTTTAGTAAATCAGTGTTTCAACAGATAATCAAAGAGATGATTCGGTTAGGTGTAGTGCTGTATTCTCCTACGTTACTCTGGTTAATGGTACAATGCAAACATTTTTTGCAAGTTTAATGCTAATTGAAAATGCCGTTTGGAAAACTACACAAGCAAGGCTGTGTTCATGCCGTGGTTTGAGTGCTTGTGTCTGTAGCAATCTGCCAAATATGCTTATTTAGTATGAATACTTCCTTTTTATAAATTCAGAGAGTTGCACTCTGGAGGGCTGTAATAAACCTTTAAATTCATTTTACTTCGACAAAGGTTGAAGTATGTAGCAGGCGAGCGTCAGGGACAAGTGCAGCTATCTCTTTGATCACATCGCTTTAAACATTTTTCAGCTTTAAGCTTGTCTTACAAGTCAGCTCTATCAGTCTATTAATTGTTTCACTGTACCTAATATCTTACACGAAGGCACCTTGAAAAACAGCAGGAGAAAGCACATTTGTTTAAGTCCTGCGATGGCTAGCACGGCAGCTAATCTCCTTGCAAATTATAATCATAGTTGTAGTTCATCCATTAGGCTGGAAAAGACAAGATTCCCAAGTGGCCTTGGTGCCTTTTCCAGTTCCCGGGAGACCCACCAACCCTCGGCGTGTGTTGCCTGCGCACCCGGAGCGTTCTTGCTAATCAGGTCAATGATTAGCGCCTGGCTCCAGGGACCTGCCAAGAGTGTTAGGGAGCCTCCAAACGGAGCACGCTCACGGAGAATCTCCCGTTCAGAAACATCGCTTAGTCCTCATTTACTCACTGGGAACCTCGGAGGATTTCAGCTGATGTTTTTCTCTCCTTAGACAGTGAGGAGCTCAACATAACAGGGAAAAGGAGCACAGGATGCAGCTACTTAGAGGGTGTTGATTGAAAACTTCGATCTCCCCACCCCATCACGGTTGATTTGACGGATTTCTCACCTCGTTCACAGAGAAAATTTCAATTAAGGTAAGTGCTGCTTTATCCGGGTGACTGCATGGCACTGAATTTCTGCATTGAAAGTTCTAACTGACTAAACTGACATTCTGCACTGCAGCAAGTGACTGTGTCAGGAAAAGCTTAATTTATAAGCAAGTTTCCTGGAGTAAAAACGGCGTTGGAGATAATGATATCTCAGGGCAATTTCTTTTGAAATACATTCATTCTGCCTTGTATCCAGAGAAAATAAAAGGGAACATGAAAAGATAGTTAATTTCTCATTTTACCTTTTTAATAATCTATCTGGAGGGTTGTGCATTGCCAAGGTAAATTGATTTTGATTGAAGTGATTTGTTGATGTCATATAGTAAAATCTGAGTCTGAAAGCTTCAAAGTTAAATCAGATGGAAAGAAAATTTGCAAATGCGAGTTGAGATTTTGTGCAGCTTTCTACTTTAGCAATATTCCTGAGCTCCCTTTTGGTTTAAGGATTTAGGACTAAATCCCTGAATATTTTAATAGTATCCATTTGGAACTTAAAACTTAAATGTTATAGTTTCTGATGCAAGTATTAAGAAAAATGAAACTAGAAGACTTATTATACCATTCATATAATTTATAGTCCTTATTCAACAGAAGTGGATTTCTTTTATGACATGAATAAAAAAAGAAAGCAAAGGAAAATTAAGTGCTTTCTAAAATGCTTGTTTTTGAAAGAATTCTTCAATAAGAGATTATGTGTTTGTAAAAAAATCTTTTTTATGTTTTATTTCATTTTTATTATTAAGATATAATGAATCGAAGTGAAGCTTACATTTCCTATATCATTTAGGGCAATTATCCAGGTAATTCAGATTAAACCATTCCATATTAATTCTTTTTTACCCATTTTCTTGTAAGCTTGTTAAAAATATCTAGAAAGGTATTGTAAGCAACTTTTTTCCAAAGTTTAATTACCTGAACTTTTTCTTTTCTACCTTACTAAGCGCATACATGCCTGATGGTTTTACTCCATATTATGATAAATTTTTATGTAATTAAGAGTAATTAAATAATTATATCACTATAATTATGTGATCTATTAGTCTGCACTCTAAATACTGAAGAATAGCAATCACTTACCTTGATACTGTATGACATAAAAGTTTTCAAATAATGAAATAAACATTATTTAAAATATCACATATAATACTGAAACAGGTTGATTTTTAACAATTAATTTCTATTGTTAAAGCAAAATGTAAATATCTAGCTGCTTTTGTATAAAGATTTATAATGGTATCTCAAGTGTGCTTTTCAGAGTGAGCACTCGTATTTCCTGAAGTGCTGACTTCCCTTTTCTTCTATGGATCTCTTGAGATGGGACATTTTATAAAGATGTCAGAACACTTTCTAATAATTGGCTATCATTCTGAAATTCTCTGGAGAGCTTTTCAGGCTGATGTCGATGTTACTGCTTCTTCCAGAGGAGTAAACTATTTTCAAGGTTCCCAAAGGCTGATGTGTACTTGGCTACCAGTATGTTTGTAGCTAAAGCCTGAAGACTTTTATCTACTTCTCTTGTTCTGAGACGTCTATCTCTTTTCCCTGGGGAGATGATTTCTCAATAGAATTAAAGATAATTGAGAGAAGAATGTGTTGACTACAGTGATTGTCCCTGGGTCTTTGGCTTCTTTTTTTTTTTTTTTTTTTAAGCAAACTTGATAAACAGAAAGAGGCAACATTAACCAAACAGGGACACACACTTGCTACTAGCGAACTTGCATGTCGCTGAAAACATCTCTATCCTTGTGCCAACTTCAGAATTGATGGTGGCATCAGACCCAATGAACTTTTTTGTTGGATGTATTGACCACTGAAGTGTCTGACCAGAGTACGTCCATTGAAGGTTGTGTTTACTGTCTAATGAAATATCTATGTTTAAAAATTGAGGGAATTGTAGTTCTCATTCAAAAAACAACAAATCCCCAATACACATGTTTACTTATATAACAAACCACCATATGTACCCCTGAACTTAAAATACAAATTTAATTTAAAAAATTAAAAATGCAATTGCTTAAAGGAGTCTTACCATTGTCATAGTTGTCTGAATTTGCAATATACTGATAAGAGGATGAAGAAAATCTTGGGTTCAACTGAGAATTAGTAACAGTTTATTTTACTTAGCATCTGCCTCCTTAATCTATACTGAATTCCATTTTTCATTTGATTGAGGGTAGTTTATTTCTTCTGTAAGATGGGAAAACATCTCATAGGATAACCTCACTTAGAGTAGGAAGTCTCAAAATTTAAATAAAATAATCTTTTAAAACTTTACAAAACTTGCTTCAAGTTCTTCTATAACTTGCTTCTCAATAAGTAATATGTTCAATAAAAGACACTAGAGATAGGCAGTATCTAATCTAGCTCACATGCTTCCTCAACTCAGATAGCTGAGTTATAAACTTTTTATATATGAATAAATGATAAATATAAAAACATATGAAAGTTGAAATGTTAACATGGATGTTATTTGCCCTCATTTTCCAGAAGGAAAGCTGGAATCTGAGAGAGCATATGTAACTGGGCCAAGGGCACACAGTAATGAACCTATAACTAAAATTCAGATCTGGCTGTGTTTAAAACTCATACACTCTATACCATACCTTTTTGTTACCTCATATATGGTGACTGTTTCCAGCACTTGACATGATACTCATGAATATTGTAAGACTATTTTTAAGATAGTACAGAGTAATCATATTACCTTTAGAACAGGTTAACTCTTGTTTACACAAAATAAATGATTTTGTAAATTCCATCACCACCAGTATTGGAAACCAGCATGTACTTTGTTCTTTTAGTTTCTGAAAGAGGTTAGTGTGCAAGTCTTTGCTTCCAGCTAATTCTGATTACTACTGACAGAAAAAGCACTCTACTGTAAGCAAAGTCTCTACTGAAATTTAGTATTTGTAACATATACATCTTTCCAAGAGAGGTTGACACACTCTCAGGATAAAATAAAATAAAATGTAGAGATATAAATTCAGTGTTAATTGTATTGAAATGCGATTAAAAGGAAGTTAAGGGAACTCAGGTTAATAGTGAAAGATATTCACAATATTAGAAAAGGTAGAGAAACTAACTGTTGGAATTGAATGTTGGAAGTGGACTTCAGAAAAAACAGACTTACATATTCAGCAGCCTATTTGCTATGCTGACTTTACATAAACTTTCCCATATGTCCACAGAGGTTTGGTGTAGCTAATCATGTTGATATTGTGGTAATATTTTTCAATTAATATTTGATCTAATCCTGTGACAAGAAGGGAGGGATGTTATAAGATTAGAGGTGACCTGGAAAATTTAATATGATTAGCTGTCATATCCAATGATGTGCTAAGATGGTAACTAGAAGTTAGGTTGTATGGTTATAAAATATGATAATTTATTGTGTTCCAACATGTTCCCAAATCTGGAAAGAGATGACGTTGTACCAGATACTGTAAATAACAGGTTCCACAATGACTAGAAATATGTTCAAGGCATATATGTGTATAATCTCCAACAACCAACCAGCGTACTTTCAATTCTCTAGGTTGTTGGAAAATGGTTGGCTTATCCTAATTGTGTATAAGAATAACAGAAAAAACAAAGTATATGTACACATTACCTCCTGTATTACTATTCCAAAAGAATGAATATTATCTATAAAGAACAATATTGTAGAAGAGCTTGTAATGGTAACAGTTCACAATGCATAGGTGTTTCCACTAAGAAAATATGACCATGTGTCTAGGCTCTACTGGCCGCAGTAGATTTGATGAGAAATGAATGTGCCAAGGTCTAAGAGAGCCCTCTCTAGACTGGCCAATGGCCACCATGTGGCCTTCCAGGAGAACCATGCCAATAAAAATGTTCTGTGTGAAATAACAAATATTTGACTTGGTTATCTTAAATTTGAAATACCATGTGGAGCCTCAGCAGTTAGTGGCCAGGAAAAGAAGTTGAGAAACATAGAAAGGACAGTCTGTGGAAATCATGAATAAGCTGCAGTAATGAGGCCAGTAGAAAAGAAAGAAAAGAGGTTAATTGCATTAGGTCAGTAAGAACAGACACATTTTCTAACTTACCCTAATAGCTAAGCGCAAGAAGAAAAGAGTGCTTCTCAGAGGAAGTACTGTGTTATCCTGGGTTGATATCCCGTATCGTATTCCAGGCATACCATGCAGTGGTGAGACTTCCCCATTTTTCACATTCACATTTTTCTCTGTAGTTTTAGTCCTGTTAATCCATTCAAATTGAGCACATCTATTTCCCTTACAAATGAAAATATTACAACTAACTCAGTATCTTACATGTTCATAGTTCTGGTAGACAATGGATAGGGCAGTAATGTTTAGTGGCTGTACGTGTTCTAGGTTCAACTACCTGGTTCAAATCCAGCTGAGGGCATTTTCTAGCTCTGTGGCCTTGGACAAGTCAGTTAAGGTGTCTAAACTTTGTTTTTATGTTATTTAAAATTGAGCCAATCACAGTACCTATCCTATTGTAGTGTTCTGAGAAATAAAGGAGGGAATTGATATATCCACAATTGCTCAGGTCCTCAGAAAATGATAGTTGTTATTATAAATAGAGAACCTTATTATTAGCTGTCACCTTACCTGTAAAGTAGCAAAAATTAGAGATCTTTTCTCTCCTAAGCAACAATGAACACGTGGATCTTGCAAAACTTCCAGGAACAATTTCATAACACTGTGTTTATATAAGTACATTTTGAATTTTGGGGCATACTCTTTTTTGGGGGTCCTGTTGGATTTACACAGATGAAGTGGATGTTTCTTAAAAGAATGTAACTTAGGAGCCATTTTAGAGAAACCATCCTATTTGTCATGAGGACTAAATTAGCAACTGAATTCTTTGACTCTTTCTTACGTACATTGAAAGGAATTGAACAAGTCTTGAAAAAGAAGTTCCATTTGACCACTGGTAGTCAACAATCTAACTTGGTATTACAGGGGCCAGAAAAATAGCCCATGATTTGTTTTTGTAAATAGAGTTTGGTTGGAATACAGCCACAGCTATTCATTTCCATCTTGTCAATGGCTGATTGCAAGCCACAAAGCCAGAGTTGAATAGTAGAGCAGAAAAAGATTGTAGAGCCTGAAAAGCTAAAAATATTGGCCATTTTGTCTTTCACAGAAAAAGTTTGCTGACTGCTTCTTTAGAAGAGAAACATTCATCTTGCATGATTTTTTTATTATCAGCATAATGAATATTTGGTAGAATTTTTTTTCTTTTTCTTTTTTTTTTTTTGAGGCAGTCTTTTTTTTTTTTTTTTTTTTGAGACGGAGTCTCGCTCTGTCGCCCAGGCTGGAGTGCAGTGGCGCGATCTCCGCTCACTGCAAGCTCCGCCTCCCGGGTTCACGCCATTCTCCTGCCTCAGCCTCCCGCGTAGCTGGGACTACAGGCGCCTGCAACCATGACCGGCTAATTTTTTTTTTTTTTTTTGTATTTTTAGTAGAGACAGGGTTTCACCGTGTTAGCCAGGATGGTCTGGATCTCCTGACCTCGTGATCCATCCACCTCCGCCTCCCAAAGTGCTGGGATTACAGGTGTGAGCCAACACGCCGGACCGTGGTAGAATATTTTTAAATGTCTTGAAGATAACTATCTAAATGTCTGTCTCTGGAGAGACTCAGTATTTTTATTTCCTCACACTCACTAATTCATCCATATTTTTCTATGGTATTTAAAACCTCTAATTATAAATTTTGACAAAGTTATCAACTACCAGTGTATATATGCAAAAGTATTCCACTGCATACTTTGCATATTGATTCAAATAATAAACATAGAGAAACTCTTTTTTTTTTTTTTTTTACAGTGGAATCCATTATTTTTCATCCTCCAAGCCACACCTTATATTTTGGTACATATAGGAATCAACTGCTATGTGACTTAAATAAAGAAGCAGATTCCTGGGTCTCATTCCTGGAGTGCTGATTTCACAAGTCAAACCTTAGTGGGTTTAGTAGGTCAAAACTTTGGTAGATTTCTTTCAGTTGTAGAAAAGAAACCAGGAACCACAGTTTGAGACATATACAGTTGATTCTGACAAAAACAGAATATATAAGAATGTGGCCTAATTATTGGGATTTAAAAAAAAAATTTCCCAGGTAACTCTATTATGTAGCCCCAGTTGGACACTGCTGCTGTCGACCAGCAACTCTCAAACCTTAAGAACAGGCACGCAAGTTACCTGGGGATCTTTTTTAGAGGTTTTAGAGTGTGCCTCAAGATTCTGCATTTCTAACAACCTGCCAGAGAGGTTGATGCTACTGGTGATGAGAAATGCTGCTCTCATATCACCACTGCCCCCTACTCTGCCCCATGGCTGCCATGGGTGGACGAGTGTCTACTGGAGGACGTTTCACAGGATGAGACTCACTGCCTAGCTCACCTGAATCAGATGTTGATCAACCTTCTTGAGAAGCTTTTCCCATCTCAGGAAGGTGATGAAAAATTCTGAACCAGGTCAAAATTGAGAAATATGTATATTATATTTAATATATAATATAAAATTTTGTGTGTATATTTAATCTATTGTTGATTTCTACATAACTATTTTGGACATAGAATAGTTGGATGTCTTAGAAAGCAAAATATTTAGGTAAGTATCGCTGACATATTTAATTCCTTGCAATTAAGAGGGACAGGGTGTTCATTGCTTCTCCAGTCTCCCTTCCCAATATCTAGAAGTTTTTGGCTATAGCATTGCCCAAGATAACTCCATACTGAAGTTCAAAACTTATCAGAAAATGCTGACTTCTCTGGTAACATCTCAGTTCTCTGTATTCTAGCAATGTAGCCTTAAGACTTTCTTCTTTGTCAGTTCAACTTTCTTCTCTCCCAAAACTGAATTACAAGGATATTGATTTCATCTCTCTTCTTTATTTAAACTTTTCTCCCTTTCTAATCTCAACTGCCATATTTCTTTCTTATTGCCAAAATCTATAAACAATAGAGGGAAATATATTTCATTAATATAGATATAAATTTTGGATAATTTATATTACCATCATTATGGTAATATAAATTAAAAATTACAAACCTGCCCCCATAATTTCCTATTACTCTTCTCTATTATTTTCTTCTGTAATGTTTAAAATCTTATCAACCGTATTCTTTTAAATTTATTTGATTATTGTTTTTCTCCCCACTCCCCATTATTAGAATGTGAGCTCTATGAAGGCAGGCTTTTTGTTTCTTTTATTCAAAGCTGCAACTCAGTACCTAAGATAGTGTCTGTTACAGAGTTTATCCTCAGAAAATATTGTTGACCAAGATTGAGTGAATATTCCAAATTAATTTCTGTGGCTGTTGTATTAGAATTGAGGCAATTGCTTTTGCTTTTGTTGTTAACGTTTTAACACATTATAAAATCTTAATGTGTAAGATTCAACCATATTTGTTCATTGACATTCATCCATTGAATTTACTCAGTAACTATTGTGTACCTCTTAAGTGTTAGGTGCTGTGCTAGGTGCTAGGGATACATGTTGACAAGGCCTAGTTCCTATGCATAATATGCTCAGCCTGATGGTGGGAGAGGGGAACTAAAGAACGAGTAGTCACAATGCTTGTGGTCTGCCATCATGGAACATATGTACAGACTGCTGTCAATGCACAAAAAATAGCTCCTGACTTAAACAGAGAGGCCAAGAGGAATTCCCTTATCTGTAAATTAAAGAATAGCTTGAATTTAGACAGACAGGAAAAGAGAGACCATTAGCTCCTAATGGAAATCACACTATGTGCTAAAAGCACAGAGATATGTTGGGTGCATTCCTGACACCCTCCAGCACCACATTAGTTTGATAGAACATGACAATGGAGTGGTGAATATGTAAAAAAGAGCAGCTTCATTGATGCCTGTGTAAGAGGTGCGAACTTTAACCCAGGAATAATGAGAACTCATTAAAGAATTTTCAGAAGGGCAAGCTAGATTTATTGCTGCTCTAGTCTGAATTTTACATTTTATTTTTTACTACTTCAAATAGAAATACATGTTATTAGCTACTTAAAAAAATACACGTGAATTGGGCTGGGCGCGGTGGCTCACGCCTGTAATCCCAGCACTTCGGGAGGCCGAGGCGGGTGGATCATGAGGTCAGGAGATCAAGACCATCCTGGCTAACACAGTGAAACCCCCGTCTCTACTAAAAATACAAAAAACTAGCCGAGCGTGGTGACGGGTGCCTGTAGTCCCAGCTACTCGGGAGGCTAAGGCAGGAGAATGGCGTGAACCCGTGAGGTGGAGCTTGCAAAGGCTGAGGCGGGAGAACGGCGTGAACCCGTGAGGCGGAGCTTGCAGTGAGCTGAGATCGCGCCACTGCACGCCAGCCTGGGCGACAGAGGGAGACTCCGTCTCAAAAAACAAAAAACAAAACAAAACAAAACAAAAACACGTGAATTCTATGTTTCTATTTCATTGAGTTGTTTGAGTTCCTTATAGATTCTGGATATTAACCCCTTGTCAGATGCATAGTTTATAGATATGTTCTCCCATTCTGTCAGTTGTCTCTTTGCGCTGTGGATTGTTTCCTTTGCTATGAAGAAGCTTTTTATTTTGATGTAATCCCATTTATCTATTTTTGCTTCTAAATCTGTGTGTTTGAGTTCTTATCCCACAATCCGAATAGAATTTCTCAAAAGGGGGACATACAATGGCCAACAGGCACATGAAAAAATGCTCAACATCACTAATCTTCAGGGAAATGTAAATTACAAACACAGTGAGATATCATCTCACCTCAGTTAGAATGGCTATTATCAAAAAAGCAAAAAGTAACAAGTGCTGGCAAGGATGTGGAGAAAAGGGAATTCATATTGCTGTTGGTGAGAATGTAAACTCGTACAGTCATTATAGGCAAGAGTAGGAAGGTTTCTCAAAATATTAAAAATAGAACTACCATATGATCCCAAAATGCCATTGCTGGGTCTGTATCCAAAGGAAATAACATCAGTATGTCAAAGAGATGTCTGCACTCCCACATTTATTGCAGCACTATGTACAACAGCCAAGATATGGCATCAACCTAAGTGTCCATCAGCAGATGAGTGGACAAGGAAAGTGTGGTATATATACACAGTAGAATACTATTCAGCCATAAAATAGAATGAGATTCTGTAATTTGTAGCAACTTGGATGAGCCTGGAGGACAGTATGTTAAGTGAAATAAGCCAGGCACAGAATGACAAATACCTCATGATTGCACTCATATGCGGTATCTGAAAAAGATGATCTCATAGAAGTAGAGAGTAGATTAGAGGTTAGCAGAGGCTGTGGCGGGGGGAGGGAAAAAGATGTATAGAAACAAATTGGTCAAAGTTACAGTTAGATAGGAGAAATAAGTTTTAGTATTCCATTGCACAGCATGGTGACTATAGTTAATATAACATATATTTCAAAATAGCTACAAGAGAAAATTTTGAATGCTCTCACCACAAACAAATGATAAATTTCTGAAATGATGGATATGCTAATTGCCCTAACTTGATTATTACACATCGTATACCTATGTTGAAACATCACACTGTTTCCCATAATTATGCACAATTATTATGTGTCAATTAAAAAATAAATTTTAAAAAATTTAAAAAGGCACATGAAAAACAAAAATATGTATACTATAGGAGAAAATAAGTTTTAGTGGAGTTGAAGGGAGAGAAAGTCACTTACCTAAATGCTGTGCCAAGAATATATGAAAGTTCACGTGTAGAGCTTTGAACCAAATAAAGTTGAATGAGCATAAATTTGGCAAAGTTAGAAATCCATAGGTGATTTTCAGGGGTTCTGTATTGCAGGATTAGATGAATGAATGTATTTCAGTTTCAGAGTTCAGGAAAAGTGAAGAATATGGATGGCCATATCTGCTAGTACTGACGTGGAGAAGTGTTCACATCCTCCCACCTCCTGACTGCGACCTAACAGAAAAGGCCACTTTTTTGCCTCTACTCTTGCTGGATAATCAAAGTCAAACTGAGCTATTTAAATTTAACACCATTGACATTCTTAGAAGGAGAACTTCTGAGCTTTTTATTTCAGAGATAGAACACTAAGGGTTAACTCTGGCAAAATCTCTGACCCTTTTGTGCAGAGCTTGTTGTCGCTAATATTAGCTGAAACTAATTTTTCAGTTTTCCCTTACCATTCTACCTAAAATATCACCCACCCTATCTCTTTCTCCTTATTGTTCATCTCAGATTTACTGTCTTACCTGCTGATGGTTGCTCCAATGGGACTGTAAGCTCTGTGAAGATGAGAACCTTGCTTTGTTTACTGCTGCAGGCTCATCACCTAGATCAGTGTCTGTCACAGAGGTAGTAACTATATGTTGAAAGAAGGAAGGAAGGAAGGAAGGAAGGAAGGAAGGAAGGAAGGAAGGAAGGAAGGAAGGAAGGAAGGAAGGAAAGTAGGGAGGGAGGGAGGGAGGAAAAGAGAGGGAGGGAGGGGCAGAGGGAGGGAGATATCAGTGCATTCCCTAATCTCGCCTCAAAACCTTTTCTATGTCTTCTCTCTTTACCATCTCAGTAAGTGGCACTCTAATCCACCCAATGTGTCAAGTTAGGAATCCAGCAAACATCTTTGCCTTCCCACTTGTCACTTCCCACAGATCCAATTAACATGTGGTCCTTTCAATCCTGCCTTCTAACTTTCTCTCCCCTGGCTTTCCCTCGTTGTTTCCCCACAGTTCTTATCACCTTCATCTGTCACTTGCCTTATGGCTGCATTACCGTATTCCTTTTCTACACAAGATAATGCCATATACTGACAGAAAATTGATATCTCTGAATACAAGCTTGCCCTATTACCCCCATGTTAAGGCTTCTCTTGTAGTTTCCCTGCTTTTTAAAGACATAATTAAAACCCCCACTGGACACCCATTTTTTTGTATATATTTAAGGGGTACAAGTACAATTTTGTTATATGCAATATATATTGCATAGGGTGAAGTCTGGCATTTTAGGGTATCCATCACTCAAATAATATACATTGTACCCATTAAGTTATTTATCCTCCCTCACACTTTTCCATCCCCCAAGCTCTGAGTCTCCAGTGTGTATCATTTCATACTCTATGTTCATTTGTACACATTATTTAGTGCTACTTATAAGTGAGAACATGCGGTATTTGTCTGTTTCTGAGTTATTTCACGTAAGATAATGGCCTCCAGTTCTATCCATGTTGCCACAAAAGACATGATTTAATTCTTGTTTATGTGTGAATAGTATTCCATTTTGTATATACACCACATTTCTTTATCCAGTCATTTTGTGATGGATTGATTCTGTATCTTAGATATCTTAAGATATGGAAACTTAGGTTGATTCCATATCTTTATATGGTGAATATGGCTGCATCCATTTCAACGTGAGGTTTGGATGCTGCATCATATCTGCTTTTTCTTAATCTCAAGCAGTCTATGACCCAGCCATGGTTGCTATCATTTGGTTCCTATGTCTGAGATTTCATGTTTGCTGTCTGTCACAGTAAGTTGACTTTTTGTCTGACTAGATCTATTGACCTTCAGAACTCAAGATACATTTCATACAAGTGTTTTTTGGCCCCTACAAGTGGAGTTCAAATGTTTTTTCTATCAGTTTCCATAGCACACTCTATGTCCCTTATAATCCAATCACAGAACTCATTACTTCATTGAATAATGCCACACTTCAAACTCTTTGATGGCAGGTTCTATGCCTGTGTCATTCACTACTATATTCCCAGTGACAGGCACTTATGTGCCCAAATCCTTTGTAAAAAGAATAGTTGGTGATCTTCTTCAAATTAAAAACATAGTTATTTATTCATAAGCCAATGCTTCTTCCTTCTACTTGGGCAATTAAATTCCTGACATTCTGAAAAGAATTTTGCTTCCCTATGTCCCCTTGATGAAATGTCAGAGAACACAAAGTATAGTAACAATTAGATTAATTCAAAACACTTATCATGGTAGTAACCACTGAAATCTGTTTAATGCATTTCCAACATCATATCCACCTTATGGATGATGTAGATATCTTGTACTTTAATGAACAGTGGAAATTGTTCACACACGTTTGGTAAAAGTCACCTATTTTCAATCAGCTCTTTTCTGTGTAATAACTGGGTGACATTTCTCATCCATTTGTGATCAATGAACATGCATATTTTAACTCACACGTCAATTTTCTTCAAAAGCACCACTCTTATAGCTTTGTATTTCATAACTGGATGATAATTAGTATAGGGGAGCTACACTAATTCCTATTCTCCAGCTTTTTGATCTTCAGAGAAGTGTAATTGGTAGAACAAACAACTGAAATTGGCTATATTGTACTTGATAATCAGTAGTCAAAAAGCACATCCTGAAGAGATACACTTTGATCTCTTGTGTTTGAGAAATAATTACACTGTTATATTTAATATTACAATAATTAAATGATATTTTATTATTTGTCCTTTATATGAAGTGAGGTAAAATACTCTAAAAATCAATATAGAGTAAACAACAGCAATAATTCTGGAAAGTATTTCTCTCACAGATATTTAGAAGCAATCTTCCCTGGAACCATAATCCTCAAAAGGAAATTGCAATCCTTGCAGAAACACAGTTTGGGTCATCTGGGTCCAGGTCTCTGTGTTTTTCTAAAAGCCTTCACAAGGCACAAGTGACATTTTAAATAGCTTGTCAGGAAAAGAAGTGATTTCTAATGCAGATCCACCAAATAAAATGTTTTTTGTCAGCGCCCCTAAAGGCAAACATCTAAAAGGCAGAGAGAAAAAGAATGCAAAGAAAAATGTTGTGACTAGTGTCCAAGGGGGAACATAATAGAAAAATAATAGAGACATATCTCTTGTCAAACAAAAAGTAAACAGGTTTAATATCCCACAATTCTACATCTACTGAGAAGTATAATTAAACATCAGGAATGTTTTTCTCTATGGGATGCTAAGCCATTTTGTTCTTGAAAATATTTTAGGGAAAAAGAGCAGGTCCAATTATGCTCTGATCTGCAGGCATGAAAAGAGGAACTCAGCCCAGAGGTAAGCAGCGGGGAATGAAAACAGTTAACACAAAAGTTTAGTTAAAGCTATGAATGCTTCACACTGATTCTTTTAACAAAGTAAAGCTTGTTGTGTGATAGTGTTTATATTACCCTTGGTCTTAAACAACATATGAACTTAGGAAGCTACCGGCCATCTCCCACCCTCACGCCTCTCCTGGTCTTTTCTAGTCTAGTTTTTACAGACTCCTGAGTTATCTAACCCTCATGACTAAGTAGCCACACATGTATCAACATAGAGTCTCTTCATTGTCTTTGGTTTTGTTTGTGTGTCTGTTGTATTAGTGTCCTATTCAAGAAGTTTGGTGATCTTATTTTGAAAAGAACCAGTAAAGTTAAAATGTGTTGCTTCCCCAAGTGGTTTGTTCCATATTTGGAGGAATCTGAGTAAGCATTTCCTCGTTTTAAGAATTCTGTACTCCCAGGTGCAGAGCTGGGTGCTCTGGCACTTTCTCTATAATCATAATTCAAGTTCACGTGCCTCTCCAATTTCCCCTTTTGAACACATTGTAGTTTGAGGTTATTGAAAGACCATTCACTCTCTCTATCTCTCTAGTGACCCATACTAAGTACAAAAAATAGGCCGAATTTTCCTATCTGCTTTTTTTACTAAATAAATAAATAAAAATAAAAAATGTCAGGTTTGTTAAACATTTCAAAATCTTGAGGATTGGTAAAGAGGGTGATTCTGCTTGTGTTATATTTATTGAAATGTTTCATAGGTTTTGCATTCCGAAAGGAAAATTCAGAATTGATAGCATTTTTGTCCACATAAAGCCATTACCAATGAAAGTGTAAGATGTATTCAAATACTTGCCTTGAGTTTTGTGCATAAATCACTTACTAGATAGAGCAGAATTGTTGAAGTCATATAGGAATAGAAAGTAGAGTTTTCATAGGTCCTGGAGTTACTCATCTCAATCTGACAACAGCATAACTACTTATACAAATAGAGCAAATTTAACATTCCAGTTGCTAGGTATCTTTTAAACAGCAGAAATAGTTTTGTAGACATTAAGTTCCTTAGGCATTTGTTATGATTCCTACATAAAAATAAAAATATTGAAGAGTGTCAGAAATGCCTGTTTCTAACATTGTCAGATAACATAACTATCATGTATGTAACATGTTTATACAATATGCTTATTTGGTGTGTAAAATAAATCTGAAGCATTTTTTTAACATTATTAGTTATTACATAAAATGCAAGTAGAATAAAAGTGTTATTGCATTATTCATTTAGCCAACACTATCAGTACGTTTTTGGGGTGACTGACAGAAGTACAAAAGAGAGACTACTGAAGTGCTAGAAATGAACACCCCGACACAGATGGTAATTACATAGAGACACTCACCCAGACACACACACTATGATATTTTAGTAATGAAAAAAGTTATTCTGCATGGTTTGCTAAGAACTTTGTTGTAATTATAAGTAAATTATCTTTTTATTCTTTTAAATATGATTAAGAATAATATTGTTGTGAATAAAATCATACTTATTTTACTGTTATTTTTATCATAATGAATGTTGTCCCACCAATTTGCAAGTGAAGAGCACCATGTAAAGCCTTTTAATAACTTTCAAATTGATTTCACACTGATACATAAGAAAAGAAAAAAATAAGAAAGGTTTAAGGATTTTCTGCAAGAAGCATACAAATTTATAAATTAGAAAAATCCATACTTTTTGAGAGACTTTATAAATATTAACAGTAATGATTTTGTGTTTGAGATCATCTTGGGAGACATTGAGCCAGAAATAAAGTAATTGCCCCAAACTTTTTATGGTATAGATGTATTTTAGGAACAAGTGATAATAACATCATAGTTTCAGATTAGGAAAATGCAATAAGGAGTCCTTACCAATACCTGATCTTCACAAAAAGCAATGAAAGCTAATTTAGAATAAAACAGAAGAGCTGACTAATCAGAAAAGAAACAATGCTGCTTAAAGCTGCTTCTCTTTAAAAGCATCTCACTGATACTCTCTGGCAAAATCTACCTTGCCAATATTCTTTCCATTCTTTTTTGTTTATTTATGTATTTATTTATTTATTTTGAGATGGTGTCTCGCTCTGTTGCCCAGGCTGGAGTGCAGTGGTGCACTCTTGGCTCACTGCAAGCTCGCCTCCCAGGTTCACACCATTCTCCTGCCTCAGCCTCCCAAGTAGCTGGGACTACAGGCACCTGCCACCACGCCCAGCTAATTTTTTTTGTATTTTTAGTAGAGACGGGGTTTCACTGTGTTAGCCAGGATGGACTCGATCTCCTGACCTCATGATCCTCCCCCTTCGGCCTCCCAAAGTGCTGGGATTACAGGCATGAGCCGCTGCACCCGGCCTATTCTTTCCATTCTTTAAGTTGAGGTATTGAAGGCCCCTGTGTTAGAAATGCAACAAACAGTTTCTTATTAATGAAAATCTTATCATAATCTATTTTTTAACTCTTATTTTAAGTTCAGGAGTAGAAGTGCAGGTTTATGTAGGTAAACTTGTATCATGAGAGTTTGCTGTACAGATTGTTTCATCACCCAGATATTAAGCCTAACACCCATCAATTATTTTTCATGATCTACTTTTTTGTCTGATTGAGGATTAAGAAATTCGACTGACCCACTCTGAATCCCTTTCCTTGGGGAAAAGAAGCAAGATCTATCACATGAAATAATTAAAGGGAGAGAATACCCAACAAGGAGCTACAGTGATGTCCCAAAGCCACAAGAACTTTAGGCTGAGATTGAAAGGAGAACACAGGCAACAAGGAGAAGTGGGACAATAGAGCCCTCTGGGTGCCTGAGGACACCTCAGAAGTTGTTTGAGTCCTGATGCACATGTTAGAATAAATGTCTCTAGTCCCCTTGCAGATATCCTTTTTTGATGAGAGCAAATGAGGGACTTTTGAAGCTGCGTAAAGCCTTCTACCTACTTGAGGTCAACTCAGCGTAGGCAGTTTCTCACTGTATATGTGGCTTGTGTATAGGATGTCACCTGGAATGGAGTGCATGAGAAAGCAGGAGAGAAAATTCTAATGATCTCTGTAAAATGAATAAACGATTACATACAGGCCAGGCAAAGTGGCTCATGCCTGTAATCCCAGCACTTTGGGAGGCCGTGGTGGGCAGATAATGAGGTCGAGAGATCGAGACCATCCTGGCCAACATGGTGAAACCCCATCTCCACTAAATATACAAACATTAGCTGGGCGGGGTAGTGCGTGTATTCCCAGCCACTCGGGAGACTGAGGCAAGAGAATCGCCTAAACCCGGGATTCGGAGGTTGCAGTGAGCTGAGATCATGCCACTACACTCAAGCCTGGCGACAGAGCAAGACTCTGTCAAAAAAAAAAAAATTACATGCAGATAGAATAGACAGAGATATACATACATATGCACACACACCCACATACATACACGCTGTAATATACACACACTATTTCTACCAAAACTTCTGTAATATAGGATAGAGAAATGAAGACGTGTAGAACGTTCTTATTTAAATCTATGTAAACATCTAGGTTAAATTCTGTGATTAATATGTATATATGACTCTTTTTAAAAATTATTACTACTAATAGGTTGAAACTGAGAAAATGAAAGACAGAAAGAAAGAGAGGGAGGAGAGATGCCACCTAGGAAAAAAGAGTTTTTCACACCAGGCTTTTATTCCCTCATATTGAGCTAAATTTAGGAACAAGAAATAAAGGAGAGAAAATGGCAAAACATGCTCTCTTTTGCAGAAGATTGTAGAGAAAGAGAAATCCCCATAAGAAATAAATTTGGTGGCAATAGAGTGAGAGTTGGAGAATCCTTTGCTTCTGTGTGTTTAAAAGGTATAAATACACATTTTATATTTTCTTATTCATTGTATTGAGAATTAAATGAGGTAAAGTATGAGAAAGCACCCATCTTAATGAATGACAAATAACAATTTTTCAAAGGAAAAATAATAATTGTTTTTCCTTTGGCTTTCCCAGCGTTAACAGTGTTACCAGGTAGCACATCCAAGTTTGTAAAGTAGAATTGGAAAGGCATAATGGTTAAAAGAATGGCATTCACAATTCAACACATTGACATTTCAATCTGAGTCTACCACTTACTACCTATGTAGCTTTAGACAATTTTTGTCACTCTTTAATGCTCTGATTTCCTTTCATAGCATAACACAGACAATATTAACAGGTAGTTATATAATGAGATACTATAATAAATGTGCTTAGTGAAGCACCTGGCTTACAGCAAGCACACTACTGCTGAGGAGGTTATTATTATTTCAGCAACTGGATAGCCCATGTCCCAATATTTCACTGACATTGCCCTGTCACTGATTCTAGCTACAATCTTGGTCTCAAATCTCCCTAATAATTTCAAGTTTAAAAAGCCTCTGTTTACCTAGAGGACAGAAAACTAACTTTTATCAAGAACCTATGGCAACCCATATTTCTAGGCTTGGGATAATATCATCAGGTCCTATTTTCATCAACTGACACCTTTACGATAGCTCAGGATCACTGCCTTGATTGCTGCCCCTGAGTCACTTGATTTCTCTCCTGGCTGTTTGTGAAACTCCCAAGGTGCTCGCTTATACTCTTAGAAAAAAAGTCTTGTATTTCCCTGTCTGACCTCCTGCCATCTGCCAGGCAAGACCACAACTGCTGATGTCTCTTGGGAGATCACAGCTCCTCTGGGTGAAACTGTCCCATGCCCGTGGTCCCCATTACTCACAAAATTGTAGCTACAGGGAAAGAATAACATATTGCCTTTTATTTCTTTTTTACTCACAACTTGAACCTGGCCTTTTCATTAAGACCACACTGCACCGACAGACCAAGTGGCAAGTTTTTTTCATAAAGTAAAGAAATAATAGTGGGGAGGCCAGTCACGGTGCCTCACACCTGTAATCCCAGCATTTTAGGAGGCTGAGCTGGGCGGATCCCTTGAGGTCAGGAGTCCGAGACCAGCCTGGCCAACATGGTGAAACCCTGTCTCTACTAAAAATACAAAAATTAGCCGGGCATGGGGGCGGACGCTTGTAATCCCAGCTACTCGGGAGGCTGAGGCAGGAGAATCGCTTGAACCCAGGAGGCAGAGCTTGCAGTGACCTGAAATTGTGCCACTGAACTCTAGCCTGGGAGACAGAGTGAGACTCGGTCTCAAAAACAAAAAACAAAAAAAAACAAAAAAAAAAAAACAAAAAAGAAGAAAGAAAAAGAAAAGAAAAGAAAGAATAGTGGGGGAGGTAGGTTACATAAGACACCATTAAGTAAGCAGTGTGTCACCTCTCTAGCTCACAAGCCTGGTACCTGAATGTCTCATCTCTGTTAACCCCTATTTACCATTGGCTAGGGGCCAGCTTTCTTTTCCTACCAGGACTGCACTAAAATAGATCTTCTAGCACAGAGGACAGGACTCATCTCCAATGAGGTGTCAGAGACAAAGCCCTAGACTCCATCCTGGGTTTTGATCATAGAAGCCTCATTTTCATTTCCAAATTCTAACATTTGTAAGTATTGGCTATGATAATGTCCACTTATTTCAATAAAACATTCCTTTCTCCCTTGCAGTCCCTAAGTTATTCTTAATAGGAAAATTAAAGGAAGATAATCCTACACAAATTCAATTGTATTAGTAAGTCTTAAATAATACCTTGTGTAGGCTACCACTGAGCTAGTATGTTGTACTGAGCCAAACCAAGTTCTTACTATATTCTCTACTGCAGTGAAAGAGTACAGTGGAGTCTGATGACTCAGCAACCCTCGTGGGTTTTTCTTCTATAAAACAACTACATCAACAATTGTGCAAACATGGATCTCCCCAAGAATTTGCCTGATACATCTGGCTGCTTATCCAAATTTGTATACCTACAAAGAAAAAAGTTTCAAAGAAGACAACAGCCAGAATAAAAAATGAACTATAATCTCTGATAATAACACACAAATTAGCTTTTTTTCTGAATTATGCCCATTCAAGGAACAGGTTGACATTCAGCACTAAGTGAAAACCTACCCCAAAGGTAATATATGAATTCACCTGTACTCCTCAATGCCTAGGAAAGTAACCAGCAAAAAGAGACAAAAATACTTACATGTTATGTAAAGCAGAAAAGACCTGGGAGTTTCCCCATCGTCTAACATTCATAGCTTCAAAAAACATGACATCGAAATCTAGTTTTAACAAAGTTATGTCATTACATTTCCTTATGCTCTTGGTTAGAATTCTGAACATGTTTACTCCTAGAAGCATTAAGCCTGAATTTGAGAAGTTATGATATCTTTAGTTCACATTAAACTTTATAGCCATCCAAATTGGTGTTCAAAACATTTAGTATTCAAAAACAAACAAACAAACAAAAACAAACAAAAAGACATATGTAGGGCTCAGATTCATGAGTCAGAGAAGCTAAAATACATTTGTTAAAATTGCAATTTTCTCCAGCATGTATGTTTGTAACCTGAGTGTCTTACTAAACTATGATTTTTTTTTTCCACACTCCATTCCAGTATCACAAATCTCAGTTTTTTTCCGACTTCCTTAACTATGTAGCCATGTCTGCATACCTACTGCATCTCTCTTAAGTACAGGCCTTCACTCTTGACTATGCAGGCAAGTATAGCAAATTCTTGCCTGGACTCAGCCTCTTCTTCAATATTCTGGCCTCCAGTCTCTTCCCTTTCAAGTGTAGCCTCCCCAGCTGTGTTCTGTTTCAAATACAAATATAACCTTACCACTTACCTACATGAAATCTCAAATGGCTCTCTGTTATCTACAAAGTGAGCCACAGTCTATTCTGGGATAAGAGGCCTACTCTGACATCCCCCCAGCTTATCCCACCCCTCCTTACCTCTCACCATTCTTTTCTTTTCAGTCACTGTGAATAATTTGTAGGCACATGCATAAGCCTGTGTGCACAAATGTACACACACACACCCCTAATGGTGCTTGTGGACCTCTGTGACTTTTATCCATGCTGTCCATAGGGCCTTAAATGTGTCTGCTCTTCTCCTTCTTATTCTTCTACATCTGTGTAACTTGTCTGGCTAATTCCTACTCTCTTTGAAACCCAAACGTGACATTACATTCACCAGAAAATGCTCTCTCATTTCCAGCCACCAGCCTCGTTAACTCATTATTTTATTAGTTTGTCATGGCTCCTAATTTTGTCTTTAGAGATTTGTATTACTTGAGAGATTATAAGTTCCTTGCAGGCCCAGACTACATATTAATTATGTGTATATCTTCAAAGACCTGTATTGTGTCAGTCACATATTAATATTTGACTGCCAGGCATGGTGACTCATGCCTGTAATCCTAGCACTTTGGGAGGCTGAGGCAGGCAGATCACTTGAGGCCAGGAGTTTGAGACCACCCTGGCCAATATGGTGAAGCCTTGTCTCTACCAAAAAAACGAAAATTAGCTGGGCATGGTGGCCCTCCTATAATCCTAGCTACTGGGGAGTCTGAGTCAGGAGAATCACTTGAATCCTGGAGGCAGAGGTTGCTGTGAGCCAAGATCAGGCCACTGCGCTCCAGCCTGGGAGACAGACCAAGCCTCTGTCTCAAGCAAACAGACAAACAAAAAACATGAGTATTAATTTTGCCATACATGAACACATATATGAAAGAATCTGTTCTTTAAAGACCATTGGTGTATATAGACAACTTATAAATAAATATTGAGTAATTACTTCTGAAACCTTTTTATCCTTAGTTGCTGAATCACACAGTTTAACCCATTTTCAATATGACACCATTTATCATTCATTAATTTAAGAGCATAGAGTCTCTTGTGTGTCAGAAACTGGGTCGATCCAGTGTATCTGTGAGCTGAAATGATTAACAAAAAAGCTCATATAACTACAAAGTGAGGAAAGCGCTAAGAGTGAAATGAGAAGGAGGCTGTAAGAGAGTATAAAGGAAGGGCTTGGCTTGGTCTAGAGGGACAAGAAACACCTCTTGGGAAAATTGATGGCCAGAGATCTGAGGATGTGCAGTTTACTAGATGAAGAGGGAAGAAAGACTGTTCTAGGCAAAGGGAAGCGTCCATGTAGTAACACTTGGGATGTTGGTTTATTCCTAGGATTGAGAGAAGCTACAGCAGCTAAAATGCAGCGATGGAGGAACACAGTCATACAGAGAAGCCTGTGCCAATTTAGAAGGAAGTTTGGAATGGGACAGGAATAGGAAAGGAAAACTATTACATTACTTCAGAAAGATATCACGATATTCCCACATTGAGGCAATGGAGCGAAATACATAGTGGTGGGAGTTGAGTAACATTTAAAGAGAAAAGTGAACTTCATTTGGCAACAGATTGGCATGCGCCAGTTGTGGGAGTGTGCAGTCAGGGATGAGTCTGAGACCCTGATTTACGGAGCTGATTGATCCTTTCATTGAGAAGATTAATTGAAGACAACAGGCTTCTGAGAGGGATCTGCAGAGACAAGAGCTCTGGCAGGTCTGCTTGGCACTGTTGGCTTTGGATGTCTTTTCGCAACACACTCCTACCAGATGACATTCTAGGAGTCACAGATATGGACAGTATGTGGAAAGAGTAGAGACAAGAGGAGGAACTCACAGCCAAACCATAAGAAATTCTAACATCTGTGGCTTTTTTGTAGACAAGAGAAGGGAGAGGGGTCAACTTCAGTTTGTTTATATGTATTTGTTTTTATGATATGGTAAATTTTTGAAAAAGGAAAGAAAACACTCATTTTAAAATATAGGTCACAGTTCCAAAACAGTGCAGAAGCCAAAGTGGAAGTCTTTGGGAAAAAAAGATGGATAGACGATTGATAGATAGATGATAGATAGATAGATAGATAGATAGATAGATAGATAGACAGACAGACAGACAGATGGAGGCATGAATTAAATTGAAATGAGTTCTCATCATCCAACAGATCACTGTAAAATGTACTTGAAAAATGAAAATTGTGTGTCTATATGTAGTGTCATATTTATTTTTTCTAGAGGAGAAGTGAGGGAGTATTTTTGCTAATGCTTTGCTTTTAATACTCACTACCTCTATTTGAATTAAGTATAAGCCAGTGGTCATCACCCCAGACATGATCATGATGACTCAGTATGAGGATTAATTACAAAAGTAATCATGTCCGTTATCTAATTATTCAAATCTTAATTGCAACTCTGTTGGCCCAATTAGTCCAGAACGCAAGGCTAATGTTAGGGATGGGTGGACACTCAGCATCTGTGCCTAACTGAGAGGCATCTGTTGCCAAGAGGTGAAGTGATGGAAAGTGTCCATTCACCAGCTGTGAAGCAAACACGTCTTAGAAAAGCACACAGGAGTCACAACAAAATGCAGCCCACGGGGCTGGGGGTAGGGGAGGGGAAGATGTGGTAATGCTTCTGAGGCATCTGTTATCCCCTGGATGCACCACAGATCTCAAGCCATTGCATGTGCCACTATTGAGCACTATGATTAAAAATAGAAATTTTTTTTAAAAAGATATTTCTATTTCTTGTCCTTCACTAGTGGATAATGCTATAAAAAGAAACGGGCTAGCTACAAATTTTTAACAAATAAATGTTTTTATAAATTTATTAGAACCATTTATGGCTCCTTTCGTTTCCTTGATCCATGTTATGCCTAATAAAAGAAATAGAATTGTACAGATCGAATATCTACTTATGTTAAGTATAAGTAATAAAATAATAGATCTCCTGATTGTTACTATTGATTTTGACTTTAGTAGCATACAGTATGCAATATCTCAGCATCTGATATATTTATATGCTATTATTGATTTTGACCATATTCTATAGGAAAGATTCTCTTAATAATGTTATTGATTTTTAAAATATTATTAATATTTATCAACCTCTCATGTTGGTATATAATCATTATTGAACTATAATCAATTGTTAGTGAAAGAGAAGCAGCTGTATAAAGCATGACAAAACTGATTAGAAATTTAAGTACATCAGCTTTTGACCTAGCTGTGGATTTGCTTTCACTGTTTATCGGCAGTGTCATGGTTTCAAGTTTTTATTAATCCACATTTTGAAACAAACAAATGGAAGAGTGTTTAAGTTCACTGAAGTTGGAAAATGTTAATTTACAGGAAATGTATATACATCTTGCTTCTGAGTATAATAGAAATGATTTCAGCTTTTCACATTGGTTTCACAGAAGAAAATTACACTTCAAGAAAATTAAAAGAGTTTGGGGAGCATTTTCAGCATTGCATCTCCATGCTCCCTTGTTATTGAATCACAATAAGAAACCCTGTTAGTTCTCCTGAGCAAATTGCTTTCCACAATTATGGTTTATGTTTTAATGGAGATAGCTTCACATTAGGAGAATTATTCCAAACCAGCATCGCTTCTTGATGCAGCACAGAAGAGCACCCTGCCTCCTTTACAGAATCCATGCCTCCCATGTTGCCTCTAAGGAAAATATATAAATAAATGCTTGCCAGTCTTGCTTCTGAGAGAGTTTTAATTGAGGATAATGAAACATCCCTAGCTCCAAAGCGAGAGTATGATGGCCACAAAGTCCTTTAAAATGCTAATAGGCACAGGACACTTGTGGACGTTATGTGAGATTACATGGTGTAGAAATGGTGTACGTAGGTGACAGTTTGTCAGATTTAGCTGCAGCAATCATACTTATTTTCTCCATTTCTATTTGTGATGCCAATGTGAACGAAAAATGTAGGATGATACAAAGTTGGACCCTCAGCACTAAGCATCCTGCCTCTCTCTCTCTGTCTGTTTTGTGTTGCTCTAAAGGAATACCTTTGACTGGGTAATTAGTAAAGAATAGAGATTAGTTTAGCTCATGGTTCTGCAGGCTGAGAAGTTCAAGGCCATAGCCCTGGTTTCTTGCAAGGGCTTTCGTGCTGTGTCACAACATGGTGAAGGCCAAAGGGGAAATGAACTCATGTGAAGAGAGGGAAACCTGAGGGGCACCCTGGCTCTATTACAATCCACTCTCACAAGAACAAATCCATTCCCAAGGGAAGTAATCCAGTCTTGTGAGAGTGGGAACTCACTACTAGGATCACAGCACCAAGCCATCCATCAGGGATCCACCCCCACAACCCAAACACCTCCCAACTAGACCCCACCTCCCAACACCTACATGCTGGGAATCAAATTTCAAAATGCACTTTGGTGGAGAACAACCAACCCTATTCAAATGACAGCACTGCCCTTCCTGCTATAGGGCATCTGCATAACACTCATAAAAAGAGTTCCAGAGGACCAGCAAGACAAAGAACCATTAATTACGCATGGTTTAATGTTTCTAGTTCCCATTTCCTCTATTTCAGTTGTATTCCACCTGCAGAACTCCTCTCTCATTTTAAATCAGTGACAACGTGAACAGCGCGTGTATACTTTAAGCAACTTACCAATTCAAGTGGGTTGCCTCAGCTGTAAGACATGAACTCAGAAGTGATAAAGCTTGGCACTGCTTCAGTAAAATGGAATAAGAAATCACTTTGACAGAGCTTAGATTCTAGTCTGGGTTGCTAAATGTAGTTTTTTCTTTCTTTCTTTTTTTTTTTTTCCTCTTTCAAGGTTGATGTTCTTTATTTTTATGTGGAGTATATCTTATGTGACAGCACAGGAAGAAATGTAGGCAGCCCAGGTTAATGCATTCGTGGTCACAATGAACTTGAAAGTGAAGGAAATCAGCTCTCTTGAGACATTCTGCTAGCATTCACCAGTTTAAAGGGAATCTTGATTAAATGGCAACAGTTATGGTGATGCCAAGAAATATGAGAGGCATGAAAGAAAAACTTTCAGTTGCTTATTAAACAAAGGGGACCTCTTTATTTCCTCTTGACTGCAATACAACACAAAGGCATGGCTTAGAATGCTTTCGTGTTGCAGCCTTTTCCACCTCAGGGATTTATAATTGGGACATTTTCATTTTTAAGTTGAAAGCGTTGGTCTCTGGGATTTAAGATGATAAGTGTCTTCCCTCAGCTTCATCACCTGCCAGCAATATAAGCACCATCTGCCCAGATGCCAGAGACTGGTCTATTACTCCTAGGGGACCTCACATGTGTTCGTGTGAGTGTTTGCATAAGAGCAATCAGTTGCAAACCACGTGCACTTATTAGTAACACCAGTAACTTTGTATATGTTTCCGTTCTGAATTTCCACGCTGAATATCTATTTTGTTTTATAAATTTATATTGTAAATAAATTTAAATATTATGGAACATTTAAACTTGAAGTTTAGGTTCAATCCCTAAAACTGTACTTTAAGTATTTTCTTCAAGATATTTACAGTTAGATATTTTTCATTAATATTTCTTATTTATTTAGTGCTTTTACGAGCATGTTTTGCTATTTTACTCCACATTGGAAGGATACATTTTCCAGTTTCTATCAACTGTGTCATTACAACTTATTTGTTATTTCAAAGTGTCTTTTGCAGGTATATAAAAATGCTGGCCGGGCTCAGTGACTCACACTTGTAATCCCAGCACTTTGGGAGGCCAAGGCAGGGGCATCACTTGAGGTCAGGAGTTCAAGACCAGCCTGCCTAACGTGGTGAAAAGCTGCCTCTAATAAAAATACAAAAATTAGCTGGGCATGGTGGTGCGCACCTGTAATCCCAACTTCTCAGGAGTCTGAAGCAGGAGCATCACTTGAACCCGGAAGGCAGAGGTTGCAGTGAGCTGAGATCACATCACTGCACTCCAGCCTGGGCAAAAGACGGAGACTCTGTCTCAAAAAACAAACAAACAAACAAAAAACCAAACACAAATCCGTAGATTTTGGCTGCTGTATCTCTCACACTACTGAAAAAATGTGAATAGATTTTCACTGGTTAATCTACAATCATTTGGCACAGCTTGACTATATGGTTAGATATTAATTTCAGAACTTTTTCTGATAAATTCAAATCAAAATGAAGTGGGTGAAGGACTTGGTATTATTACATTTCTTTTGAGGATTTTACTGAATGACAATAGTTATTGACTTTTTAAAAAATTCTTCATATATGTGTGTTTCAAATTGACTTTGAAAGAGGCAGTGTTACTTTTGCCTAAATCTTATGCCGCGCATACAAGAAGTCAGTACAAAATTAAGATTCTTAATAATGTCAGGCACTTAACTGTAGAGAGATCTTACTCAAGGGCACTTAAGGAGAGAAGATTCCCCTGAGAAGATGCCCAGATGCAATTCTGTCAGGTGTACTTAGAACCAAATGAATGACTCAAGTATTTCTCTTCAGAATGTTCTGGGAATCACAAATGTGCTTAATTTGACCAGGTTCTCCTACTGGTTATGATGAAGTCCTTCAATATTGTTTTTTACTGTTCTTAATGCAAATCACAGAGGATTTTCTTCCTTTCATACACCTTAGCATACACAAAGAAAGAGTGGCATATAGATATAAATCTTTTTTGTGGAATAAATGTAAATGGAACTGATTTCCCAAAACCCACTTCATTCCCTATTTTAGTGATAATCAGTAAAACTCCTACCACAATAGAAAATTTAAAAATCTTGCTGCATTGTCAGATTTCTTTTGTCCCATGAAGCATCTTCACTTACCTTATGACAAATAAGCACTAGGACCTTCTCACTTATACACGGAAATGTGTTTGAGACAATGAATAGTAAATAATGTCATCTACATGAAAAGGGACACACTGTGAATGTCAAGGTAAAAGTCTTTGATTCTATGGTACACAATTTCTATTTCTCCCAACCAATTTAGGATTCAGGTTACATGCCAGCAGCTCACGTGTGCCATTTCTGCATAAATAGTTTTGTAACATGCCTTGATATGTGAATCAAAGACCAACCTGGCCAACATGGTGAAACCTGCCTCTACTATAAATAAAAAAATTAGCCAGGCATGGAGGTGCACACCTGTAATCCCAGCTACTTGGGAGGCTGAGGCAGGAGAATCGCTTGAACCTGGGAGGCAGAGATTGCAGTGAGCCAAGATTGCACCATTGCACGCCAGCCTGAGCGACAAAAGTGAAACTCCTTCTCAAAAAAAAGAAAAAAAAAAACAAAAGAGAGAGAGAGAAGGAGGACTCTGTTTCTTTCTGCAGATGAACAAAAAGAATATTTTATTTGCCAGAAGTAGAAGGGAGAAGGAAGATTTATAAGCACACATCTTTAGATAAACTGTGGGAGCTAAATGATGAGAACACATGGATGGATAGAGAGGAACAACACACACTGGGGCCTTTCAGAGAGGGTAGGGTGGGAGAGGGGAGGGGATCAGGAAAATTAACTAATGTGTACTAGGTTTAATACCTGGGCAATGAAATCATCTGTACAACAAACCCCCATGACAGAAGTTTACCTATGTAACAAACCTGCACTTTCACCCTTGAACTTAAAAGCTTTTTAAAAAATGACTTTAGTGCTGTGTACTAGGTATTGTGTGACTTGGCAACATTTTCCACATGGAGAAATGAAGAGTCTGAGACTACTGTTGGGGGGAATGATATTCACAGCAGAGTAAGGGGCATGGCTGGCTTACATCCGGACTTTGAGCTGGTTCTGCACATGTGAAGTAAGGACAGGAGTTCTAAATAAGAAGAAGATGTAGTTCTCAGGAGGATTTATTTTTCTCTGTTCCAATCCATTCTTTCTTTCTCAGGATTTGCTGTGTTCATTGTCGTGCATATACATATATCAAGGCAGTTATTCTTCATTTGCTTTGGACCACTAGTTTCACAATTACTAGTTATGAAAATTTTAGACACAGAGGACAGATCTCGCTATAGTTGTTGAGGAATGGTTGAAGAAGGAGCTCTAGGCAAGAGATATTTAAGGCTCTGAAATTATCTTTTGCCTTAACTTTGCCTCAGGGGAAAAAAATGTTGTTATACGTGTTACTAGTGATATTTACACGATATATATTTTTTGGAAATGGAAAACTATTTTTAGTTTCAAAAACCAAGGGTCAATTTTATGAACCCATCTCACTACTTCTAATCTAGGACTCTATCAAGAATAACTTTATTATCTCTTAGGCGTGTGTTACATGCCAAAAACTTTGGATTTATTGTCTTAGTCCTCTCTACAGTCTTAAGAGTAGCCATTGTTGCCCATTTAATAAAGTAACAAAAAAAAACCGAGTTAAGAAACATTTCATGCCTTATCTAAAATCATACCCTTAACCACACAACTGGAAGGTCACACCCAGGTTTCTCTAATTCCATACTTTGTAATTTTTTTTATCACTAGGGTATTTATTCTTCCTTTGCAAACTAGCCATTCTTCATATATTAGGACAGAAAATAAAAATAGGCCATTAATGACTCTACTCTAGTTATTTTCGTGTAGAAAGGACCCTTTCTAACTGTCAAGTCTCTTGCTTTTGGGGGATATTTCTGACTGTATCACTGCTTTCTTTATCCTTTCAGTTTGATGACTTCGCAGAATGCCTTATGGCTTTCTGGGATTTTTTAACATTGCACTTGACTTTCAGTCAATTCTGTTTAGCTCGTAAGATTTCTTGTGTCCTGTGGGTTTGAGTGAGATTGTCCCTGCTGATCCTTAGCAGTAGTACCTACAGGTGCCCCTTCCTTCTTACGGCAAGGTCAGGGAGAATTCTTAGTGACTTGCATGAAATAGAGTAAATGCTGTATTTTAAGGGTAAAATGTTTGGTTTCATTAAATTTCACGAGAAGAAATCACCCGTTTCCATGTGCTTTCTTATCTGGTTACCACCATATAGTTCTTTCTTCTTTATAAGAAAAAAATATTTTAAAAGTAGTCTGTGCTATAACTTCTGATTCTTTTCTGTCCCATGCACTTTACAACAGGCTTTATAGCTGCCTGTCTAGCTCCAATAACAACACACTTGATAATCCTAAAAACAAATTCTGATCACCAAATATTATAAGCAATATTTTATTTAGTCCTCATCTTGATTCACCACTCTCTCCTTGAATGTCTCTCACTTCGCTTGGTTTTTATTCCCAAATTTCTTGCTGTTTTATTTCTACCCATGTAGCCATTTCTTTTTAATTTTCTTTGGCTCAAATTCTTTCATTCTCCTTCTAAGATTATTCCTGTGGTTGAGCCAAAGCCAGTCTCTATGTGTTCCCAGCCACATTCATAACTTTATCTGCAACTTGTACCAATGACTGTCAAATTTGTTTCATCAGTCCACTTCTCTCTTTGAGCACCGTGTAGTACTTATCTCTATTATTCTTCTAAACTTCTCCATGCTAAACAACTAAAGTTCCGCCTTTGGAAAATGTAACTGAGAATTCACCATAAAATGCTTCATCGCTATCTTCTTATTGGCACTATAAGCTCTAATCAGTTGTAGAGAAAGTTCTACAACTCATTAGAACTTATAGTGTTGATCATTTGCTCATGAGGCCTCTCTTACCTTGGGTCCAGCCCAGCCAGTCAGAAACAATCACTACATTAATCTAAGTATCTCTCAGTTGCACTTTCTCATCTATAACCCAACTGCTGTGCCTTCATCAATATCTTCAGTCCAGGCAGGATCTTGGGCTATTAATATAGCCTCCAAAAATATTTCCCTATTTTTAGAACACCCGCACTCCATCTGTTCCTTTTATTTTCCTATTGTGTAAAATTTCTAAAAACAAAAATTAACTGTGCTCCCACCCTGCATAGTTATCTCAATACAGCTCATTCTAACAGGCAAAATATTCTTTTAGCTGAGCATTTATGGAGAAACAAACATCTACCAAACTAGGTACTGAAGAAACAGTGGTAACGCTGATGCAATCCTCTTATGGTAGGTAAAAGGGACTGTAATCAAATCACTTAGCAAACAAAGGTACAATTACAACACCAACATGTGGAATGCATATATTGAGGTGACTTGAGAAACCTGGGAAGTCAGAGAGGGAGACTTTAAGTTGCAAACTGAAAAATGATAAAAGCTAGGTTAGAAAAAAAGGAATCTAAACAAGGGAAACAAAGTGAATACAATTCCTTAAGTAGGAAGAGGCTCGGAAAATTTAAGAAATGAAAGATCAGTATATTTGAACAGAGAGAAGAAATAAGAGAATGTGACTAATTGTTCAGGTCGTAAAAACTATAAACCTAGTCTTTATTCTAAATTCAAAGAAAACTAATTATAGGGTTTAAAGATGGAGCGGGGGAGTGATATACTTAGAAAACAGATTGAAAAAGTCAGAGTGCATGGAGTGCAGCAGAATAGAAGATATTGCCAGAAAGAGATCAAGATAGCTTGGGATATAAAGATTGTAGTGAGTATGGAGAGATGTGGCAAGACTTCCGGGATGATTTGGGAGTAGTTTCTTAATATGTGATTAAAAATTTTAAGTACTCATATATGGATGGCATGGGGCACAGAGGAATCAAAGAGAGAGAGAGAGATCAAGGATGACTCCCAGATGTCTAATTTGCAGAAAGGGAAATTACCATTCCCTGAAATTAGGAGCCAAGAAAAAAGACAGATATTGATGGAAGAAACAGGGCAAGATGATAGTGTCTGCTTTTGTGTACATTATATTAAATGTGCCATAAAACATAACACCAAAGAGTATTTGGAAATTGTTAAGTGCATGCGAATAAAACTAAAAAGAATCTCAAAATAAAAAATATAAATAAGCCCGAGATTGAAATATAAATATTGGGAACATTGGCACAAAATAGCAAATAGAACTCTAGACATAAATGTGCTTATGTGGGGAGAGAATATAGATCTCTAAGAAAAAAAGGCAAAGATGAGTCTTTCAGAATTTCACTATTTTATGTTTCCATAGAAGATGAGATGTCTAAGGAGACTGTAAAGGAGGATGGGGAAGAATGCTGAGGAGAATAGGGGACTTCTATGTGATAAAGGAGAGGGAAGACTTTCTAGGTGAAGGGGGTCATCAAGTATCTCTAGGAATATGAATGCAAAAAAAAAAGCTTATTAATGTTTATTAGATTTGTTCACATGGAACTTTATACGTGACCCTATCAACAACTTTCATAAGTTAATAGGAATTTGAAGGGAAATTACAGCCAATTGCAAATGTTAGTGGGAGAGAAAGAAATGAACAGAGATTCAGACGATATGCAATGCTTCATGATAATTTTGCTTGTGAGGGAGGAGAGGATGATCTGCTGTCCAACAGAGGGTCTGTGTGTCTATTTTTGTAAGTAATCTGAAGGGGTTTACATACACAGGGGAAGGATTTAGTTAAGTAGTCAATGTCAGATACATCAAAGAGATAACGTAATTCAAGGTACCCCAAATTATGTGCCTTTTGATGTCTAACAAATAATCTGACTCAATACAAGCAAGACAACTAGATATAAAGTCATAAACAATTATAGATTCTGTGGGTAACTGCAGTGTATTCTCTATGGGCATTCAAATTCAAAAACTGGCTGGGCACGGTGGCTCATGCCCATAATCCCAGCACTTTGGGAGGCTGAGACAGACAGATCACTTGAGGTCAGGAGTTCGAGACCAGCCTGGCCAACATGGCAAAACCCCGTCTCTAAAGTTAGCCAGGCATCGTGGTGCATGCCTATAATCCCAGCTACTCGGAGGCTAAGTCAGGAAAATCGCTTGAAACCCGGGAGGCAGAGGTTGCAGTGAGTTGATATCGCCCCACTGCACTCCAGCTTGGGCGACAAAGTGAAACTCCGTCTCAAAAAATAAAAAATTAAAAATTAAAAAAATTAAAAAAATTAAAAACTGTGATTTTTGTATTGAGTATTGAAAACTTTGGCAAAAGGATAGTCTTACAGACACAAATAGATGATTGATGTACTGTAAAAGGAAAAAAAATTAAGTCACTGTAGACTTAGGTGAGTTTGTTGTAGGTTGCGGGAAGAAAAGATTAATTGGTTCTCTATCAATAGGTCCAGTTTTCTCTAAGTAGATAACAAAGTCATTTCCTGAAACTGGAGCTGAAATGTAAAAGGACTGAGGAAAGTGAGTGGCTGTAGGGTGAGTTAGGTAGGGAAAAAAGCAAAATTAGCCAGTGGAATGGTTTATGATCTAGGTTATTTCCTGTGGCATTCATGATGTGATCCATGTTTGCAGTAGATGTTATTGGAGAGAGAAAATTTCTAAGAATGTCCAAGTTCCTTCATAAATGAGGGAAATTAATGAGATATAATCTCCTTAACATAATTCATCCTTAATTATCTTTCTGACTTGGATTCATGGTCTTCCATGTTAGGCTTCCCACACAACAACCACAAGTACTCTGAAGTCACCGTGAATTTACCCACTCTGTTTGCATGTGTTAGTGGCTTCCTCTACTTGGTAATACCACTCTGTTTGGTGAATTAATGTTTCTTATTTTTTAAGATGCAGATGACACACATTTGCCACTCTTAGTACCTTCCTAAATCTCTAAACTTTAGAACTCTATAGGTGCTAAATTAATAGATGGAAGGCCAATTTGTTTAGTCACTTAAGTGTGAGTTTATTTTGAATTTGTTTCTGAAATCGTTGCTTAATTCTGTGGTACCATTCATTTTTATCCAGTGCAAATGCTAATGTGATCAAATTGAGAAACTTTAAAAACATATTCTGACCCACAGGAGCTATGTACCATCAACTAAAAAGTTGTTATTAAGGTAAACTTCAAGCCGTTATAATCTTTTAATTTATTGCATTTTAGAAGAATAATGATTGAATTTTAGATTTGTATTAAAATAACTTCTGAAACTTTTAATTTATCTTCCAACTTTACGATAATGAGCAAAATATCATAGTTTAAACTGAAATTTAATTACTTTTAAGACAAATTCTGAAAAGCTTTAAGCATTTTCTATTTATAGTACTAAATCTCCTCTTATTGGATGAAAGCAATAACCTGCCTCCAAAGAATACTCTATAGTATGTCATAAACCCATACTTGATAACAACACAAATAATCACAAGCAAATTAATTTTGCTTTCTTACATTCATTATCTATGGAAGAAAACCTCGTAAGAAATACATGTCCATGTACATAGATGAATTCTGTTTTGTTTGGAAGAATGCGTAAGTTTGAAATGCTATGTTTACCAGGAGTCTCCTCACTGCTACTATTTATTAACTGCCTATTATGTGCCAATACTTCTTTCAGTACTCAACATTTATGAGATCATTTTAATCCTAGAAGAGCAAGGATTATCACCCTTGTATTCCAGATGATAAAACTGCATTTTAAGTGCATATGCTTCAATTTGAACTCAGACCCACTTGAGTCCTCACCTCACAGTCTTAACCATTGTGCAAGTCTGTCTTTTCAGAGTTAAAATATTAAAGAGATTTTCAAATGCAAATCATTTTAGTGCATTTGTTATTAAAGTGCAATATATTCCTTAAATCAAATTAGAAAGCAGAAAGGGAAAGTTCCTTTAATTCCAGACTCATAAAGATGCCAACATTTTCATGTCTATTATATCTTTTCTTGGTATAGTAGAACCACAAAACAACAAGTTTATTTGACTCTCAGTTTTACAAAGTTAAAAAGATTGATAATACCTAGAGTTCACAGTATGTGAGGAAAAGGGTACCCTGAGGACTATTGGTAAGAGTATGAATTGGTGTTACTCTTCAGAATGGCAACTTGCCAATATGTGTTAAATGTTAACAGCATTTATCTAGCAGTTTCAGCTTCTAAGAGTTTAATTAATAGAAACAATCAGAAAAAGACACAAAGATTGATGAATAAACTATCTGTTGCATAAAGAGATGTTCATTGTTTATAACAGAAAAGTGATTTTACAAATTAGAAATACATAGATATTCAAAAGTAAATTTTCTGCAAAAAAATTACTATTAATACCATAGGTATTTATAATTTTGAGGATATCTGATATCCCCTATCACAATAATCTATCACAACAACCCAAGGAAGGCTTTAATCAGCATAAGAATAATTAAGTCAATGATATCTCTGGTATCCATGGTATTTGAGCTGAGTCCACATCTGAAGGAGTTTAACTTTGAGATCTAATCTGAAATCTAAATAGAAGTTAGCATGAGAAAGGATAGGTGTTAAAATTCTGCTGGGCAGAGAGGCATGACCAATTAGATCTAAGGGATGAGAGGTAGCCTTGACTATTTAGGAAATAATAAATATCTTGGTATTCCTGAAACACGGTGTGGATACATGCCAGTGAGGGAAGATGCAGCTGGAGAAGTCAACAGCAATCGTGTTACTTTCTCTTTCTTTCACCATCAGTAGTGATATCTTCATTTACTATCGTCTGTTTTTCACAATTTGAACATAGTAAAATGTTATTTTATGATTGGAATTAAGTGTTCACCGTGCTATGTTTAGTAAGCTAGCTACCTTTTAATTTGTCAAACCATCTCTCTATCTACTTAAAAACCAACAGAGTCGTTGAAGCTAAAAGAGAAATGTCCAGAGGATGTTTTTAGAGAAAAGAACACATGAAGCAACCCCTCTCTCAGTTGTGTGTCTATATAAGTGTTTGATGGTGTGATAGGTGGGTGGCTCTCCTCATATTTTTCCAAGTCTCACAGAGAGAGGTTGCTCTAGAATAGCAGCCCCCATGGCCGTGATCCAGCCATGTGTGATTAATTTCTAAATGTGGAAATCAAAGCCAGCTTTAATCAGTTTCAAAGCTATATAGAGATCCAATAGAAGAGTAACTCCAGATTAAAGTCTGTGCTTGAATATGGATTTTCTTTGAATAGTTGGATTTTCAAAGAATTTGTGAAATTTTTTAGGTTGATACTATATCTACTTGTGCTACATAATTTAAACATGAGATTCATTATTCCTTCCCCTGTGAAGCAAGGTTTTCAGGCACTAAGTTCTACAGAGGGATTCCCACACCCAAATTACAGGAAACTTACTCCTGTTTCGGCAATATATTTTCATTTCATTTAGAAGATAAATACAACTAATGAGAAAAAAGCAAAGCTACTTCTGTGTGAAAAAAATAGGTAGGGAAATTTGTGATTTCACCATAAAATAATCATGTGATTTGTGTCAGCATTTCCATTAATCAGGATTTCTGCAGAACCTGCAACGTGCTAAGTACTGAGGGTAGAGTAACCACCTAGGAAGTCAAAATCCCTGTTTCATGCCATTTATAATACCATTTACATTCAGTGAAGCAAGAAACAAATATGTATTATGTCAGGTTATCATAAATACTATTGATTACAATAAAAGGCAGGGTTGGAGGGTAGCAGATATGAGCATATGCCTGTGTGTGAATCAGTAGTGTGGGTAGCTTGTCTGATCATATGGCAGCTTGGTTGAGGCATGAGCAAAGAGGCAAAGCATGAAGATATCGAGGGAAAGGCATTGCAGGCAAATGGGGCTGCAGGATAGTGAGGGAAGTCAGAGGTGATACAGGAGGAAGTGAAAGAGGTAGAAAGTGCCCCAACTCTATGAGGGCTCTGAGTTTGGACATGCTCCTAGCAGAAGAGTGATATGATCTGATTAAATGATCACTCCCACTCCCCTGTGGAAGAGATCTGGTTTGACTGGTAGGAGAGCAGAAGCAGAGAGACAAGATAGGGTGGCAGTTAGGCAGAAAGTGACAGTAGCTTGGAATACGGTATTCATAATGGAGAGATACCAAGTGCAAGGATTGAAAAGACACTTGGGGTAGAACTAACCAGACTCTGCTATTGGAATAGATAAGGAAGGAATAAAAAGATGACACCTAGCATTTGGTATGAGAAACAAAGCTGCTGGCTTATTTAGGTGAGGAAGGCAGGAAGAAAGCAAAATAGAAGATAATTGAGCAGAGAATGTTATATAACAAACGTGATCATCTGAACACAGCTATTTAAAGTATCAGAAAGACTGTTTCCTAAAACACATGGATTAAGATACTATATATTGATCAGTTAAACTTAATCTGGAGACAGACTTTCAAAAAAAGAAACAAAACAACAAAACAATGAAGGGATTTACATGTTTACATGGTTTTGAATCTTTCATTCAAATATGAAAAGTGAAAATCTTGCCACTGCATTCAGATATACAAAGTTTGTCCTGGATTATAAGGATGATATGGGCATTCACACCCTAATACCCCGAAGTGTATATATGTGATAGAGTTTGTTTGAAGATAATGTATACACTGAGAACTAGGACGACTCAAATGAGCCCCAGTTGCTCAATAATCCATAGAGACGTGTTAAAGCAGATTGAGCTGGACTGGATTCAGCACAGAAAGGGTTCCGGGAAGGAGATACCAGCCCTATAATGATCTACACATTTTTAGGAGTGGAGAAAGGAAGAAAATAAACATCTAGTAACCCTGTGATGATTGGTGCTTCTTGGTTTAGGAAGTGGCCGAGTTAAAAGGAGAAAGCTCCTGAGCTCAGCCTCTGGTCCTATTTATTGCGCTAGTTCAGGTGAGCTGATCCAGTTTCTTGCTAAGTCACTGAAAGGGTGGAGGAGATGAGCCATCAGGGATATCTAGAATTTTCTCTCCTTACCCTGATTAGACTTCATTCTGCCATCAGCATTCACGCTCTCTGTTGTAGGTTGACCTACATAGATACCACCTATACAGATTCCTTTTACAGGCATGTCCCATTCAACCTATAAATCTTTAGCTGCATTATTTTATTTTCTATTCTTTTTAATTAACGCCATATATTTCTTAATTTTGGTTATAAAAAATTTACATTTCCTTCTGATACTTAGGAAAACTCAAGCCTGGGAAATCCGCAAAGAAATGCATTTATATATATATATACATATTTTTTTTTCATTCTCAAGTTTTCCAAATAGATTTATATTAGCTTTCTGTTTGATCCTGAACTTCTGAGTCCTTCTGGCATTTAACAGAATAACCTGATAGACACAGAAGAAGCTACCATATTTTGCTTTAAACAATTTTTTCTACATCTGACATGGATAGATGGTTTACTATTTGTGAAGAAGAAAAATGTGTCTGTACATTAAATTTTCTAAATTAATGCTATTACACACAATGTGTAACAAATACTGATAATCTGTTAAACCAGGCATGTTTAGAAACCCTATTAAACCTAAAAGAGAGAACTAAATTTATTTACGAGACAATTCACAAAGTAAAAGCATTTCTTTAAATCTGAAATGTGATTGAGAATGAGGGTTTTTGTATGTGCTAAATAATTAGGCATTTAATTCATTAGTATTTATTTTAAAATATTAATTTAACTCTAGGTAAGTAGGTATAGGACATTTATAATAATAACAATGTGGAAGACTAATAAATGATATAAATAGAGTCATTAGAGCCTTGAGATGGTTGCTAGTGTCTTATATTCCTGGCACAGCAAAATTTCTTTCAAAATTAATACAATTTAAAGACAGTTCATTAAAATGTATAGCTTTGCAAATTGAGTTGACATTAGTTATCTGTATGGTTGTGCATATATAAAGCATATTTGCAACTTTTTACCATTGATGACCAGAGTGTGGTGGATTCGGTTAATTAGAAATCCACATTAATATACCCTCTTTTTAGTGTATTTTGACTCAGTCTTTACTTGTCCTCAAGATAAATGGTATTGACTGATTCCCATGGTTCACTTAATAGAACAGGTAGAACTCCATTTGTATTCATTATGGTCGGTCTATATTAATCATTCCATTTCTTACCTAAAGCTATGTCAGGACATATTTTCCAATTCATGATTTCTGCCTGATTTTTCACTAAATTCTAGGCTTGTAGTTTAGTTAAAAAACAAAACTTAATTACAGTTTTGAAAAGCTTTTAGAAATGCCATTGGATCTTGAACTGATTAAACAAACCATTTTGTTATATCAATGTGTTGACAAACTATTAGGGACATAGTCATACTTCTTGTTTTTGCTTTAATTTTAACTTACTATTAAATTAGACGAAATTTGAAGCAAGTTTTATTTTTGAAGTATTTACAAAGTTCAAGGTACTGCGCAAGGTACTGAAAGAAATACAAGAGAAGTAGAGCTTTAAGCATGTGTTTAGTGTAATGAAGACAACACAGGATTTAGTCAAAGTTGAGGACATTTTATTTTGAATTTCCAATGAATCTTGTGCCACATTTTTTACATCAACCTTGTCATCTATAGAATGAGAATACTAACAATTATTGATCTACTTACTTCAAATGTTTTGTGAAAATGAAATGATATTTATTCCTAAAGCATTGCATGCATTACAAATCACAATACTTATATTCACCTAATGTGTTTCACAGAATACTAGTAATTCTATGAGTATAACCACAAGTGATTCCTGGCCAAACATGTTTGGGAAATGCAGCATACTATCTCCATTCCACTTGGAGTGGCATGTGGCATATCAGCTTTTACAGGCTCAACTATTTTTTCTAGACTAGGATTCTCCACATTTCTTTAAGCGTACTTTATCATAAAATACTAATTAGCATTGCAAAAAATTATGGTAACATCGAAAATACTAAGGAAATTACACATTATGTAAGTGTTAGCTGTGCTTTTACTATCACAGTGTATGTGGTAGGAGTAACAATTTTAGTATATGAATAGCTACAGCACACAGCAGGCAAACAGTATAATAAAAGTAGTAAAAATTACATCATACCATCTCATAGGAAGGAAGAGTTAACCAAGGTTGTAAAAATCGAAGTAATTCTTCAAAATATTTGAATATCTAATCTGTATATAGGATTCTATTTGGATGTCTGGGATATCCAAGCCTAATCCTATATAAGGGTTAGATATCTAAGTCTAATTCTATATACAGGTTATTTCAAATATTTTAAAGCATTTGAAATAGTTATTAGTATTTATTTAATATTTATTAATAACTATTAATAAATATTAATAGTTATTAATATTTATATTATATAAAAGTGTATGTATTATAATTATATAAATTTCATAAATTATATTATATTATATAAATTATATAAATTATATTAGATTTATAAAATGTAAATTATATTATATAATTACATAAATTATATAATTATAAAATTTAAATTATATAAATTATATAATTATATAACATAAATCACATATATGTAATTAAATGTGTACATTTAGCACATGTATGTACATACATGTACACACAGGCCACCACCACTGCCAAAAGTATTATGCTAAATAAAAATCAATAAAGCAAAATGTAAATGATGTATTACAGAGGACAGAACATAGAAATGGGCAGCCTAGTTTGATAAAGTTTGTTTTGTGGATATGTTAATCCTTACATGTCAATTTGACATCTAGAAGAAAACACAAACCAGACAAAAATGTCATTGGTTCTGATTAATGAGTCTTGGGTAATGTCTGTATTTGAGTTTGAGAAAAGATGGGTTGTGGGTCATCCTCAGAATTACAAAATTAGGAGAAAATTCAGTACAATACAATGACACAGCATCTAATGAACTAAAAATTTCTTTCATTTT
The DNA here is from genome assembly GCF_000001405.40 of Homo sapiens. NCBI lineage: Eukaryota > Metazoa > Chordata > Mammalia > Primates > Hominidae > Homo > Homo sapiens. The sequence continues at coordinate 936,257 of NT_187651.1, read as the reverse complement.
GCTATGTAAAATTTGCATTAATATATATTTAAAATTAAAATCAATTGAATGAATTCACTCTCACCATGCAAATATTAAAAAATAGAGAAAAAAGGAAATGCATTCAATAAAATATAAGAGTAACAGTAGACAGTATACAGTCATCTACCCAATAGACATCCCTCTTCCCTGTTTAGAGACTATGACTTATGTTCCGAAAACCACATTCATTCACAAAGCAACGGAATTTAAGGAAAGAGACCTCCCAGTTCCTGATGAAAGAAGTGAATCTTGACTAATTTAGCTAACTGTGAACCTTTTAGCCCTCTTGCTATTTGTTTTAGGAACAAACATGCTGCAAAGTTTCAGCCAATGAGATACAAGGGAAATGATTTCTTGTGGGGCTTTAAGAGAGAAACAAGGAAGATTGAGTTCTTGTTCTTGCAGATCCTGATGTGTGTCAATTGGTAGATGGAGCTGCTTCAGTCATCTTCAAGGAGCAGATAAGAGGCTCAGGTAACATGCTGAGGAGTCTAGTGAATAAAGAGGGAAAAAGTGTGGATCCTTGATGATGCTGTTGAGGTGCTGAATTTAAAATTAAGTTAGTTTGCCTTGGATGTCTTGTTTGGAGAGATGATAATTTCTTTTATCATTGAAAATATATTGTACTAGCACTTTATTTACAGCCCAAATCATTTCACTTGATGAAACATTAGAGAAGAAAATACTTGTTCTTTTTCCCAGATGCTATAACTTCACATAGCATTTCTATAATTTGTTTTCTGCATTTTCAAAAAATTGGAGGCATCTAAATTCAAAATCACAATGAACTTAAAATGTCTTCCCCAATTAATAGGAAGTGATGACACCTGTACATAGACAAGGAACTCAGGTTACCTTTCTCACTCCTACACCTGCTTTCTTTATCTCTCAATTCTCCTTAACTGATTTTCCCTCGGGGATCTTCCTGGATTAACCTTGCACAATTTGTCTTTAAAAAGATAGATCAGCAAGTTTTCCAGGTGATATATAACCAAACACTTCCACTTTCTTGAGCAAAGGGATAAACACAATACAAATGTAAATATAGGAGCTATGCAGTCTAAGGGAGTGGTTAAGCATGAGTGGTTTGAAGCCAATTTTAAAAGGATTAAGTTCTGACCCTACCACTTACTAGCTGTGTGGCCTCAGGCAAGGCATTTATGTTTCTGTGTCCTTCCTATAAAAAGTGAGGATATATCATTGGCATTCAGTATTATCGTAAGGATGAAGTGCTTATAAAAGTGCCACACAGATAGTATGCACTCTTAAATAAGCAACTAACAAACCATATAGAAGGCCGCCCTTTGCTTAGCTCATTTGGAAAGTCTAAATGTATGCCAAAGAATGTATATTTTAAGTCAATATGTGTTACACTCATATTATCAGAGGAAGTAATTTTCCTCATAACTATGGAGCAGTCAGTCACTGGTATTACATCTAAGCAACATCTTATAATAACAATGCTTAATAGCCATCTAGTACATTTATTCTAAGTAGCTGGGAGCACTTAACGAACATTATCCAATTAATCATTAGAGATTCCTGTGTGGTAAGTCGGAATTGCTATCTCAGCGTTAGTGATAATGATAGGGATATGCAAAGCCAGTCATCTGCATGATAAATCTGAATGACTTTCGCAGCATGTGGCCAGGAATAGAAGCAAAGGCCTGATTCCTTGTCAATGATGCTGTTCAGTGGACCACGCAAGTTCTTGGACTAGATATTCTTGGATTGTTTCTTTCCAAATAACATGGAAGCATATCTAATTTTAACTGTTAAAACTGGCAAAAAGACCCAAGTATTTGTGGACCTCTGACAGCACCTATTTTTAAGCATGTGTCTACTAACATTTGGGTTTTAGATGATCACGAATTCTAACAACTTAAAACTAACTGCTACCAACTGCTGCTTAATTAAAATTCTACTTAACAGTAGCTATGGACAAAATAAGTAAAATAAGATAAATGTTAATTTTAAAGTTCAATCTAATTGGAAGTTAGAAAAAAGTCATACTATTAAGATCATAATTATCACAAAAAATGTGGCACCAGCTCCCAAATTCAGTGAATTCGTGGTTCTGCTGCCAGAGGTTAGATTGTACAATGTTAACTGAGACATATTACTTTGACATAGAAAAGTGAGTTCAGAAGTAGACTGGGAAGAACGATAATTAGAGGAAAGCACTGAGTTTGAAAATTTAAAAAAGAAGCTTATATATAAGTTATATATAAGAAGCTTATATATAAGTTAACTCATCATTTGAATTGCCATTTCTCTAAGTGAACGTAAAACAAACCCTCCCAGCTTCAGGTAATCATTTATTTAACTACAGTAAATTATATCTACAATTTAGGATTGTTGTTAGCCTTAAAAATGTCAAAGAAGTACAATTGCCTTAAAAGTATTCAGGAAATGTTAGTATGTGAAATGTGAAAAGTCAATTGAATTATTCAATACATTCAATTCCCTCAAACTAACACACCTAGAAAATACATCGAGAAAATCAGAACAACTTAAAGTTTTTGATCATTATTATTATCTTTTGCCTTTGAATATTGATATCTTCAATAAAATGTATTCAAGAGAAGCAGGTCTGGCTATTATCATTCCCCCTCCACAGCCCCAGTAATTGTTTCTACTATTCTGAGGGACATTCAGCTTTCTGCCTTTGTAGGTGTGTTATTCAACTACACATTTCACCCTTTCACAATTTGCTAGGTGTCAGCTTTTTGGAAAATTAATCCAAAGATTGTAATGGCAAATAAAATTGTAGTGGTTTATTTCAATTAGGCATATTTTAAATAAGCAGTAAAGTTATATAACTTTAAGAAATAGGACCCTCATAGGAACATATGGAAGACATATATTAACAAGTATAGAACCTATATTTTCAGTACACATGGCTCAGGATGGAATCTCAAAAATACCACTTCCTAAATCTGTGACCTTAAACAAGTTAATGTACTATTTTAGAACTCTGGTTTTCTCGTGTATAAAACAGAGGTAACTCAGAAGGATAAGCATGTGACATAGAGAATACAATGAGATATTATATATCAATTAGCATTGTGCTTAGTCAGTGATATGCACTCAACAAACAATCATTTCTATCTCTCTCTTTCCCCTTGCATTATAAAATGTAGCCATAGATTCAGCCCTGAAAAGTAATGTCTATCATGGGTGTAATTATACTCTAGAATGCTAGGTGTAAATTATTTTATCTTTCAAGTGTGATTTTCTCAGAATGAGACTTTACTGTGAGGCTCGTCAAGGTCATTGTGTTAAACAATTCTGTCTGCATCCTCAAAGTCAGAGGTCTAACTAGGCTGCATAACAGTTTGACTGAAAAGGCACTATGCAAATCAAATGCATGCTGTCACTGTTATGGATACGACTGTTCATTTTTAGACGCATAGAAGGTTTCTCAACTGTAAGGAAGAACTTCGGCTCAGTAAGCAGGTTAGTGTGATTGATATTTTACTATGCAAGAGAGCAGAACAGAAATGAGTTCAACTTATAAAGTGTAAATTCTGTATCTCTTTATATGCATATATAAATATGAGTAGAAGAGGATAAAGTGAAAAAAAAGACAGAAAGACAAACCAAAAGAAAACAAAAGTAGAGAGAAATTGAGAGGCAAAAATAGGACAGAAAGGCAGAGAGAGAGGGAGACAGGAAGACAGACATGGACAGGAGGAGAGGGAAATGAGCAGGTCTGAATTAGACTAGAGAAACAGAGATTGGATGGACAAAGAAGCAGAAAGACAGTTGCAAAGACAAAAGATAAATGCATCTAGTGTAGTTGTACTGTTTTCTCATCTGAGAGAAAAAGAAATGATCCTTATTCATCCTTAGTGGAGCGTAGTTATTGTCAAGGGGAGGTCACTAGGGAAGATGTGTGCCTCACAGCAAAGACTGCTGTCTCTTTGTAGTATTTATTTGAACAGTGTGTGCCCCATGCGCACATTACTTACCTTGATTATTCTTTGAAGGAATATATTAGACCCTTTATTTTTATATATGACATATATCAGACATTGTACAACATAACTCAAAACAGTATTTGAATCATGTTCAACACAAATAATATGTGTCCATATGTGAAAGCTGCAAGGAGAGTCAGGATGGAAAGAACTTGAAAAGTAAAAATCACACAAACAGAAGCCGAATTGTGCTTATTTGCTCTTAGTTTTAATACAATGAGAAGGAAATGAGAGAAATAAGCATTATTACCATAAATGTGTATCCATCTGTCTTTGTTAGACTCTAATGCATAGTAAACAAATTATTTTAAAATTAAATGACTTCTTCCTTCAGCACTTTTATGCAGCATAAGTCCGTCAAAGATTTCTGACAAGAGCAAAATATATGAGCAATCACTATGTAAACAGAAAATACTATATTAGGCAGAGAATTGAGCTCTAACTCTGGAATCAAATTCAGAACAATGGACAGTGTCAGTGGGTTTAGAGAGGACTAGTAGTGTAATAACGGAAGAGGGGACATGAGAGAAAAAAGTCACATAATTTTAATTTCGATTCATTCAAATTAATGCATACTATAAATATACATATTATCTTTATGCACATGAACATATAGCACATTATTCCACAAAGTCAGGAGGCATGCTCAGCTAGGACAAAGATGATATTGGTACAGAACTACAGTGAATCAAAAGAGAAAAGAAAGAAAAATAAACACTCCACCTTTCTCTGACAATCCTCAGCTTCTCACCTTGGGTGCCATGAAAATTCTCTTATCATCCTTCGGTTGCTATATGTGGCAGTTACATGTATTGAGAGGAAAAAGAACCTTATAAAAATGATGGAAAATGTGTCCATCTAATGGTGGTGTTTTGACCAGAGTTTGAGGAAAATCAAGATGATTGAGAAAGTAAAGGATGATGTCACCCTTTAGATCAGGTGTACTCATGTGCCAGAGGAAAGCTATTAGAAATGGAATATGGATTTTCAAAGCTTAACTTTAATGTCATGAACAAAGCAGACCTAAGGGAGTCACAGACATAATACATCGTAAAAGAAAATAGCCAAATCTATGTAAAATAAGAGTATTTAATACTCATCATGATGTTATTAACTATTTATAGCACTATAAATTTATAGTATCTGTAAGTATCAAAGTAGAATTATAGTTTTAAATTATGTCTTTGAAAAATATATATGGCTATGCTTTCTTTTCTCATAGTTGATTCCAGGCCTACAGAAGAGAAATGGGGCATGGCAGAGCCATTGAGTCCAAAGAGCTATATATTTGAAGAACTTGTCATGATAAACAAAAATCAAAGCTTTTAAAGTTATAACTCCCCAGAGTAGGAACGAGCCAAGGACACCAATACCATTACCACTGTCAAAATCTGTCCATGGCATTAAACTTTTCAATCTGCTTTGGTTTGGCAGCGTAAGGTCATTCCAATTCCCTGGGGTATCTTTCTTTCAGCGATGCTTTGGCTCTTCGTGAGTGATTTACTTGATTGGCATTTATATATTCTGCTGCTTAAAATCATTCACATGACTAGCATCCTTCAGAATATAAACAGAGAGATTCTAACACAGTGTTTCACAAACCACATCCATTCTTACATGTGTTTTCTCCTGCTGATTGAAATGGGTCTAATCTAAACAAATTGAGGTCTCTCTTTTCTCATCCATATGTATGTTTCATGCCTGTCAAAGGTATATTACTGCAAAGTGTGAATAATCATGTTTAGCCTCCTTTATTATGCTCAGTTGGAAAACACTTATTTTCTTTTCAAAATATTTTCATATAAAACATAGGAATTGAAGATCAACAACTGAAGTTTCTTCTGAAACTGAAGAAACAGATATTTACAGAGTATTACTTATCAGTTAAATGATTACTTCAACTGGGTTCAAATTGACTTTTGCCATCATTTTTTGCTTTTTTTAAAAAAATGTAAGATATATTCTTTCTCGCTAGGGAGCGATCATTTCTAAAAGTAAGAATTTTTTCAATTATGAGCATTGAATTAACAGTGTATCTCAAATTTGATATATTAGAGAAACAGCATTTTTATGAAATGAAGCTTTTCTTGGTAATCATTTTACAGTTGTTTTACTATGTAGTTTTTAATCTGTCAAAATATTTTAAAAGCATGTGTACATATTTTTGCATAATTTGGCAAACTTGTGCCATATAAGAAATTGGCAGTGCATGATAGTAAAAATGCTATTCTTTGGATTTATTCTAATTGACCTACTTTTAAAATCTTTTTAGCAAAATACTTGAAGCATCTTAATTTGGTTGCTGGTAATTTAGAAGGAGAAAATATTTTTAAGAGAAATATATTCTAGGGAAAATCATCTTAATCAACTACCAGACAATATGGTATGGGCATAAGCAAAAAAACCCATTGACTTCTATTCAAGGGATGACCAGATGTCCAATATAAATGAACAGCTATATAATTCCCAGTGCAGTCAGATATTCATTAAAAAATACTTAGAAGCTACTATCTAACTAGGTCCTCTTCCAGGGATTTGGGATACATCAACGAACAAGAGAGATAAATATCCTTGCATATCTGAAACTTGCATTCTAACAGTGTAAGATAGGAACTAGCCATTATGTATTTTTTTTAAAAAAGTGATAATTGATAAGTGTTACTGAAAAGGGGCCCTGATCCAGACCCCAACAGAGGGTTCTTGGATTTCACACAAGAAAGAATTCGTGGTGAGTCCACAGAGTAAAGTGAAAGCAAGTTTACTAAGAAAGTAAAGGAATAAAAGAATGGCTACTCCATAAGTAGAGCAGCCCTGAGGGCTGATGGTTGCTTGTTTTTATATTATTTTCTTGATTATATACTAAACAAGGGGTAGATTATTCAGATTATTCATGCCTCCCCTTTACAGACCATATAGGGTAACTTCCTGATCTTGCCATGGCATTTGTAAACTGTCCTGGTGCTGGTGGAAGTGTAGCAGTGAGGACAACCAGAGGTCACTCTCCTCGCCATCTTGGTTTTGGTGGGTTTTGGCTGACTTCTTTACTGCAGTCTGTTTTATCAGCAAGGTCTTTATGACCTGTATCTTGTGCTGACCTCCTATCTCATCCTGTGACTTAGAATGCCTAACTATCTGGGGATGCAGCCCAGTAGGTCTCGGCCTTATTTTACCCAGCCCCTACTCAAGATGGAGTTGCTGTGGTTCAAAGGCCTCTGACATAAGGAAAAAACAAGTGAAACACAGAGTGTTGACCACAAATGCTTGGAATGTGTGTGTGTGTGTGCGTGTGTGTGTGTGTGCGTGTGTGTGTATGTGTATGTGTATGTGTATGTGTATGTGTATGTGTGTTGGGAGGCTGGATATTTGCAATTTTAAATAGGGTCATCAAACATTCACCCATTGAAAAAGTAAGAGTTCAGAAAAGATTTAGAAGAGGTAAAGGAATTGTCACTGTGTGTATCTATGAAAAGCACAGCAGGAACACACCTAACAAATCCACAGAACATCTACGAGGCTAGTGTGCCTGTCATGGAGAAAGTGAAGGGAGATTAACAGAGGATGAACTCAGAGAAGTAACAAGAACTGATCACGTGGGGCTTTCGGGGCCATTGTCAGGAGTTTGACTCTTAGCCTGAATGAAATGTGGATTAGTTGCACGGTGATGAGCAAAGGAATGACATGATCAGACCAACATTTTAACCAGCCCCTTTGGCTGCTGTGTTCAGAATAGAATGTCGGGGCCAAAGTGAAAGCAGAGACATTGTTATGCGGTGAGATGAAAATGTTTACACAGCAGGTCTGCGATGAAATGATGAATTAATTCCCTTTCGCAAGGCAGTGCTCCTGGGAAACAAACACATTCAGTGAGAAGTCTAATCTCCTATTAAACATTGTCATGTTTAATGACAGACCTCCTGGCAATTAAACTACATGGTTTGTGCTAGTGAGAGACAAGACTAGCTGGATTTCCTAGGCTGACTAAGAATCCCTAAGCCTAGCTGGGAAGGTGACCACATCCACCTTTAAACACGGGGCTTGCAACTGAGCTCACAGCTGTCCAATCAGAGAGCTCACTAAATGCTAATTTGGCAAAAACAGGAGGTAAAGAAATAGCCAATCATCTATTGCCTGAGAGCACAGTGGGAGGGACAAGGATCGGGATATAAACCCAGGCATTTGAGCAGGCAAAGGCAACCCCCTTGGGGTCCCCTCCTTGTATAGGAGCTCTGTTTTCACTCTATTTCACTCTATTAAATCTTGCAACTGCACTCTTCTGGTCCGTGTTTGTTACGGCTTGAGCTGAGCTTTCACTCGCTGTCCACCACTGCTGTTTTGCCGCCGTTAGGGACCCTCCGCTGACTTCCATCCCTCAGGATCCAGCAGGGTGCCTGCTGTGCTCCTGATTCAGCGAGGCGCCCACTGTCGCTCCCCATCGGGTTAAAGTCTTGCCATTGTTCCTGCACAGCTAAGTGCTTGGGTTCGTCCTAATTGAGCTGAACACTAGTCACTGGGTTCCACAGTTCTCTTCTGTGACCCACGACTTCTAATAGAGCTATAACACTCACTGCATGGCCCAAGATTCCATTCCTTGGAATCTTGAGGCCAAGAACCCCAAGTCAGAGAACATGAGGCTTGCCACCATCTTGGAAGTGGCCTGCCGCCATTTTGGAAGTGGCCCACCACCATCTTGGGAGCTCTGGGAGCAAGGACCCCTGGTAACACTAGGAGGAGATTACTATGAAAAGTTTTGGGCAGGATGTACTTGCTTCTTCTGTAATTGCTTCTGGTAAATAAACCTGGAATCTACAGATTCATGGGACATACTTCCTGATTAACATAATGTGAATTATGTAACTATATGAGTATGAAATTGTGATGTTCTATAATCTAAATGGCTTTTTCTTTGTAAGTGAGGTGACCATGTACTTTATTAGAAGTCTCATCTATTACTTGAAAGACATAACGGTGAGATGAAAAAATGACCTAGGGAGTCATACTGGTTGTCATGGAATTCTTCCTGCTTCACCTGTATTATGCATTTATATGTACCCTTGAAATTATTAATAAGCTCAGTACTGGATCAAATTTCTAATTCTTGGGAATCTCATTGACAGTGTGATCCTGGGTGTTGTTACAAATGGCAATACTTCAGGCAAGAGACAATGGTGTCTCATGTCAGGATAATTCTAACAAAGATGGTGGAAATGTTCAAATTATGAATATTTGGGGCAGTATTCTACCCATGGCATGGGTGTAGCATGTAAAATAAAAAGAAAATTCAAGAACAACTTAAAAAATTTTGGTCTGAATGGTTGTGAATGTCAACTGAAGTGGGTAAGACTACAAATAGATGGGTGTGTGTGAGTTCATGGATTGAAGGTGCAGTTTTGTGCATGCCAAGTTTGAGATGCATTTTAGACATCCAAGTGGTAAATATTGATACATGATTCTTTGTGTTATGTCCATGCAATATACAGGAATGGAGGGAGTCTGGGCTGGAAATATGTATTTGGAAGTTGTCATCATATTGAGGATATCGAAAGTCCTGACATTGGACGAGAAGTCCAACCAAATGTATATAAACAGGATAAACGAGGGCCGAAGACTGAACCTTGAGATGCAACATTAAAACGTCAGGGGGGGCCGGGCGCGGTGGCTCACGCCTGTAATCCCAGCACTTCGAGAGGCCGAGGTGGGCGGATCACGAGGTCAGGAGATGGAGATGGTGAAACCCCGTCTCTACTAAAAATACAAAAAATTAGCCGGGAGCGGTGGGGGGCGCCTGTAGTCCCAGCTACTCAGGAGGCTGAGGCAGGAGAATGGCATGAACCCGGGAGGCGGAGCTTGCAGTGAGCAGAGATCGCGCCACTGCAGTCCTGCCTGGGCGAAAGAGCGAGACTCTGTCTCAAAAAAAAAAAAAAGTCAGAGGGAAGAGGAAGAACCAACAAAAGAGACTGCGGAGGAATAGCCTGCATTATAGGGTGTATTGAGAGCTAGGTAAGGGAAAATAAAATATTCCATGATGTCGGAGCCCCAGCTAAATTATGGGTCCAGTACTAGAGCAGCTGACAAACCTGCACTAAGGGCAAATGATGAGGAGTTGGATGTGGGTGTATACAAACTTTATTTGTAAGTTTATTACAAATAAACTTAATATATGCATGATGTTATTTTTAAAAATAAACACATCATACCTGCGACCAGGGAAAACTTACACTGGCAAGCCACCTGTGATTCTTGTCTGACCTGTGTCTGGTTTATGCCTGCCTGGTCAACACTTTGGCATTGGGAGCTTGACCTTTTATTCTCCCCAGTGTTCCAGGGAAAACCCAACCTGAGGCAGCTCCTGATTCTTCAGATGGAAAGTGCAAATTTAATGTAACACCAAAATAAGGAACAAGTTCAAGGACTTTTCCTTGCAGACTCCAGGATCCAAGTAAGGGTGTGTGGGAGGGTATAATGAGTCTGGAGGGCAGTTCTTTATCCTGGAGTCATGGCAGGCAGAAATGAAGAGTCAGACAAAGAGAGAGAAACGGGTGGCAACTAGCACACTGTATAAAGATTAGGGTGTGGGCCTTCAAAGTTCAGAGCAAATGACTGAATGGTCCCTTTAAAGAAAGGGGCAAGAAAGCAGTGTTCAGTCTGCTAGGCAGAAGAGATGCCTCTAAATTTTTATATATGACCACCAGTTTCAGCCCTTTGGGTATGCTGTAGGATGAAAAACTGTGTAAAGGGTGACTGAGCCCTGCTTCTAGTATGAGAAAGCAATACTAGTATTCAAAATGGATGCTGAAGCAACATAAACTGATAAGAAGTCATTATACAGACATTGCTGGGAACTGAATGTTGTAGTGACTTCGACAAGACCAGTTTAATGAAAGATTAATCCCCCATTCTATAATAAACATATGAGTCTTTACAAATAAATGTAATAAAGTTATTATGCATGTTATTTTTTAAATATATATTTCTCTAGTATCTCAGATTTCAGAAAGCTCAAATATAAAGTGAATTCCCAACTGCAGTTAACCACACTTGAGGTGTTTGGATTTTTTTCTTTTCCCCCCTCCCTCTCTCTCTTCTTCCTTCCCCATCTTTTTTCCTTCTTTCCTTCCTTCCTTTTGAGAGGTTCTCGTTCTGTCATCCAGGCTGGAATTCAATGGCACAATTATAGCTTGCTGCAATCTTGAACTCCTGAGCTCATCCAGTCTTCCCACCTCCGCCTCTTACATGCACGTGCAACCATGTCTGGCAATTTATTATTATTATTATTATTATTATTATTATGATACAGACAGGGTCTTGCTATGTTGTCCAAGCAGGTCTCGAACTCCTGAGCTTGAGTGATCCTCCCATTACAGCCTCCAAAGTGCTGGGATTACAGGTGTGAGCTAACATGCCCAGCCAGATATTTTTCTTTAGGTTGTTTCTGATTATTCTTGCAATATGATATTCTCTTTTAAGTGTTTTAGTATTTTAAATTTCCAGAGTTAGCTCATTTTTTCATAAGGATTCTTAAATCATCTAAAATTTTTATCTTTAATTTTCAGAACACAGGACCGAAGAGGAGAGGTGAAACAAAAAGGTTTAGGGGAACTCCATAACATAGTGTTGACAAAGAGCTCACTGGGGTTAGCAATCATAGTTAAGATATAAGAAATGAGAAGAGAGAGGATGAGAATAGTGAAGCTTCTATGACAGCTGAATTCTATACACTTTTATATCTTCCCCTTAAATTATGGAATGAAAGCTTCAGGATTTGGGCAAGGTCACAGAGCGTGTGCATTCCAAGGGTCATGAGTGTTAAATGAGGGCCAGGCAGAGACTCCGTGCAGAGCCATGCATGACTTTCCCAAACACAGTTGTCGAGGACCCTCTAGCATGAATCATCTTCTGCTTCTGATATTGAATATTGCCATGATCTAAATGTTTGCTTTTCCCCCAAACTTGTATGTTGAAAACTAACCCCTGTGGTGATGGTATTTGGAGGTAGGGTCTTTTAGGAGCTGATTAGTCATGAGGGTGGAGCATTCATAAATAGGATTAGTGCCCTTATAATATAGGCCCAAGGGAGTTGAGCTCCTTGGTCCCTTTCACCATGTGAGAACACAGGACACAGCCAAAAGGTGTGACCTACGAAGCAGGAAAGGGGCCCTCACCGGACACTAAATCAGCCAGCACCCTGATCTTAAACTACCCAGCCTCTAGAACTGTTAAATATAAATTTATGTTGTTTATAAGCTATCCAGTATATGCTATTTTAGTTATAGCAGCCTGAATGCACTAAGATTAATATTACAATTCATTTTGGTTTGTTTCTGTGAGGTAAGGCCAATTCCCATGGACTTCTTTATCTCAGAGAATGATTTACTTGGTTCACCTCCTTTTGCTAAACAACGTTCATGTGACTACTCAATGTTCAAAAGTCTAGGAGAACCAAGGGCAGTAAATAAGAAAATACACTGAGATGTTCTGAAAATATCCAGCCACGAAGATACCACAGTGTCCCTTGGGAAACACATCTAACATATCCAAAGCAGCATGTTAATAATTTATTTTGTTTTGCTTTATCTTGTTTTTCTCTAAAAAGAAAAAAAAAAGAGAAAAGCCTTCTGTGGACATTTTTCTGCCAGACTGAATCTATTTTCAGTCTCAACTGTATGGGTCCGATGATGGATACCCTATTGAACTGAAGAGTCTTTGAGGAGTTTTGCAACTTTCTGGAACACATACCTGTTTGAGCCAGAACAGAAGAGCAACGTATATTGCAATAGATAGGTGAAGTTTTTCTAACTTTCATTGGCCTGGTACATATTTTATTTTTACTCCGTCTATTACCGTTTGTTGTCTCTAACATTACCTTAAAGAATCATACACACGCAGGCACACACATGTACATGCACGCGCGCACACACACAGACCCTTTTTGCTACTGTCTTGACTATGTCCTTGTATATAGAGCTGCCTTTTTCAGTAAGGAGTAATAATTTTGATCTTGTTAATATCTTGTTAATGAACTATTAAACTATCTAAATTATGTCATGGTAAACCTGATTCCAGTATATTTAAACTCATCCAGTTGATAACGCTGTAACAAAGTTTATGAATTTAAGCTAAATAGATAAGCCATTTGTCTACAAGGTAAACACCGAAGTGAGTTTTTGCTGTGGTAGTTGTTGAGTATTTAAATATGTGCAATGCAGACAAAATGCGTCAAGATGAAAAATTTTATTTGGTGGGTAAAAAATGAGTGATAGTGTTTACCAGCAGCGATTAAGTCAGAGAGCTGCCAGAGAGGAAATTCATCTGAACCATGTAAGCTATAATTATAGATCAGAAAAGACGCAATATAATATGGTTTTATTAATATACCTGGCAGAAAAACATGCTACCACACTACAAAACATTAAAGAAAATTTTACCCATGCACCATTTTCTAATGAAAATGTGTAGGCATATCCTCATGATCTTAAGAAATTTGGAGAAAACTATTCATTTTCAACATTAAGGCAGTTGGATAAGAAGTCACCATATTAAACCAGAGTTGAAAATCAGTATTTTCTTTCTATTTCCTTCTTTGTGTACCATTGTCAACAGATCCTCTCTTGTCCTGTCTCTCTTTTGTCCTTGCTGTTGAGTGGTGTGCATTGATAGTTTCTTTCTCTTCTGCTGATTTTTTACTAGGTCTTTGTTTTGCACATTGACAGTCCTCATCTGTTTTCTCCCTCAAAATTCACCACTGCTGTAAAGTCTGCTCTGCTAAAACTATGGACCTTTTCAGGAACCTGTATATTCAAAAACATAGAGGAACCGATGCCAACAATTTAACTGTGCTCAAATTTTTAAATAATGAAGTTTTATTTTATATGCTAATTTTAAAATAATGCAAAGCTATTATGAAGAGTCACAGAATTTCAAAGCTGAAGGGACACCATTATAATTCTTGTTTTTATTATTTGTATGTAGCACTAGTACATTAGATAATATAAATGATGACCTGAGCTAATTTGTCAACATATTGTAAATCAAGCAGGTGTTCAAGTGGATCAGAACACCTGTGAGTGCTTTTGCTGATGCATAGACTTTTATTTAAACATGTATTGTCATCATGCAAAGAAAAAGTGTATTCTGTCATAATGATATAAAAGTAAGGTGTACACGGCTAATATTGGGAAGCAAGCCACCAAATACAGTGCAGCAGAGATAGGTTTAGAAATTCATTCTAAATCAAGCTGAATTACCACCGTGATATTTCTAAAGAACACCCCCATTCAGCTTTTTATTTGCTCCTGCGGGAAATTAATCTTTCATTTTGTGAGTACAAGGTCTTCATGAATGGATCCTTCGATAAAATGGAGCTGTGTTGTACCAACCTCCCAGTGGTTTTCTGGGGACTAATAGAAAATGCTTCTGCATCACTTAACAAGACAACTGACTTGTGATAAGTGCTCAGTAAATATTATCTATTTTATCATATGCAAAAATAATGAGGGGAGTGTGCATGTAAAAACACAGATACAGCCATTTTTCCTTTCCAAATGGTGTTTATCACCAATACTATTTCAGAATACTTTGCAAGATATGGTGGGCTACTGAGGCCAGGGTGATTAGTATTCAAGTTAAGTAGTACTAAGTAGCCTTTTCTAGGTTAATGTTGGTGCGTTAATAACATAACCATTTGTCTAAGGAGATTCATCCCAAATTGCAAAGAGAAAAAATATGAAATGGATATATAAAACACTTTAAAGTTGTACTCTCCCTCTATTTTATATATGAGGACCTCACGACTAGGTATGAGTACACATAGTGAATTGTAATAATACGTTCATTTACACCTAGACAATTATTTTCATGAATACAGGATGAAAATTATTACATTTGAATCTCATTATAATCTTTATCCCGGAAAAAAAAACATTGGAATAAAGTGGATTTAGACTTCGTGCCAAATATTTATTTAGATGAATTTGCAAATAGACCCATGCTTAAAAGTATGTGAGATTTAAATAAGCATATTAAAGACTTAATTATAATTAAATGCTATTGCATTCTATTTTTGATTCAAAAAGTTTTCAGCATTGCCTCCTTGGTTTTTATTTGTTTTTAACTGAGCTTACAGAACTAACTAGGAAAATATATGCCAGGCATTATTAGCATATCATAATATAAACATTTATTTGACATTCAGATCTTGTGTATTTTGAAGGGCAAAATAAAATAGAAGGGGAATTTTTTTTTCAGATTTTATGAGAGGTAAGCTAAATGTCTATCTTCTTGTATATTTTTGTTAGCAAAGAATCTGGATATCCATCTTGAGGTCATATTTGCAAATGACTTTGATGGAACACTTAAATTTCATTTGGTGAATGACAGCTCAGAAGCTTCAAATGTGCCTGGGTGTATGTTACTTTCATTTCCTGGTGTGTGCATAGGTCTGAAGAGCTATGAGAAAATATTATCATTATATGATACTCTTGCAATCCAAGAACACCTACAAAATTACTCTTCTCAGCTGAGACGTAATGAGATTCTCTTTATGACCAGGTTCAATCTTCTTTCCTCATGGAACAGGTAGAAGGAAAGAGAGAAATTGCTCAAGATGCAAATTATGTGTACTCCTGTGACCCAGGTGAACCAGACCTTACAAACTGCCTGTCAGGGAGATGTAAATTTCTTGTAAGCAGCTAGATCACTAGACTCAAAGGAAGTTATTGATTTTCCTATAGTGTCTCCAATGCAGAAATGAAAGACTTACAAGTTTGTGATGTAGATGCTTTCTAGTCTTTCTTTTGTTAAACATGTCACTTTTCACCTGTTAATACTAGAGTTCAGATAGCATAGAGACTTGTTGGAAAATACATGCTTTTCTTCCCCCTCTGGTTATAAAGAAAACAAAAAGAGCAGAGAGAAACATTCAATAGGGTCACAGTGGGTAAAATTCCAACATCCTCGCATCACTGTCTACTTTAATCAATATGCATTAACACAGGCTACATTATGCATATGTAAAAAATGCTTGCCATCTCAGTGAAAAATGGCACAGCAATTAAAATGTCAAAAGGCTAAGGAGACAATGTGAGATTAAGTGCAGTTATAATTTTATTTTAAAACATCTCAGTTCTCTGGTGCTCATTGGAGTGTTCTTTTTAAAATGATTTCAAATTTGGGAACATTAGCAAAACCCAGCCAGCTACTTAGTATCTTATGTAAAAACTGTATTTTTCAGTCACCTTCCTTCTTTAGCTAAATTAAATGACACATGTAGTCTTTTATTTTTTTCTCAATGATTTAAAGACAGCAAATATGCCATTATTTTTCTTTCTTAAGTATATGTATATACAATTTTATAAAGTATTAAAATGAGGACTCCTTAACATGTATCTTAGCATTTTTTCATCAAGTTGAGTAAGACTTTATAGGCAAACATTGTTCAATAATAAAAATTATGCTCATTAGATTTTATTTGAGAAATCTCTATTAATTCTCCTTTTCATATTTTTTCTCATTAAGATGCAATTTAAGTGTACCTCTCTTTCATTAGTAGGGCCATTTAAGCTAGGTGGTATACCTTTAATCTCTGAGAAAGCTTAGGTGATATGCTTGTCTACAGACAGAAGAAGGTTAGAAACTGACTTCTGATGAGACATGTAAAATAGAGTGTGCTCATGCACAATTCCTAGGCCATGCCACACAGTTCCCACTTTCATCATTCTTAGTGAACGCATAAGTGAAACAGGAATAGAATATTTAATGTTATCTTTTTTATATATATCAGTAAGCAAAGAAGCAAACCTGCACGGCTCCACCTCAGGGAACCCCAAGGGGTACATATGTGCAGGGACTTAACCTCCCATATCAGACTCTAAGGAAGCAGAGTAATAAGACCCTGACATGCTACTGGCTGACATATAGGTTTTATTAGATTAAAAGCTCTGAAATGGCCATAAGGCAGAATGAGTCGTTGCATATTTTCTGCTTCTAGAAGGCATAGAATTCTAGTCCATAAACCAAGTGCATGCAGCTCATGTCTGTAAATCTTTTTTACATCAGTGTTGCCTGTGTTTCTTCCTATTGTTTAGGAATATATTTCCTTAAACATATGACTTATGCTAATACAGTATTTCTGATTCAATATCAACTATTTCTGTTCTGTATAAAAATAACTTTATTTATAAAATATTTTTAAGTACTTTAAAACATATATGGTCAATGATCTATTCCAATAACCCAAAGTCTGCACATAATAAATCATTCCAGAAAAAATTACTATATTTCTCTAACATATAGACTAGGCTTAATTGTTCTTCTTTATCTAATATTGTAATTAGGTGGTAGCATGATTAAAAGATCTTTATATCTGCTTAAAACCCTAAATTTCTAACTATGTTTCCTAACATTTTAAATACAATTACAATTTTTATTTTTTTAGATGTTGAGATATTGACGGTTCTTAGCTCTCCAATTATATGCCAGCTCTCCTTGAACATGGAATAATCAATAGTCTAAGTTGGCCCCAAAGATTACCCCTCCAGCAATAGTTTCGCTTCTACATAATTCCAGGGCATGTCACTATAATAGATTTTACTCTCATTATTTGGTCATGTTACATAGCACACTTGACCTTAAAATAGAGCACAATTTAATCACATGAGCCTTTCTATAAGCAGAGAGTTTGTCTAGTTGAAAGCAGAAGGGAAATCAGATAAATCTGAGGTGTGATATGGATTCAATATGAGGGCAGTTCTTTATTACAGAAACGGAAGGGGCCTGTGGCATAACCTGATAGCAGCCTGGAGGAGGTGAGGTCACTCCCAGCTGACAGATAGTGAGGCAAGAGGGACCTCAATCTTACAACCACAAGGAAACAAATGCTGCCAACACTCTGAGGGGCCTTTGAGCCGATCTTTTTGTAGTCAGGCCTCCAGATGACGATGCAGTTGGCCAGCACCCTGACAGCCTTATGAGACCCTGAGAAGAGGACTTGGCCAAAATGTGGCAGGCTCCCGACCAACAGAAATTGTGCAATAATAAATCTGTGTTAAGTGGCTAAATTTGTGGCAATGCAATAGACAGAAAAATACAGTGCTATGTGGATTAAGGAAGTTCAGTGGAAGGTATTGTATTTTGAAATTTCTAAGCAATTTTTATTTTATTTTTGATATTATTATTATTATTTTTGAGATGGAGTCTTGCTCTGTCGCCCAGGCTGGAGCGCAGTGGCATGATCTCGGCACACTGCAACCTCTGCCTCCCGGGTTCAAGCGATTCTCCTGCCTCAGCCTCCTGAGTAGCTGGGATTGCAGGCAGGCACCACCACACCCATCTAATTTTACACATATACATATATAGTGTATATATACACATATATATGTACACATATATATATACACATATGTATATATGTATATGTGTATATATACACTATATATGTATATGTATGTGTGTGTGTGTGTGTAAACTGGGGTTGGGGAAATGGAGAGATGTTGGTCAAGGGATAGAAATTTTCAATTATGCAGAAAAAGTAATTTCTGGGGACCTAACGTAGAGCATGGTGACTATAGTTAGTAATACTATATTGTATAATTGAAATCAGCTTAGAGAGTAGGTCTTAAATGTTCTCACTACACAAAGAGATAATTACGAGAGGTGATGTATATGTTAACTAGCTTGATTGTGGTAATCATTTCATAATATATACATATATCAAAACATCACAGTGTACAGCATACATAAATATATTCAATTTTTTTGTCATTACACCTCATTAAAGCTGAACAGAAAAGCATCACTGATAAATTTCTAAAATAATAATGATAATTGGCCAGACGAGATGGCTCACGCCTGTAATACATATATACATATATACATATATATCTGTGCATGTATGTGTGTATATATACACATATACACAGATATATACATATATATGTTTGTGTGTGGGTGTGTGTGTGTGTATATATATATATATACACACACACACATATATGTATATATATATAATCTTTTCTTTATCCAGTCATCTGTTGGCAGACATTTAGGTTGATTTCATATCTTGGCCCCTGTGAATAATGTTGCAATGAACATGTTTTACTTAAAAATACTCATGAATGTATATATTGAACTTTCACTATGTACCAGGCATTAGGTTCCTATTTACATCAAGTTTCTCATTTGGTCTTTAAAAATACAGTGAGAGATAATACTACTGTAACTCCCACTTTACAGATAAAGAAACTGAGGCTTACAGAGCTTAAGGAATTTCCTCTGGGTGAAAATGGTTACTAAGTTTCAAATCCAAAATACAAAACCAAGCAGTTGGATTGCAGAGCTTATATGTTTACCTCTCCCTTCAGGGTTTCATAGAGCCTCAGAGCATGGGTGACCCAGTTCCAAACTCTAATAGAAAAACAAGCAATGTGGTTAAGACCCTAGATAATACATGGGAAATCAGTGAGTGGAGTAGGAACATCACACGGGATGGGAGGGGGGTCTTAAAAATGCATCAAAATCAGCACACCTTCTAAACCAGCATTTGCAATTTATAAAGAATTTTAGGTAATTCATCTGCACATTGAAGTTTAATTTGGGAATATAGATTGGTGCAGCCACTGTGGAAAACAGTATGGAGGTTTCTGAAAAAAAAAAAAAGAAAAGAAAAGAAAAAAACGAAAAGAAAAGAACTATCGTATGACCCAGCACTTTCTCTTCTGGGTATATATATCCAGAGAAAAATAAATCACCACCCTGTAAAAATATCGGTGCTCCAATGTTCACTGGAGCATCGTCCTCAATAGCTCAAGTACAGAAACAATTGAAGCATCCATCAAGAAGTGGATGGGTAAATAAATTGTGGCATATGTACACAACAGAAAACTATTAAACCTTAAAAAAGGACATGAACCTAGGGGGTTGCACATGGATGAACCTAGAGGACGTTATGTTAAGTGAAATAAGCTAGGAACAGAGAGACAAATGCCACAAGATCTCACTCTTGAAAGCTGATATCCTAGAAGTAGAGAGAGGAGAACAGTGGTTTCCAAGGGTAGGGATATTTGAGGAGTGAGTAGGGTGAGGAGACGTTGGTCCAAGGATACAAAATTTCAATTATATAGGAGGAATACTTGAAGAGATCCGTTTTACAACATGGTGACTATAGTTAGTAATATATTGTATTCTTGGAAAATGTTGAGAGTGGATATTAACTGTTCTCACCACAAAAGTAAATATGTGAGACAATACCTATGTTAATTAGCTGGATTTAGTCATTCCAGAATGTATACATGTTTCAAAATTTCATGTTGTACGTGGTAAATACATAAAATTTTATCTGCCAATTTTTAACAATTGAACACATGTAATCATTATCCTAAGAATTCCAGAAAGGTGAATATGAATTTCTTGTTTGATGATACGGCCTCAGGCAAATCATTTCATCTGTCTTCCTGACAGTTTCACACTTCTATAAAACAGAGATAAATTATCAATTTTTAAAAAGAATTTAATTATGCCTAATGTTCAGCATATTGTCTGCCACAACATAATTAATAAACAATAAGTCGTTTTAGTTTTGTTTTTTGTTGTCGTTGTCATTGTTGTTTTTTAATGATGGAGGTAAACCAAGGAGGGTGGGGGTTTTAAAACCGCTTAGTTTTTCCTTCTCTCTGGAGCCCAGCAGTGGCTTCATGAGACCAAGTGTCTACTTTGCGGATCCAGTCTCCTGGTAGTACGGATGGGCTATAGAGGAATTCCAGAACGAGGTGGGAAAGGCTTAGCAGGCCCACAGCTCCGTGAGCTGTTATCATGAAATAGCAGCTTGGAGCTGGAGTTAGCTATGGGCTTACCTTTCCCCCTGAGAACCGAACTGCACTGATAACGTGAAATCGTACCATTTCTCAACATGTGAAGGGCGTCTCTTTACATTCTCAAAGCCTTGAGTCATAACTATCTGTTTTCAAAAGTTGACATTATCAGATCAGTTACTGTGAAAACCAGAAACGTTTTATTTTAGTCTTTTTATGTGAGTAAAAGATACAATAAAATCTTGGTAATTAAATATATTTACTTAACTGTTTTCACTTATACTCCTTTAAAAAGCGATTTTTTTAAAAGCCTGAATCATTGCTTCTCTGTATATTTAATCTTCAGTCTTGGAATTGCTTCTGAGGGGAAAATTACTTTTAAAATAATTTTCTTTGCAGTTAGGAAAATGAGGACCTATAGTCCTAACATGCTCTTAATTTGGGAATTACTTGTTTCACTGCTCAGAGAACAAAATTATTGGCAGTGGAAAAATTGCACACAAAACAAAGAGTTAACCCCTTTGGTGATTTAATCTCTTGAGGAAGGATTTCAGCCGGGTACAAAAACTGATAAGATATTTATCAACAAGTCACAGAATGGCTTATCAACTTGATCCTTTGATTGTTTATAAATACTATCATAAGCCTATTAAGTTCTAAGCTGGTATTTCCCAAAGTGAGTTCCTTTACTTAATAATGCCTCCTTCTTACAGCTTATTACACTTTTTTAATAGTTAGTCCCAGGAATTTCCATTTATTCTAATTTCATCAGTTTAAAGGCAGTAAAGTGTTCACGAACAAAGTTTCAGTATCAGGCTGCATGTATTTGAATCCGGAATCTACCACTCAAAGGCTGTGTGACCTTGGACAAGCCATTTAACCTCCCTGTGCCTTGGTTTCCACATGAGTAAAATGGGTGTGGTAGACTCATGGCAGGTAGAATTAAATGGATTAATTAATGTAAGGCACTGATGTACAAAAAGTGCGTAAAACACCTTAAGGATTTATGTAAGCTGCTAAATCTCACTTCTTAACTAAACAGTTCTTTTCATCCCCTCAGCTAAGGCCAAGACTACTCCGTGAGGTTGTGCAATGTGTGTGCTGCACAATAGTGCCTTGTGGAGGGAGCCGGAGAGTCTAAAATTCCTTCTCTGCCACCATCACCAAGCCATGTGCTCTTAAGCTTGACCTGTTAACAGCTGGTCTGTTTTTCTGATTTGTCCACCTAGAGGGGATATCTTTTTTTCTAACCAAGGTACTAGTAAAGGTATACCATATTAGAATATCTAAGCACAGGTCTGTCTGGCCCAGTGCTTATGACTGATAAGATTTGGGGCATTACCTATTAACAAAAACATCTGATTCCATTTCTTTTGGCCACCCCAGATCTAGGAGCAATCTCAGTTTTTCTGTTCTTAAGTATTTGTAAAGCTACAGTTTTATCTGATAGCCAAATGTTCAGCTTAGCTATACATAAATTCTTATGTTTCATATATATATATATATATGTGTGTGTGTGTGTGTTCTATATATATACATATATATGTTCTATATATACATAAATGTTCTCTCTATATATATACATATATATAATTACATTTGCTGTTCATTGCTAGTTATTGAGTACCGAACGAATAGTAGGCTGCAAAACCATAAGGATATTATATTATGCACTTGATTCTGAGGGCTTTGCATTCTTTTCAGAAGCCAGGTACAGTACGTTTAAAATAGTGAAACAAATTAGACATTAAATATGTAGCAAATATTAACTCACTTTGTGAATAATTAATGATAATTGTCATATTAAAAAGTGTTAGCAGACAAGGAAGACAAACATTTCACAAAAGAATGGAAAGGGAAAAACCAAAACTTTTCTACAGAATATTCATACCTGAGTGGATGTCGATGTAAATGTAATATAGAATTAAAGCTATTTCCAAGGTTTTAAATCAAGGATCATTGAAACCATGTACTAATGTGTACGTACTTGAATGAAACATTTATTGAATCAATTAATTTATGAGTGAAATATTTTATTTTATTATTTATTATTATTTTTTGAAACTTGCTCTGTCACCCAGGCTGGAGTGCAGTCATATGATCTTGGCTCATTGCAACCTCTGCCTTCCAGGTTCAAGTAATTCTCTGCCTCAGCCTCCCGAGAATCTGGGATTACAGGCACCTGCCACCATGCCTGGCTAATTTTTGTATTTTTAGTGGAGACAGGGTTTCACCATCTTGGCCAGGCTGGTCTTGAACTCCTGACCTTGTGATCCACCCGGACGTGGTGGCTCACGCCTGTAATCCCAACACTTTGGGAGGCCAAGGCAAGTGAAATATTTTAAACATGAGTCAAAGTTTTTCTGTTTACTTATTACTGACTTGAAGTCTGTTGAGGTTGGAGATTAGATCATTCATGTAGGATGTATAGAGACTCTACTGAAACTCAGGTGAGATCTTTCTAGAGGTTCAGAAGCAGAAGAAACAGAATAGAACTAATCAGGGAAAGCATTGCTTATTCTGCATTGACTGAGTACTTATACAATTTGGGAGATTTTCTTAAGATTCTTGCTAAGGATGGCTTGAGATTGGGTCTAGAAAAACATATAGGACAACTCAAGCAAAATAAATTGAAGAATTACGGTAAAGACCATGGCAGGCCTTTAAAAGAGAGTCACCCAGTAAAGCAGTAGGATGTAGTTTAGTGCTGTATACTGTAAAATTGAGCATGCAATTTGGAATTACACATTTTAGTGGGTAGACTTGTGTCCCTCAAGAATATATGTTCACATTCTAATCCTTGGTACTTATGAATGTGACCCTTTTTAGAAATAGGGTCTTTTGAGATGTAATCAAGTTAAAATGAAGTCCTACTTAGTTAAGGTGGGAGCTAAATTCAATGATTAGTATCTTTTGTTTATTTATTTTTTGAGACGGAGTCTTGCTTGTCACCCAGGCTGGAGTGCAGTGACAAGATCTTGGCTCACTGCAACCTCTGCCTCCTGGGTTCAAGCCATTCTCCTGCCTCAGCCTCCCCAGTAGCTGGGATTGTAGGTGTGCACCACCACACTCAGCTAATTTTTGTATTTTTAGTGAGACGGGGTTTCACCATGTTGGCCAGTTTGGTCTTAAACTCCTGACCTCATGTTCCGCATGCCTCGGCCTCCCAAAGTGCTGGGATTACAGGCGTGAGCCACCATGCCCAGCCAGTGGTTAGTATCTTTAAAAGAGAAAGGAGAGGAATATTTGAATACAAAGATGCAGGGGAGTTATACAAGAAAGAAGGCCATTCAATGACAGAGTTGGAGATTGGATTGATACAACTAATCAAGAAATCAAGGAATGCCAAGGAGTGACAAGAACCACCAGAAGCTAGGAAAGAGGAATAAGACAGGTTTTTCCTGAGAGGCTCCAGAAGGAACCAACTCTGCTGCTTTCTGACTTCTGGCCCAAACTGTGAGAAAACAGATTTCTGGCCTTCTGAACTGTAAAAAAAATCAATTTCTGTTATTTTAAGATGCCAAGTTTGTGCAAATTTGCTATGGCAGCCTTAGAAAATTAATATAGATCTCTTCAAATGCATTCCCACCTCTGCTATGTGATACTAGTTACTTCTCAAAATCTTCATTGGCCATTTAATTAAAATAAACTAAAATCCATAACTTTAGTGAAGGAATGTGGACAGTAGCAACATATAATGCACAACTCAGAAAACTGTGAAGATTACATGAGACAATGTAGACAAAGTACTTAGAGTGATTTTGGAAATGCAACAAATACTTAATAAATAGTAGCTTTTAGTTTTAGAGGGAGCAGTTGGGACATATGGATGAGACTCAGAGGTGTATGAAATTGGCATAGAAAGAACAAACAAGCATCAAAATCCCCATCACAGGAAAAAAGTCTTTAAGTACTTAATAGATTTGTAGGTGGTCGTGAAGAAAAGGGGCACTGTACAGGAACACAGTCCTAAAGTAGCTGGTATACTGCTTAGGAAATCAAAGAGCAGAAAAATAACATGGTTTGTGTACTTTAGGATGGAAACCACTGGTGTGAGATAGCAAGGATGGAAAAGCAAAAATCAGCCAACTCTGAGATTGTGCACAGATTTACTGACCACTACCAGATGAATACAATATCTGATAATGATACAGCTTGGCTGTGTCCCCACCCAAATCTTATCTCGAATTGTAGCTCCCATAATTCCACATCTTGTGGGAGGGAACTGGTGGGAGATAATTGAATTATGGGGGACAGTTTTCCCCATACTGTTCTTGTGGTAGTGAATAAGTCTCAGGAGATCTGATGATTTTATAAGAGATTTCCCCTTTCTCTTGACTCTCATTGCCTTTGCCTGCCACCATGTAAGATGTGCCTTTTGCCTTCTGCCATGATTGTGAGGCCTCCCCAACCACATGGAACTATGAGTCCATTAAACCTCTTTTTTTTTTTTTTTTTTTAAGATAAATTACCCAGTCTCAGGTATGACTTAATCAGCAGCATGAAAATGGACTGATACAGATACTTTTCAAAAAGATTAGGGATTAATTAATTACCAATACCTACTCTTGGAGATATGATTTTCTTTTTTCTTGATAGGGCAAATCCAGTGGATTCCAATTGTTCTTTATAGAGAAAATGTGACTTCTGTCAACTCCACTTAATTAAGAGTTTACCTTGGATTTTAATGTTGGGAGCGGGCAGAGAAAAAAAGAACAAACATCCTCCAAAGGGAACAAGAATGCATTATAAACTGAGTGAAAAGTCAGAGACAAATGCCCAATGTGATCCTCGAGATAAAAACGAAAATGGCCATTGGTGATCAAATGGCATTAGTTCACTAAGAAAATGGTCCTGGAAATTAATTTTGCTAAAATGTCTTTGATGAAAGCAAAGTAAGTACAGAATGAGAAAAACAAAGAGTTGGAGAATAAGATATTAATTGTCACAGTAGATACATTTCTGGAAATCTGACTGGATGAACAAAGTTAAATTTCCATAAGAACATACTTCAGGAAGTAATATCACAAAGATGTGTCTGTATATACATTTATAATATATGTCCATTTGCAATAAACAATATGTCTGAAGCTTCCTGAAGGTAATGGCTAAGCTGATCCTATTTCATGTGGTCTTATCTTGTTTAGCAGGTGGAAATAGACAATACATAGTCATTCAGCAGGCTGTTGTTTTCATATGATACAAAGTAAAGTTGATATAACTGTTTAGATGGAACAATCACAGCATGGCTTACTTTAAGAGAAAACCCAAGCTTCCCGAGTTTAGTATATGATTTATTTTTTCTTCATCTATATTAAGCAATAGTAAAACTAAGCCTTGATAGGGGGACACTTCCAATGTTTTACATTTTAGTTGAATTAAAAGATATCTCCTTTTCCAAAAATAAGACCTATAAATGATTTGTTTTCTAGGTAACTAGTGTACAATGCCCCTTCCCTCTGTTTGGTAGCTAAAGGTCTACAGTTATGAGAAAATGGAATAACATAATGGGGTAGAGGCCATAAAATATTTTAAACACATTACCAAGTTATTTTTTCTATCTTCTATTTTTAACGTATACAAAACATTTATTCATTTTGTGTTAACAACTTTGTTATTTATTCAGTCTGTTGTTAAATGGTATGAATATTTGAAAATTTAATCCTGATTGATACAAGGAGGAACATAAAAATATCTATAACAAAAATGTTTTCATGACCCCATTGTTAAAAGATTAACCTTTTTTAAGGCCATGTTATGGGGACTTTTACTTGAGTGCTTACTATAAAGTGTTTTAGATGTATTTCATTTATATTATTGCAAGGATTAAAATTAAATATGCTGTAAGTGGGAAAATTTGTATTATGATGGCCACTAAGAGTATTTAAAAGCATTATAAGTTGTCACACACCTCATTAACTAATATTGATTAGAATTTCGGAGTTAAAAATGTTGCTCATTTTACAGGTCATTACAATCAAGTGCTTACAGCCACCAAAATCATATTTTGGTAAAGTGTGTATTGCATAACCCAGGCACATTTTCATGCTAGAAAAATGTTTAAATGATATGCGTTGCTTTGTATGCTGGAAAGATAGGCGATCATTATGGATCTATTGCAAGGCACTGAATTGGAATATATTCAGATTGAATTTCTGAGCTGTGTTGTGCATCAGAAATTTCTATATTCTCATCTCAATATTTAGACCTTCTCTTTCTCTACTCATCTGTGAAGATGATAATTCACTCCTTCATCAGTGCTCTATTTTGTACCTTCGATGTCCCTACTGTATGTCTGTCTCGAAACTATTGATTCAACAAAGTACTTTCTGCCACAGTTTATACCATTTTGGAGATGAAATACTTAACTGAATGTTCTCTTGTTCATTTAGCCACTGCTCACCGTTAACCTTGCTTTCTTCCTTTCTATATACCCATATTTCTACCTAAATGGGTTAAAAAATTGATATATTGTGTGTTTATTCTTTGGAAGAGTTAACAATTAAGATTGTAGACAAAAGCATCACAATGGGAAAAACTGCCTTATAGTTTTATTTGTGGAGAGTCAATATGAATTTGTCAAGGACCTATCAGGATCAATGTGGCAACCTAGCTCACCATCACTTTTGTGATATTTCAGTAAATAATTAAGAATCTCTTTCATGAACGAGCTGACAAATGTACTGGAAAGAACAAAGGCCTCATAAAAAGGTATCATGTGATAGAATCCTAGATCCCCCTCATTGCTAGCAGCTATACGGACTTTGATAAATATTGATAGTTTATATATTGTACACGCACACATACACAGATACATATACACAATTAGTTTCACATAATTGCATATATGTGATTTTACCACAAATGGCCGTAGCTATTTTCTCACACAATGCAACTGTCTTGACGTGGAGTTGAAGAAAACTGGATTCAAGTTTCTATGTTCCCAGAATCTCCCACCTTTTCCAAAAAGCAATTTAATTTCTGAAAACCTTAGTGTCTTCTTCTGCAAAATAATGAGAAATGCTTGTGCTTGAGTCCAACTCTAGGATTGTAGTCCCCTTTATATAATATAATCAAGTTCCTCCATCTGGGCATTCAGTTAAATTCTACAACATTGCCAAAATCTGATTTGACTCTACAGAATATGTATAGTTTATTTAACCAGATAGTAATTTAAAATTTTACAACATGCGTATTTCATGTAATATTAATAACAGTAATTTAAATTAATATTCAATACATACCGTTTGAATTTTTATAAGGTAATATTTGTTTTTAATTTTTTATTTTAATTTGTAATAAGCTCAAAATTATTACGTCAAAATGTGGAAAGATTGCCATTTTTGGTTTATAACAGATAGTAAGAAATGCTTATAAAATTCTTACCAGTTAATCTAAGCAGGTAGAGGACCAGTATTAGTTAAACTTGGATATAGGAAAGATGCCTCCACATAATGAATAAAACACACTGCACATTTTTATCCCAATTTTCTTTTTACTTTTAGTGCAAAATCTTAATTAAAATTTTGACTATGAGGCATTGACCAAGAGGCCAAAAATAATCAAAAGAGTTCAAATCTATGTGTCTTTATTGTACTTGAAGACAAAATTGTAACTAACACTGTTATGATTAGTAGTACATTAATTAAAATGGTTTAAGCTGGCAGTAATATAAATCAATGATCCTTTTCAAGTATTAGTTGGATAAAATTAACATTAACTCAATTCTGCTTATTTCCTGGAAGTATTTTAAACTTTAACCAATAGATATGACTTTTAAAATTTACCGTTTTTCAAATCTTAGAAGCTAATTATATTTCTAAACAGTTAGTGGATAAATTAAGAAAAGAACAACTTATATTTCTAGGGAAAATTATTTTCTAAAATTTGCACTTACTTGAGTAGATAAAAGGACTGACTTTCAGAGATCACAATCACAGATTTATGTTTTGGTAGAAGTGGTCTGAGAATACTGGTAAAAATATACAGATGTTAGAGTATAACAGAATGAATAATCAGTACGTCAATAAACATTCTGAGAATCTGCAGTTTACTGGTTGACTGCACTCTCCTTGACAAAGGTCTTTTTTTTTTTTTTAAGTGACAGTATGACTTGTCATTTATTTCAATGAAAATTTAAATGTTTCTTACAAATCCTCTGAAAATAAAACCGATATTTTTACAAACAGAAGTATATGCAAACAGTCACAATATGCATTAGGACACTGACGCTATTTCTTACATGCCAAGTCGTTCTTCCATTCTGGAGAACACCTCTTATCTGAAAGATTTTTTTTCTTCTACTATAAATTTGAATCTAAGTTATTTTTAAAGAGTCAAAAACAGTGCAGAGCATTTTTGAACTGATAAACAAGAATATAGGCTGGACTCAGTGGTGCACGCCTGTAATCCCAGCACTTTGGGAAGCCAAGGCAGGTGGATCACAGGGTCAGGAGTTCCAGACCAACTTGACCAAGATGGTGAAACCTTGCCTCTACTAAAAATACAAAAACCAGCCAGGCATGGTGGTGGGCACCTGTAATCCCAGCTATTCATGAGGCTGAGGCAGGGAATTGCTTGAACCCGGGAGGCAGAGGTTTCAGTGAGCCGAGATCGTGCCATTGCACTCCAGCCTGGGCAACAGAGTGAGACTCCATCTCAAAAAAAAAAAAAAAAGAATATTATACATTTGTATTATAGTTCCACTCCAAATACGATAGCTAAAAGACAAATCAACCTTCTCTTTACAGAACACAGGCTCCAAACATAAATTTTTGTCTTATATGTTTTAGGTTTATGTATATATAAAACCATTCACCAAAGACATGCTTAATTTTTGAGATTAAGGTGTAAATTATGATGCCTTATTTTGGTCTAGAGTGTATGTAAGGTTAGTATGTTAAGCATTGTTCAAAAATACTAGTAAGTCAAAATTATACAGCATTTTCACAAAGTTCAATGCACAGAAAAAGCCTATGATTTTGGTTACTGATCTATCTTAACGCTACTTTCTTTTAAAACAGACAGTTAACATAATACCCAAGTTACAGTAACATTATGGGCTTCTCCTCCCATTGGCAATTAAATGCTTTTCTTCTGAAAAGATGATATGGACCAACAGGTCCATATCAAAAAAAGAATCAGACTTGCCAGCAACGTTGGTAGACTCTTCCCAGCATACATCTGAGTGCTGAAGGAAGAAGAAAGTTTAAATTGTTTAAAGGACTATAATTATCACACAAAATTTATTAAGAAAAAAGAATAATGGATCTAGTATAACTAATTCTGAGTAAACCAAAATGATAAGAACTAATTAAACACTTCTTAATCCCACATTTTTGGCAGGTGTAATTGAGCCATGGTCCTATTTGATTTTGTTATGATTGCATCCAAATTTGCTTAAACTCAGAGTTATGTTTAATGGTAGGATGTAAGAACTGAATTTTGAAAAACTACTCACTGTCAAAATCTCTCCTTCCTATAGGAAATTTAGCTGAGTTTTCTTCATCCCCAGTTTCTCTCTTTTCTAGTGTTGATTCGGTATCCTGAACCCCATTCTCAGCTGGAAAAGCTACAGATCCTTCTAGTGCAAGATAAGGTTTTATAACCAGATTCAGTGACAGACCATGATTTAAGAAATTATGTTTTTTCTTTGTTTTTTGTGACAGCATAATCCCATTGTTCTACTACCCTAGCAGTTCCTCCCTAGACAATGAGGCCAATACCCCTTCCTCTACTTCATATAGGCTTTCTTTTTTTACTCTATACTGTAATCCTGAATGCTTTCATGCATCTCATGGCTTTCATTATCATTTCTACTTTGATAAGTCCCAAAATGATATCTTCTGTTTATATTCAACTTTAGAATGCCAGACCTGTCATCTCTAGCTGCCTATCTCAGAGGCACCTTAAATTCAACCTGTTCAAAGATCATCTTGTGCCTTAACCCAGATTCACTGCTTCTCCAATGTTCCCTGTTCCAGTTTATAGCAACACCATCCTCAGTTTCTCATTCCAAAAGCCCAGGAGTAATGTGTAAGTAATAGATTCTGGAACCAAACCACCCTATGGCCGTACAACTTTGGGCAAGTTATTTATTAACCCTTTGATTTACTTTCCTCATCGATGATGTTTGAGTAATAATAGCACCTACTTCTTATGGTTATTGTGCAAATTAAATCTACTAATACATGTGAGAAACTTAATGATTAGTACCTAGCAAGTGCATTATGAGTGTTAACTATTGCTTTTCCTCTTATATTTTTTAACTTTTATCTTCTTTGCCTCAGACCCACAATCA
This sequence comes from Homo sapiens, assembly GCF_000001405.40. Classification (NCBI taxonomy): domain Eukaryota; kingdom Metazoa; phylum Chordata; class Mammalia; order Primates; family Hominidae; genus Homo; species Homo sapiens. The sequence continues at coordinate 905,154 of NT_187651.1, read as the reverse complement.
GTGAATCGATAAATTCTCCTATTTTTAACTCCAAAATATTTTTCAATTCTATTCTGTTTGTTTTCACCATCTTGGCCAAGTCCACCATCATGTTCTAATTGCAGATCTACTCATATTGCTGCCTTGCTTATGGCTTCACAGTATTCTCATGGAAAAAAACCCAAAAGATTCGGTAATATAAAATCCTTGCTGGCCAGCCTGGCTTTAGAATACTTCTTCTTTCAGAATGTGTGTCCACCACCTCCTCCTCTCTAAGGCTTCTACTCCACACACCTTCCAGTCTCACTAAAGAACTAAGGATGCTCTTCTCTCCTAATGAAGTTGTGTTTACTTCTCAGGTCTCAACTTACATACAAATTTTTCCAGAGAATTTCCTGAAACACTCACCTCTCTCACTAGACTAACTTGCTCCAACTACTCACATAGATAGTATAACACTTATCATTCTAATTAAGTAATAATGTGTGGCTTTTTTATTCACATCTGTCTCAAAGGTAGGGACAGTGAGAGAGAATCATGCCATTCAAATAGAAGTTTTATTCTCAGCATCCAGCACATCAATTCACCATAGTAGAAGCTCAGTGAGTATCTGTCCAATTAATGAATAAATGTTGAGCACTGTAAGCTACGCTTATGGATACCATAGTTTAGTAAGGAAGCAGAGAGTTGGCAAAAATAAATTTGAGAAGTATGATAATGGATACATTAAAAAGTGCCTTGTTGTCCACTGGGAGGAAAGGTTTTAATTTAATCTGAGTTGATAAAGAAGGCCTACATAAGGAAGCTTTGTGATTTCAGGCTGAGGATAACAGTGAACAGGAGTTGGCTCTGTGAAGGACCTGAAATGTGAGGAGGACAGACTGAGAGAAGATCACCTGCAAACTCTCTGAAGCAGATGGTGTAGTCTGTGTAGCACTAGAATGCAGATGTCCACTTCACATGATGGTGTGAGTTTGCACAGGGCCATTTCCTTGGTGACCTGTGTGTCCTAAATCCAAGGGGACTCTCCCAGAACATTCTGTTGTGATAAAGATTCTTGGGATTTTCTGATTCCTGAGATGGGAAGAACTTAGTTCATGTAATGGCAAGTTGGGGGCTCAGGATATGATTCAATTTTAATAAAAACAATAACAGCAATAAATAAATGTGTCAATATTTGCTGTAAGTTTATAGACTAAAATTCTTAGTTTATACATATGCAGCCACAAATACACATACACACATGCACAGAGGCAGTTGTGAAAAAACACATACAAATATACAGGATTGGATGAATGCGAAAGGAAACTTACTTCTCTTTTTACTTTATACACTTTTAAATGTATACATTTCTCTGTTGTTTGAAATTATTGTGTGGCATTCTTTTGGCATTACTTATGTAATCAAAACTCTCAAAAGCTAAGTAAAAATTAAGTAGAAATACATTTCAAATTTAGCCAGTAGCTTGTCTAGTATGTCTGACTTAAGTTGACTTTATGGTATGAAAAATGTGCCTTTTTTTAGCTGAGAAATCATCACACTTAGGTATACCTTGGAGAAAGGTAATATGGGACAATAGCACTCGGCAAATTTATGATGAGCTATTGTTTGTATAATTTTTAATCACTCATATTTAAGACTTGATTTTCTATGCTGATACTAACATGGGATTTCTCTGCTTCAAGCCATCTAAATTAGCTATGCAAAGGGGTGAAAGTTCCCGGGATTTGTTTGGCAACACGTTTCTGAAAGGCCGTTTGGTGCAGCTGCCTTCCATTTGTTTCATCAAGAGACTAAGCTAAACTAAAGTAGTTCTTCATGATGAACTGGCAGGAAAGTGCCAAGATAGTTTTATTGCTTAGCAACTTGGCAGGAGGAAATGTTAAAATATTACAATCTCTCGTATCTATGAACTGAGACAGGCTTTCAACTGATGGCTCTCCAGCTCGAACGTGATTAAGATGCAGCCACATGGCCCGGGCTTATATTTTGAGCTGATAGGAGGAAGATAGGGAAGTTGGATACTTTTAAATGTATAAATAGTAATTTCTCAGAAAACATTTGCTGATCTGAGCCAAATGCTAATCTGAGGAATTAAGCTGTCTCCGTTGTGATGTTGATAAGTACTGCAACCCCTATTGATCAATGGGATTTCCTTTGCATTTCAGAAGGAAGGATACGTCTATTGAGAAATTGCACGCCAAGTAAAATCCTGAGATAAACAACTTCATACAAGAGAAACTGACAGTTTACCATACATTTTTGGAATTTAAAGAGTTGTTGTGGTGTGCTTTCTTTTTGTGCAAATTATGGAATAGATGAAAGTGACAGAGTGATGACACCACCTAAATGGAAGCATAATGTAGATGGTTATTGCAGATGCCTTACCACACAGCTCTGCCAGCGCACATGCTTCCTGCAAACCTCCTGCAATTTAAACCCTTGGGCTCCTTCAACTAATGACGCTAATTTGCCAATGGAGCAATGGCTTTCTTCGCTAAACACTCACCTACAAAGGAGTATGTATTAGCCGACAATGTATGTGCTCAGTAAAAACTGGCAATATAACATGCACATTTTAAATATAAAGACCACTTTCATCACTACATTAAATCATAGGGATTGATTTAATAAATCACAGTGTAAATAACTCTCCAGAATTATTACTATTATTTTTAATAAAGGTAATATTTGGGGGAAAATTATATGGTACTAAATTTTTCCAAAAAATCAAATTATTGGGAGAAAAGTTATAAGAGTACCTGGTTCCCTGTTTTGTCTTAAAGGATTTCGGTTCATAATTGAATTTATATTAAGCATGAACAGCAGTTTGCAATTGACATTGTTTCATTCAAAGCTAGTATCTTCATGTACATTCATGAGTCCAACATATATATATATATCTACGTATATATGTACACATATATATTCAATTATATATATAATTATACATATATAATTGAAACTCAATAAGATAAAATGTGTCATGTCCAAAATTAGAGGGAAATTTGACAGCAAAACAAAAGATTAACTAAAATCTTTGTCTCTATGATGTTAAAATTAAGATCCTGCAGATATGACTCAAGACCTATTTGATCTTATTTGTATTCAAACATGCATCTGATGTGTTAAAATTAACATAATTTAAAAAATGCTTCCATCAAATTCAAGAAGAATTCATTTAAATAACCTTCTGATAAATATAAAAGGAAGACATTCATTTTGTTTTTTTCCCCAACTTTATAAAATATCAATTATTATGGCCACTTTGGGAGCAAATTTTAAGAAAGAAAAGCAACTAAAAATGTCACCGACATTGAAAAAGACATTTAAGTGATACCTACTTGTGTGTTCTGAATTGGTTTTAAATATAGTTTTAATCTTTCTATATTTTGTATTATAAAATAAATATAATTCTTTCATATTTCTAACACTTTCACATTGCAAATGAGGTACATAGGCCACTTTATTGATGAACAACTTTCAGAACCTAAATCTTTAAAATTGCTGAGCCAAGCTGCAACACTAAAATACATTATCTAAATTGTGCATGAAAACAATAAAAGACCATGAGTACTATTTTTTAGTACTACAAGTCAGGGAAGATTAACTTGAATTTAAATAACAAATAAAAGTTACCACAAAGGGAGCAAGCTTTTAAACTGTGAAATAGCTCTAGCTCTACAGTAGAAATCTTATGGTTTTCATATGATAATTTTTTTCAACATATCTTTTTCTATTTTTTAATTCAAAATGTAAAAGTAAATTATACCTCCAAGACCATGTTTTTCTCATTCTTTGTTTCAACAAATTGCTGATATCTTTCAAAACTGTCATTTTCTGAAATGAGCAGTAGTGTACACAGAGAAATAAAAGAGGTTATCCAGAGAAATTGCAGGTGCTTCTCCAGCCTAACCTTAATGACAGTTTATTGCTGGTCCATGGGGCCCAGTTTTGTTTAAGCAATTATCAGACTGCTTTATTTATGGCGCCCTTGTGCCTGTTTTTGGCAATGGGGTCGCAATAAATTATCAAAATAACGTTAATGTTACAAGAATAGGCTACTTTAAAAATAGGTGGCACCAATTACAATTGAAGGAGAATAGTTAGATGAAGATTTAAATTATGCCAATTGCTCCTGGGAAATTGATGGGATGGATCGAGAGGATCTTCCCTGACTTCTAATACATGCATGCGCAGGGTTATTTCTCACAATTAAAATCAGAAATGTTAAAGGGGAACTTACAATGAAAGAGAAAGCCAATTAATCTAGTCATCATTAATCACTGAGAAAGACACAGTAGTATACTTAGTAAGTGTCCTAAAGCAGCATCCAGAGAGAGGGAGAGAGACCATCAATCCCAAAAGACTCAAAAAATCTTTAGGGAGATGTAGAATTATGCCAATAGTTTGCATATTATAACGATAAGACAAAGCTGGGAAGGCCTGTTCTGATATAACTTGCATGCACAGTCACACACCTGGGACCACGTAGAATTTACTACTAAAACGTGAATGGCAATTAATGTACAAAATATGAAAAACAAAGTTCAAACAATATGTGTTTGCTGTCAAGATTACTTCTAAGAAAATTTGTAAGGCAAGTTTTGAGTTGTAAGAGGCTCTTAGAAATAGAAACTGTGCTTTGTAAATCATACTGTAAGGCCAGATTAAAGAATTTCATAGAGAGATATTCACACTTAAGACTAACAAATGCTTCGATTTTAGAATAATTCATGAATTTGCTATTTTCTTCATGATGTCAGCTCATGTTTGGTTATTTGCTACTGATCATTTCATCTTCCCTTGCTTACAATTCCAGAATCATTTTATTAATTTATTTAATTATTTATTCATTCATTTATTCTGCTTGGTCAAAGTTTCAGGTGTTAAATGATATAGGCTTCATCACAATAGCAGATTTCTTCCCACTTTTGTTTATGTCTATCTGATTATGGTATCAGCATTATTTTTTCTTTCCAACTTTAGAGCTACAATACTCAGGTAAAGTCGGTCCCTGGGATTTAAAACTCAAAATAATTGAATAATATGACACCACAGTGGTAGAAACATGCTTCTATTAATATGAATAAAACAGAATCACAGGGTAAATGCACATATTAGACTTTTGTATGTGGTTGATTATAATGTATATATAATTGAGGATTGACCAAAGCATGGGTGCAATTAGGCATACAAGTTCTTCTTCATAATGGTATTTTTAGTGCCAAATATAGGTCTCCAAAAGGTTCTTGGTGGGTATACTTATTGTGAGATGGCATGATTTGTCTTTGATGCACACTACCCCATGTTAGAATGAGCTGTTTCATTTGGGGACACAACACAAGTAACAGCTCATCTGCTCTCATTTACAAGAGCTTCTATGTAGTAAAATTGAGAGTTGTGTTTTTTTCCAGCAAGTTCAATTATTTAGGGTAACCTCACTCCACATGGAACTCTTCCCCCAGATGTCCATGTTGTCCATATTGACAACTCCTACCTTCCAAAATGTTTGTTGACTTCTTACCTTCTGGTTGAGCCTGCATTTGCCTCCTCTCCTTCCACCACACCTACCATCTTAATTTCTTTTTTCCTGCTCTACTTCTCTTATTTTTCATCACATATTTCTTTCAAATCTGCAATATAACTTACCTATCCATTATACTTATGACTTATTTGTTACTTTCTTCTTCAGGGTCAGATTTTCTTCTGTTTAGTTTATTCTTGAATTCCAAAGTGTTTGAGAAAAGAACTGGACCATAATAGGTACTGTGAAAGCTGATTATTTGAATTGGGGCATTCTCGTCATACCCAGTGAAAACAGAGTCAAGAGGGCAGGGGCAAAAAGCACTCAGGACACAAAACATTGCTCTCCCAAAATGTAATTCACTGCAAGTCTGGCTGCTGAAAGTGCCTGCTGTAACCTCACAACTGTTTTATCTAATAGTTGCCAAACAAACCTGCTACAAATCTAAGATTTACTTTACCCACCATCAGTCACCAGTCAGACGTTCCAGCTTCCCAGAACCTTACCAATGCTAATGAACTTTCTCAAAGAGCAATAATTAATATTTCTTTTTTTAGTAAAACCTCCAGCCTTCTCTTCGTTCTTCAGACATGCTGAAGACCACTCGGTCTGAATATATGCCCTGATTTGCAAATTATTTATTTCTTAATTAAATGTTAAATTTAGAGATTCCTCTTTACATTTCTATTTTGACTTCAACAGTCCTCATTAATATTTCCTGAATAAATGAATAAAAATATCAGAATTAATGTGCATTTTGAAAAATCTCTTATGAAATATGAGAGAAAAATCTGTTATACGCTTAGATCCTTAACTTGATCGGTATTCACCTTGAAATATGCTTTTATCTTATGTAGTCTGGTTTTAAAATGTTAAGGAAAAAAATACACTTAAAAATGGACCTAGTCATTTTTACTCAGCAGTACCATATCATTTGAAAAACGAAAACACTCTAAGGCGGTTTTGTTCCTTTGTTTTTGTTTGGTCTGATTTTCTTTCTTTTTTTTTTTTCCTTATGTGTTCAGCCTCTTTAATGTGAATAACTGCTCTTAGTTAAACAGTCTCACAGCATCCACTTACAGTCTCCAAGTTGCTTTCACATTCTTTGTAAAAATAAAAGCTCAGTTAAAGACACTACTTTCTTTTATGGTGCAATTTGTTTGCTCTTACACTGGTTCACTCTCTTTGCCATTTGATTTCCTCAGTTGAGCAATTTATGACAGATTTTTAAGGTCTACTGTCCATTACAAAGAGCAGGTTTTAAAAACTCCATCATCATCATAAGCTTAATGAGTAAATGGCTGGAAGCTCAGCAGCTTGGTGGGGGGAGTGTGTGGAGGTTTGACTCTGACAGCCAACTTGCTGTTGCTGTAATTAATAATGAAATGTTAAGTCTCTTGCTTTTTATGTGGAGACAGGGAAAGTGACAGGGATTATGGAGAGAAATAAATTTACATTGTAGCTTTATAAAGCATCCATAGCTTTAGGAGCTCAATATATACAAAATTACTGTTAACATGACAGTTCCCCAAGAAAGTAGTTACAAAAATATTTAAAGCTCTGGGCTGAAGAATCAGGACATTGTAAGAATGGAGAGGAAGAAAAGACACTTTCTTGTATCCTGTCCCTCCTTTCCTGCTGCTCAATTTCTTTCTACTCAGCTGCTTATAAAAAGATGAAAGATATGCTAACTTGTCTCCCTGAGTGAATCTATTCAATGTCACCACCCACGCACTTTCCAACAGTGACAAAAGTTCCTATCACATTCCTCTTCTCAACTCACCTGATGGATCCCCCAACTACACCCCACCCCCTATCCTAGAAAATATTATATTAAGAAGTAGAAGAACTGTGGGATTATCTGAATGAGACCTGCCAGTGAAGTCCATATCACTGACTATTAAGTCATGTTTACCACAAGCTAATAGCCCATAGCTCAAGCGGAACGCTCACCATCTCTAGCCTTGTCCTTCTTCCAAATCAGTGCATGTAGGCATGTGCTATCTTTGCCTATTAGAAGTGATGGGTAGAACTCTTCATCTACCATTCGTGGAATCTGAAGATGGTACAAGGTCATGATGGTCACGCTAGCTTGGTAAACTGGTGGAAAATTAAGTGCAGGCTCTCATAATGAAACAAAATATTATCTGAACTGAAGCATCTTGGATACTGTTCTCTGTAATTCTTCTCCCATTTGCTTATTTATTCCTTCTTGTTTTCCCTGTGCAAACTGCATCATTGCTAATATGGCTACTTGATCAGTGGTAGTTCCTCATCTTCCACCATTATCCCATTTCAGATCTATCTAAAAGCCTTACTTGTGGATAAGAATAACCAAAAAAATCAAATTAACTAGTTAGATAATGACTGTATCTATCTTTTATGCTGAATTAAAATAACATGATTAAGTGAAGACTAGCATACTTTATTTTAACCGTTCACTTCATCATCGACAAGGGTATAAGTTTAATTATGTATATGTACATGTAATTATGTATAGATGTATAGAATACAAACAAATTTAACCATTTTACTTATCCACATGAAATTGCTTCTTTTACATGCAGGATGACTTGTAAATACATTCATAATAGAGAAATTGCAGTGGTTCTGACAATCAGATTTTTGAATTATTTTATGTAGAACTTACTGGTAAAAATTTTATGAGGTAGTTAAAAACCAGATTAAAATCTGTAACTGAAAAATTTGTCATTTGGGTTGAATTACAAATATAAGTCTAAGTTTTATCTTCAGTGCCTCAGAAAGGCTGAATTCAATCCCTTTTAACTAGTTTCTAAAATTTCAGAAGTGCTAAGTTTTCCCACAGATTTCTGAACTGGATTTATGGCAAAGTACAACTTGAAATAGATGGATGGATATGAGAATTCACTAATGATCATTCTCGACTATCTGACTACAACATATTCTGAAAGACAAACTTGCCAAGTTAAATGATCAGAGGTATGCTATGAAATTCTTTTGAAGACCCAGATACCTTCTAGTTATAAGGTACTAGTTAAAATAAGCACCTCTAGAGATATTAAATAACAAAATCAATTTTACTCATTTCTTTTAGAAGAAAAATTAAGAATGTTTCAATGAATCTGAAAAACAATTTTATTTATTATCAATCTTTAACTCTTTATGTTAAATTTCTGCTTATGTGTCTGAGATGATCATCAAAGTATTCAAACAGATAAAATCATTTCAGAGTTGTATCAATTTCTAAAATGACAAATTATTTTCGGGAAATAATATTTAGTTTTGGAGTGGAATGTGTGATAATCAAAAACAAAACATGTTTGATCAAAACTGAAGCCTCTGTGCAAAACACGGAGCATGGCAATGTGAAGCAGTGGCTCCTTGGAATTTGGTTCAGTTAGTGATGGCTGGAAGGAATCCTGGACCTGAGTTGCATAGACAAGGTGGATGAAAATCATATGTAGCCTAAAACCCTGAGACTCCCTCACTCCTTCAATGGTCTCTCTTTTTGAAAGTATTTGGGGAAAAATAAATGTGCCTGGATTAGGCCCTACCTTTTGGTTTTACTTGTATTTGACTACAGGTATGAACCCCACCTAGGGATTTTCCTTTCCTGACCTGGCAAGGCCTGGAAATTAACTATTAGTTGTCTAAACAACTACTCCCCGTTTCCCCCTCCTGTTGTTCTTAAGGAGTTTGTTATTTCTTCCTCTCCTAGTCATGCACAATGCCTCTTGCACAAGGCTGCTGTGTTCTCGGGGGAAATAAAACAATGCATCCCAAAACTGCAACATCTTGAAATTGTGGATGCGTAATATAACCGTGGCAAGTATCTAATGGAAAAAGACAAATAATGTAAACACAACAGCAAAGTCACTTCATGGATGTGCCCTAGTTCCTAGCAAGGGCCCCCTGTTTGCAGGTCTATTCCAAACTCTCTGTGCTCTCAATCACTTCAGAACATTTTATTTTTTTCCTCCATCAGACTCCCCTCCTCATTTCCTCCTCCTAACTAAACTGGTACATCCCTCAAGCAGGTGCTTCCACTCAACAGTGGAAGGAGGTTGTAGCACTTTCAATCAAGGCCTTCCATCTATATATCTATGTTTATCTATACCTGTATCTATGATCTATCTAATTAGAAATAGAGACAGAGAGGGAGGTGAGGAGATTGAAATAGTAGTATAAAAAAAGAAGTTCCCAAAGGCAAAATATCCTATAAAGACTTTGCAGGCCCTCCATGGAGATACATGTTTTAAATTTTTATAAGGAAGAACTTAAGTTTTCCTTTCCATAAGTTTTTGCCTCCTAATCGTGCCCACTGCTGTGTAAGAAAAAGGGGGCACATTACAGTGCCTTTCAAAACAACCCAGCTCCCCTTGGCTAGTAGATCTGAGGTTGCAGTATTTCTTTACCTTGGGCCAGATTAAATACTTAGGCAAGACTCTCTACCAACCAAACATTTCTGTAAATTGAGAGGGAGCTATAGATGAATGTATCCTTCCTTAGGTCTGGATAATCTGAGAATACTTCCTTCAGGTTCATGTAGCAGAAAGAATAATACTTCCATTCTACCTAAAGAGTTTCTTGCAACTGAGATTTGCCTATTGACAGTGGGTGCAAAGCTGAGAGAAAAGAGCCACATTCAGGATGTGGCTATCTCTCAACAAGGAACAAGGTGACCTAGAATAGTAGGAGTGGAGCCATTTAATCACTCAGGAAATAAATTTTGCCATTCCAGTTCTAAAACTCTAAGAGCATTTTTCGACAGGCATGTGGGAAGTAGAATACTGATACCAATAGCTAAAATCAATCTATCTTATCCCAGCAACTATGGAGCCAAGTTGGGTTAGGACTATGGTCAGAGATAAACAATTAAGTCTGCAGAGCCTAACTAGGTAACTAATTGGTGAAGATGCATTTTGTAAGCTGTGACAGTTGTGTCTAAATCATTGAAAAAGTATGTTTCATCTACAATTGGTAGCCAATGCCGAATTCCAGATGTTTGATTTCCTAGTTTTCTTAGAGATAGTGATTTTTAAAATGTTTATGTAGAAGCTGACAGTTAGACATATCTATACATAGAGTCGTACCTGAATGTTCATAGCAGCTTTAATATTAGCCCCAACCTGGAAAAACCCCAAATTTCCCTCAAAATTATAATGGATAAAATGGATAAATTCAATGAACATTATTCCTAAAATGAAATACACTAAGCAATAATAAGGAGCTGACCACTGATGTACTCAATAAGAACAAATTTCAAAAAACAAGATGCTGAGATAAAGAAGACAGAAACAAAATAATGCACATGTATGATGTCACTTATACAAAATTTAGAAAAGATATATCCTGTACATAATGACAGAACCTCCATCAGTGGTTGCCTGTGATCAGGGATTGAGATGGTGAGGGCATGTGAGAAGTTTTCATATATGATGGAAATGTGCAGGGGATATACAATTGTCAATATGCATCAAACTGTCTAATTTAATATATGTTTTATTGTATATGATAAATTGATTTTCTAAAAATCATATACACTAACTCAAACTTCTTATAGCTGAACACATTTTATATTAGGTGTTTATCTTATATTTACAGATGATGTCTAGTAAGCCTCAGAGATGTCCAGTGGGATCTGGGATTTGAACCCATGTCTATTTCAATTTGTCCTCTCATTCCCTTTTTACACTCAGCTTTTCTTTTAACATGCTCACATTTTCCCTACGACTACAAAATGAAAATAAACAGAACCTTTATTTTTAAGCTCTTATCCTACTTTGCTTCTTCTGTGCAAATGTTTTAAAATAATAGTTGACATTTATTCCTTCTACTTCCATACCTCATCCATCTCTTGCATTCTAATGTCCATCGCCCGCTTACTGAAATAGAGAAAAAAGTCACGATCATCCAGCACTGCCAGTGATTCTCAACTTTTTAAGTAATTGACTTTGTGTGTTTCTTCAGAACACTTTCTCCTCTTAAGATTTCTGGTTCCCTTTTATGTCTCCCACTGCCTTTCCATCATCTTTTTGTTTGACTCTTTAAACTCCTCCCTTTTTCCTTTTTTCCCATGGTCTCTTCAAATATATCTAAACTAATGCGTTCTGCATACTTATTTTGAGTCTTTTTGTGAGGTCTAGTCCAACTGGCAAAATATGGTATCTCAATTTCCTACCATAAACTCATCATATCTCAAATTTAAATTTCTCATCTTTCTTCATGCAAAACACCTTGAACCTCAATTTAAACTTCATCATATTCTTCAATTTCTTCTCCCTTTGTTTTATTACACAGCTTATTTTGGCAAAATCCTAGGGTATTTTAATGTGTTTTTCATGTGCATCACCTCTCCATATATTTACAATTGTTCTGGCAAAAGTTTATATTGATAATTAGTCTTAGTGATTATAATTATGCCCTACTTTTGCTTTCTGTAATTCATCCTACACACTGTTGCTAAGTAATAATACCACTAAATCACAGCTCAGAATATATATTTTATTGCCTGCTGGTTTTCTATATCTATGAGAACACTTATTTCGAATGAAACAAAAACGATTAAACACGTAAAGCTGGAGCACTGAAAAGCACCAGGCATGCTAAGGGCCAGGGATAGACAGATGAAAGAGCATGCCCGCTATCTTTCTCTTAACATTCAAAGACCCGTTAATTTCCATTTCAACATGCACTTTTTGTCAATTTTGTTTTCCACAGATTACTTTCAAGCATCCTTTGAAATAAACCCACTAAGATCATTTTGCCCAGAGCTTGCCCGTTTTGTACCTCTGCTGAGATTTTTCTCATTTCCTGGAATTATGACAATATTAAGCATAACTGTAAAAATTCTAAGTATCATTTGTATAGCGTAATAGTAGATCCAGTCCAACACTGCCTAGAAACTTGCACACACCATTGCATTTCACCCTCGCAACAATTCCATGTGGTTGGTTCAGCTATGTCTACTTCACAGATGAAGATATGGAAACTCAGAGGTGTTACATAACTTGCTTCCATCACACAAGTCACAAAATCAAGCCAGTCTGTCACCTAAGAAACCCTAACCCTTCTCACTTTAATACACTACCTTTATTATCCTACATTTAATTTATTTTTTATACAACTTTGCTCATGACAATCTTTGTTCCTTTAGTTGGAAGTTTTTATTCCTCAATTTCCCAAGGGGAAGATTTTACAGGTTAAACATTTTTGTCACTTGTCACTTAGCAACTTAACATTCTAGTCATTTATGCACAAGTTACTATCTCTACAAAACGTGAACAATTTGAAGATGAAAAATTATGTATTATATATCTTAAATCCATCCCACTGTAGTTCTTTACAGAGAGACAGTACTCAGTAAATATTTATAAGAATCATGACATGCAAATGTGCATATTCTCTCTTATTAGAATATAATTTAGAAAATGTACTTGACAAATGAAAAGTAGCATCAGATTATTCTTGTTCAAAATATTCCTCCTTGGTAAACACTAATACCTGGACTAATTTTTGAAGACTGTACTTCTCAGTGGGGGAGAAGAATTGGGAAAAATTCTTTAGTGTGAGAATATCTTAGGGGAACAGCTATAGTTTTAAAAAATACTGCTTTGTTTTATTCCAGTTATTTCTCTTTTATCAAAATTTTAAATTTGTATTTATAGTTGATATAAAAGGATATGTATCTTGAGAGATCGTGTGTCAAAATAATTGAAGGACATTTTTTGTCATTTGTGTGAAATAGAAGAAGTGTTTTATTTCTTCTTCTATGTGTTTTATTTCACACATTTGTGTGAAATAGAAGAAAATGATACCTGTGTGTGATAGAAATAAGTTTATATCCTATGAGCAGGTAACAAAAAAGAAAAAAAAAACTAGCTGGACTTTTTCTCTTAGGATTATATTTTCTTTGGATGACAATGATAAAAGTTCTCTTTACTATGTAAATTTGCCAGTCTAAGAATAGAGTGTATTATCTTACTGAGTTTCATCTTGTACCCTCAGCATCTATTATTCCTATTAACTCCAAGTTCAACCTCCACCTTGCCCTTTTCTTCTTCTAATTGGCAATGGGCAAATCATTTCTGGTCAAGATCAGGAGCTCATCTGTGGCTCTAACCTTGAACATCAATCCAACTCAAGAGTGAATCCCATTAACATCAGACTAATAAATGCAAAGATCCAGTGAAGAACAATAATGAACTTTGGCTCACACATCAGTCTTTGGCACCTCAGAAACTAAGTGTAATGAACAGTAGGTCACAACCTATAGCTTTCATAAAATGTCCCAGTTGAGATAGCATATTACACATTTAAAACAGTAATGGTGCCAGGTCATTCTGTCAGACATTTGTCAAGTAAGGATGTGCTCCTACACATCTAGCTCTTCTAGTAAACCAATATTCAGACACATAATGGCTGCTTGTATCTTCAATTATCTCCATCCTATCACATTCAGAGCTGCTTCCAGAGAGTCCAATACTACAGCCTTAGGCTATGGGATGATGATAGCATACCCTACAAACACATGAGAGCAACCTCAAACCTTCTAAATTGTGCCAGTTCTGGGCTTCTTTTGCATAATCATTTATCTGAAAGGACAAGAAATAATTTGCAATTTCAGAGTGTGATGCAAAAGACACAGATATTGCTCAACTTCAAACTACTGAGGGGAAGAAAAATAAGATTTTGGTTAATGTTCTATGGTTCAAATATAGTAAAGTCATCCTGGATTCCTGTCCTGACCTATTCTTTCCTTACCATTTAATTACTTCTTTTCACCTACTTTTCTCTTTTATTTTTATTTTTTTTTTTTTTCGAGACAGAGTTCCACTCTTGTTGTCCAGGCTGGAGTGCAACGATGCGGTCTTGGCACACTGCAACCTCCGCCTCCCAGGTTCAAGGGATTCTCCTGCCTCAGCCTCCCGAGTAGCTGGGATTACAGGCATGAGCCAACATGCCCAGCTAATTTTTGTATTTTTGTAGAGACCAGGTTTCACCATGTTGGCCAGGCTGGTCTTGAACTCCTGACCTCTCGGCCCCCAAAAGTGCTGGGATTACAGGCTTGAGCCACCGTGCCCAGCCATTTTTCTCTTTTACTTATTTATTTTAGCATCCTTCTCTCTTCTTATAGCTCATCTTTTATATGTGCTTATTTGAAAATGCACAATATAGTTGTTTTTGATAGACTTAAAATGATTTCTGCGGCATGCTATGAATATGTAATACCCCCGCAATCCACCCCACACATATTTTGAGAATTTTTATCCTTCTTTGTAAAATTAGCCAGAAGTCCCTCTGTTAACACATGTTCGCTTCCTCATTCTTTGGTGAATTTTGTTTTTCCCATAAGACGTATTTTAACACGGGAATGAATAAATGTATAGGGAACATGAGACAACCTGTTTAACATCCTTTTTATACGCCATTGGGGATGATAAAGAGCAATGGTCATTTACTTAACATCTTGGTAATTAGCCGCTTGGAGGGTGCAAGGCCTGTAACCAGTCTTTTTGATGCATCCGCCATTTCTGCAAGTGGCTGGAGTGGAGGTACAAATGAAGCTGAATAGAGGAGAGACTCTGCAACTGTATTCACTGATAGAGTAATTGCCTGCTTTGTGAATAGGATGCATTCTGGAAGTATATCAAATATATAGAGCAAATACTCAAATAGAATAGAACAAGAAATGGTTACAGTAAAACAAACTTTTCCTGATATTTACCACTTTTTATATTTTACTCAAAGTGTATATATGTTTTTTTTATATGCAAGATAAACTGATAATTTCAACACAATCTGCACTACTTTGAAAAATGTACACCAGGGCCTTTCATGACTTGTATACAGTTCTGGCCATTCTCTTTATCTCAAACCGAAGAAAGATATGATGCAGGCAGTAGTTTTTTCTTAGTGCCTCATAGTATCTAATAGCAGAAAGTGAGCCGCATAGCGGAGCACATTAGTTTTTATGTATCTACAGGACAGAAGGGCCACTTAGCTGATGGCTCCAGGTTTCCTTTGATATAATCTAATGTTCCTATGACCTCAAAGACTGAACACATTTCCCTAAGTGCTTCACTTAGCACCCAGGAGCAACTTGGAGTCTTCGCAGAATAAAATCCATTATTTTAATGTAGATTAATACATGGGTACTTATATCTATGCAGGTCTATAATAGTTTATTCCTATGTAAGCTTTATTAAAAGCATTGGTATGTTTTACATAAAAAGTTAATGTGAATATTAGAAAAAAAGGACAATATTAAAGCAGTTTGTAGAATTTGTTCCCCCCCCAAAATGAATGAAATACACAATAGATTTAAAAAAAAAAAAACAATGAAAGTGAAATGAGGAAAAGGTCTAATTTTCCCCTTAAATTTCACAATGTGTCAGCCAGACAGAGCATAATTTTGGAATAAACAAAAAGCCAGGGAGTCAATACAGGGTTTCTCCTTCTATCAGATATCTTGCTTTGGCAGAAAGTAAGAAGAACATCTCAAAAACCTCATTGGTGTTCTTAAACTGAGGGTGGAGACAGGGCGTGCAGGCTACTTGAGGAAAGACTGGGATGTGTACATGGAACTCACTTGCTCAATATGAATCCATGGCAACCTCAGGTCTAGGCCAGAAGTCCTATGGAGTATTTCCTTGCAGAGGTTGGTGGTAGAAATGCAGTCTAAGATGAGCCATTGACTCAGCTGGAACTAACTAAAACCAGCAGAGATGGCTAAGCCACTAAAGAAACAAAACTCAACAAAAAATATGGTTGTCCAAATGCCCATCAATTGATAGACTGGATAAAGAAAATGTGACACATATATACCATGGAATACTATGCAGCCATAAAAAAGAAAGAATTCATGTCTTTTGCAGGGACATGAATGAAGCTGGAAACCATCATTCTCAACAAACTAACACAGGAACAGAAAACCAAACAGCACATGTTCTCACTCATAAGTGGGAGCTGAACAATGAGAACAAATGGACACAGGGAGGGGAACATCACACACCAAGGCCTGTCGGGGGGTGGGGGGCAAGGGGAGGGAGAGCATTAGGACAAATACCTAATGCATGTGGGGCTTAAAACCTAGATGACAGGTTGATAGGTACAGCAAACCACCATGGTACATGTATACCTATGTGACACAATTGCACGTTTAGCACATGTATCCCAGAATTTAAAGTTAAAAAAAAAATGGTTGTATCAAACCCCAAATCTTGAAAATATAAAAACTTAAAAAAAAGTAACCCACTCCCCTTGAAGCAAGGACAGGCGCACCTTACACGGGAACAGACATCCTCTGAAATGCAATTATTTTGCCTTTTGTTTGTTTGTTTGCTTTGTTTTTTCTACTATTTCTTTTTAATTGAAAGAGTAGTAATGCAGTAATAGAATTATAACTGGTGGCATCACAGGGCTGCATATTAGTAACCTTACCTGAAGAGCTGTATAAATATCTCATGCACATGTTCTGAAAGAAGTGGAGCTTTATGGCCCAGAGTGATAAGGAGGAAAAAATAAAAAATGCCTCCATACATTCAAATTTTATTAAAAGTTGAATTAAAACATAAACATGTGACAGATTTTAAAATTTAATTATTTGCAAAAGCGTTTTTTGAAATTTACCTCCTAATGTTTTGCCTATAAATTCATGTTTTTATAAATGAACCTTTTTTATTGCTAGAAGGTGGCAGGTTCCACATCATTCTTATTCCTATATCATTATTTTTATAAGATCTAAGAACTGAGAAATCTTGTTCTCAGAAATAAGTGGATAGGATTGGAAGGGCTTTGTTATAACAATGACATTTGATTCTTTGAACTCCTTTGAAGAATGACAACAAAAATTGCAGATGTCCATTGACAATTCAACTAGGTATTTCTTCAAATTTTTAAAAGTAATTAAAAATCTAAAACAAAACAAAACAAAACAAAAAACACAAATGATTAGCAAGATTTTGTTACCCAGTCATCAAGGTGACTTACTTTTGAGAAGTGGAGATGAATGTTTTGAATTGCCCCTTCGTTTTGCATCCTGGAAATTTCAACACCTGGGGACAAAGCACCAAGGTAAAGTTAAAAAAAGTGGAGATATATTTTTCTCTTTTAAAAAAAGAAACATTGTGGGAGAAGAATTCTTTTGAAAAAGAAGAAATGAAAGAGGGACAGCAAGAATGATGAAAGAAGTATTCGAATGTGACACCTGGAAACCTGTTCTTTAAAAGTCTTTGCCTGGCCGCAGTACGCCTCACAAAGTCTTTGTGTAATCTCCAGGGTTAGCAGGCCTCAGATCAAAATTAGAAGCCTAAATGGCAAACTAACCAAATTGGTTTTTTTTTTATAAAGTAAAATCTCTCAATTCACTTTTAAAATAAACTTAATCTGGTTTGAAGTGTCCCTATGACAACCATCTCAATACTGAATTTTAATTATATGATAGGTATGTAGCTAATTACATCAAATAATAGTTAACAGTTAAATCGATCTCTGGCTGTATTTTTATTTTTATTTTTTTGAGAGCTTCTCTCTCTGTCATCCAGGCTGGAGTGCAGTGACATGATCTCGGCTCACTGCAACCTCTGACTTCTGGGTTCAGGCAATTCTCATGCCCCAGCCACCCAAGTAGCTGGGACTACAGGCAGGCACTACCATGCCTGGCTAATTTTTTGTAATTTTTTTGTATTTTTAGTAGAGACAGGATTTTACCATGTTGTCTAGGTTGGTCTTGAACTCCTGGCCTCAAGTGATCCATCTGCCTCAGCCTCCCAAAATGCTGTGATTATAGGCGTGAGCCACTGCGCCTGGCCTCTGGCTGGTATTTTATAAACTTAATAATGAAGAACTGATTCTCTACCGAAAAAAAAATGTATATATACAAAAAAAGAAAATGGTGAGGTATGGTGGTGCATGCCTGTAGTTCCAGCTACTCAGAAGGCTGAGGTTGGAGGATTGCTTGAGCCCAGGAGTTCAAGGCTGCAATGAGCCGTGATCATGCCACTGTACATCAGCCTGGGCAACAGAGCAGGACCCTGTCTCATAAAGAAAAATAACAACAACTACCACAAAATGAAGAATTGGCGAATGTAGTAACTAGATCCAAGTTCATGGTTCTTACAGTTACCACTTCACAAGAAAAAGCCTGTAAGATTTAAAGCTGAGGATCACATGGCTAGTAACACTGAAAGAAGCACTATAGAACAAGGGAGATGAAGTCATTCTGAACATTCAGATTACTTATTTTTAACAAACAACTTAATATCTCTATCTTTTATATACTTTTCAGATTATAAGTGTAATTATGCTTTAGAGATAAAGACAACCATGCAAAATCGTCAAAAACACTTCCTTGTAAAATGAGCCCTTCCTTCAGCTGACAGGGTTGACAGGAGATCCCAGGTGGGGAAAACACACCAAAAAGATTCTTATACTTAGGCTTTGCTCCACTAGGGACATTCACAAACAATCTCCAGGACATATTGGTTTCCTTGGGACTAAGGTATTTGTACAATGTCCATTTATAGGGGGTTAAAGTGCCTGTGATAGTGGTTGAAAGTTTTGACCCACTTTTACAGATTAATCAGCATTGTGGTGGTTACAGAATTTCCAGATAAGGCATGCTTGCTCTTCTCTAGACAAACTCATCCACGATATCTTAGTAACACTGATTCTGAGTTACCTTTAGTATTTTAGGTAGATCCACACAGTGTGATTGCTAATGTTATTTGTACGGATTTAGGAGCCACCGAGTGGCTATCATTGAACTGTCAAATAAATCTCAATACCTAGTTAAAATTCTTTTACAAGTAACTTTTCATAAAGAGGAATAAATGTTTACAGTAAGGGAGTATTTTGTTTACTTGGGCAGCTTTCTATGAAGAGGAGCATTTCTTGCAAAGCAATATGCCTGAGAATTAACTTTAGATTTCATTTCTATTTCACTGGAGTAGATATGTTTAAATTAACTTATAATTTCTTAAGGAGTCAGATAAAACATTAATTTTCTTTTTAATTTCTATACTTGCAGCTAAGAGTCGAAAATGAACCTAAGAGCCCTTCATTCCAAAATCATGCACAATTTCTAGTGCTTGTCTACTATCTACATAAATGTTCTCTCTCTCATATACTCTTCACTTTTTGCCTCAGGCTGGATTGTGAGTTCCAGTTACAAAAATTGATTCAGCAACCCAGGCAGATGGAGTCTTCAGAGATAAGAGAATATCCAAAACAAGGTTAATTTTCTCTATTCTAGGTGAAAACTGTCAACAGATAATGTAAGATCAGAGTTAATTAAAGTTATGCCATTTAAGTCAGTTTTGGACAAGATGAGAGTTTGAATCACTGTCAGCTAAATATGTGGTTGTCCTTCATCCTGGAGGGGAAAAAGAAGGCAGTTTAAGATTTGTGCATTTTTGCTAATGTTATGAGATGTGAATAGCAAAGTAATCTCATCAATAGTAATAGTGTGGGTTGAAATATACTGTGTTACCTTATAGAAATGTTTTCTATCATACACGGGACCAGTTGGATACTGTAAAACTGACAGGGAAAAGAAAGTAAGAGGATTCTACTAATTAAACAGTATCTACAAGATTTCACAACAAAGGGGACACTGTTTGGTAACATTGTCTGGAAGAGTATTTGTTTAAGTAGTAAGTAAAGGTTTGGCATAATTAAGTTCATTTAGTGTAAGGGTTGCTACAACGTTTCCTCAATAGTTATAAAAATAAGCTAAGACTGCTCAAATGAAAAGAAATACAGGTTATTCAGTCAGAGCTTGCTGTAGCCAGGGAGTTGGCCACCATCACTTGCAATATGGCAACGAATCAAAGGCAGGCAGGCAGTGAGAAAGCTTTATCGTGGGAAAACCAGAAGGCTGCAGGAATGCCCTGGTTGGAAATTATTGTCATGGGGAATCTAAAGGTTGGATAACTAGAAGCAAAACATCCTATTTGATGGGTGAAGCTGCATAATTAGCATTCTCTGGTTGGTTCTAAATTGGAAGCTGGAGGGAAACACTTAGGGAAGCTGGAAGTTACCCACCAATTCCTAAGCATTTGGACCAATCGCTGCAGACTGGTTGCTGCAGAGGTCAGAGTTGATTTTCTGTGTGTGGAACCACCATTGTCTGTTAGTGTATTCAGTCTCTCATAGTATAAAGGCCGAAACTGCTTCAGGATCCAGATAAGAAGCTCTAGAAATTAGAATTTATTAGGGTCATGTAGTCCTTAGTCTGCCTCATGGACATAGTGATTGGTCTAAAGAAGCATTCTTCATTTCTGCTGCCCTAATCATATTATTCCAGCTTCCACAGACTGATTCAATAGGTCCCGAAGCTAAATTAAGAACCAGGATTCTTCAATAATACATTTGAACTGGAAACAAAGAAAGAGTAAGACTCCGTTGGAAAATGGGAGACTGTGAAACTAGGAATTGACAGTGACTATCTCTACAGCTGTGACAGACGTTAACCTGAGAGATAAAGCTGAGACCCAGAAGGCAAAGAATGTTACATACACAGAAAGAACATGTAAAATTGGAGCATCTATGTTTCTGCAACACATGAAGTATAACAATACCCCACCTTTCTTGAGATATTGCCTATGAGCCAGTTAATTGCCCTCGTTTGTGAAACTGTTTGTCTCCTGCAGCCATTGAATCCTGATTAATACTCATTAAATCTCTATGATGTCATAGTATATATCAGGCACTATGGCTCATATTATTGTTTTCCCCTGATATTTGGTTATTTTCTTTTCAAGGCACATGGAGACGGACCTCTACCTGCAATGCCCCCCTTGCACTTGGACAGAACCATGTGACTATTTATAAGCTATGACACATGAGCAGACATGACATGACGGGATTGATGGAGCAATGACCTCATCTTTTCTCCTGCCAAATATTATGAAAGAGGACTCAAGTCACTCACCTGAGGGACACTGGGTGAAAGTCAGTAATGAAGCTGAAAGGTCGCTAAATGCTGGCAAGTGAGATGGATTATAGTGTCTAGACTTTTTCCTGAGGTCATTCTATATCCAGCAGATATCTTTCAGTATATAGTCTATTCAGAACAATGTGCTAGTGACTATTGAGTGTGGTTACATTCTTTTTTTTTTTTTTTTTGAGATGGAGTCTCACTCTGTCCCCTAGGCTGGAGTGCAGTGGCACAATCTTGGCTCACTGCAACCTCTGCCTCCTGGGTTCAAGCAATTCTCCTGAGTCAGCCTCCTGAGTAGCTGAGACTACAGGCACCCACCATCACGGCCAACTAATTTTTGTATTTTTAGTAGAGATGGGGTTTCACCATATTGGCCAGGCTGGTCTTAAACTCCTGACCTTGTAATCTGCCCACCTTGGCTTCCCAAAGTGCTGGGATTACAGGAGTGAGCCACCAAGCCCAGCCAGTTACATTCTTTAAACAAGGAGTGGACGTACCCTGAAACAAGAGATTAGTCAAAGAGATTTTGCTATTCATGGGACCTAAAAGGTGGCTGTACTTCCCTTTACTGCTTTTCCATACACAGCAATGCACGCTGTATGGGTTCTTATAGGTCAGAGAGTGAAAGAGAACCAGGACCTATAAAAGAATACAAGTCTCTAAAATCAGAAAGTTTATTATTTAAAAAAATAGTTACGTGCCAGTCTGCTTATAATTTATTTTTATGACTGAGAGTGCCTTTCATAAGCACATTCTGGCAAACTATAAAACAAATAAATTGAAATTGAATAAAACCTTTAGACATTAGAAGTGTAGCACCAGATTTAGTACATAACTGCAAAACTTAAACATGCAATTTTACATCTGCAAGCACATTAAATTGAAAGAAACTTTAACTTAATTTAGATACATTAATTGATACAAACTTTTCTGGTATATAGCACTTCTTGGCGCATTGAGTATTCTTAATCTTTAAGGCACATGAATATAATACCTTAGGAAAGATCTGTTCTCCACACATTTCCTCTATAAAGTGCCAAAAAAAAAAATAACGAAGAGCCAGTTTGTCTTCCGCATCAGTGTGATTTAGCATACATAAATAAGTATCTTTTCACACAAAATAAAAGGTTCAGAACCCAAAGTGTCTGATTTTTATAGTGCTTTTTCTTTCCTTTTAAAAAGATAGCAAGATGAGGGTAAGAGGTAATTTAAGAGAAGTAATCATCTTCTAACAGCCAGCTTGCAGAAACTAAAACAAATATCAATGATGTAAAAATGTTGTTTTGACACTTTGGTAAATGAAAGTGTGAGATGAGTAAGAATATATTATAGGTGCTTGTATATCAAAGGCCTGTGAAAATGGCTGATTATAAAGGAGAAAGTTAATGATCTCTAATTGTGTTGTAATGTAAATGCAGTATCACCGTAATGAAGAGAACAGATTTGCATGTTAACAAAAGAAATATTAGAGGAGTGAGTGTAGGATGTTTGGGATAATTAATTCCATCCTCCACTCCTACATACATATGCATATACAAACTCAATTCAATTTTAAAGAGAACCCGAAGAACCAAAAATAGACTGAACACACTTGATGTTGTATGGGAGCTTAAATTACTATTTTTGTTGTTCTCTGTGACTATCTCATTTAGTTTCTATTGTGTTTGCAGTTTCTTCCAAGGTGATTTTTAATGGATTGAGTAATGCATAAAAATTTGCAGAAGTATGCAGAAAGTTTGTATGCAGGGCCATGTAGAGCTTTTATCCTACAGTAAATCCTAGTAGTTTGCTGGTGCTGTGTGATTTTTTTTGTTTGTTTAGGGTTTTTGTGTGTGTGTGTGTGTGTGTGTGTGTGTGTGTGTGTGTGTGAAGCTTATTTATTCCATTTCAAGAAAAAGAAAAATAGACAAATTAGAATACCAAAAATAATTTGCAGCCAGTATCAACCAATTTATATTCAAGCTGAAAAATTAAAATAGCTTTCAGAGAATGGTAGAAGCATATTATTTAAAAAACAAACTATGAAGAAATGGACAGAAGCATGTAGACATAGATAACAGAAATTTAAAGTAAAAAGTAGAAAATGAAATTATTCCCTTTTATACCTGAAAGCAAATGATTTCCATGATTCTAAGCCTCTGTAAAAAGCAGCAACAATTTCATCATTTTCCTATTCACTCTTCATATTATCTAAATCAGGATTCTGCAAAATTATTTTCCTTGAATTACTTTTAAAACATACCAGAAATGAATTCACTACTCTAATTATCACAGCAATTCAGGGAATTATTAAAAATCAAATCAAATCAAATGAAACTTCGTAAGTTGTTTACAAAAAAACTTCAGGTTCATTTGCTTTTAATGCAAGACATGGCAATGTATCTCGGCCTGTGGATGTCCTCTCCATGTTAATAGTAAGTGCAAGTTTATGAAAAGACTAGACACCGACACCACCTGGGGAAATCAAAGCTTACTTACCTAAAATGCACAGGAGCCAAGAAGCATGTTTAAGTTCATGGGAGGGTAATGAATGCTGTTCTCTAGAACATGTTTCAAGGAGCTGGACACGTTTCCTTACCAGGGGAGACTCACACTGCAGATCATAATTTCTGAGCAAGTGAGAAGTGAGAGTTCCATTGCACCTGTGGGAAGCTCTATCCTCCAAAGTGTAGCTTTACACACCCAGCTTGAGTCATTCTTCTTTCAGGTGTATCTGGACATACTCCAGGGACTAGCTTATCTGTGCCTGGTGCACTTCATTTATCACGATTAAACAATATACAATTTGACTGAAGGGCACAGTATAGGTCAGTGCATTTATGCATAACAGCAGGACTTATTAATCATCCTCAGCTCCTGCAGGCTAAGAAATCCTGCTTAAAATTTATTTGCATGCTTAGAACTAGAACAGAGCTTCGAAACTAGAAAAAGGGTCACTTACTCTGATGTCTCTGGAAGCTCATGAGGTCAGCCCTGAACGCTAAGTTGCACTTCTTGAAACAGTTTTAATGCCCACGGCTATCTCCCAATTCATTCTGAGTTTGAGAAGGGAAAAAAATGAAATGATATTTAGTAGACTCCTATAACAGTTTGGGTAACACCAGCTGTTTTAACAAACAATCCTCAAAGTTAAAGTGGCTGAAAGTTTAAAATGTGTTTCTCATTAATAACATTCAAATAAAGGCATTTCTTGTCTGGGTGGCTTTTACCAGGGAGTAATTCAGGAAACTGGCCTCCAGTATTGTAGCTCCAACTTCCTAGAGGGCTTCAGAGTTCTCCTTTTTCAAATGACACATGTTGAAAGAACTGGAAGAAACATTTATATGTACCACCCTCTAAAAGTGGTACACATTAACCGGGACACAGTTGCATGGAAATATAGCCAAGCTATGTATCCAGAAAGAAGAAAAAACAAGTGTGGTAAAGAGCTATCAGTCTATGCCTCAGCTTTTCAAAATCCAGTCTTACGGCGCACAGATCTAGAGAGAATATGTAGACCTTATATTATGTAAAGGCATTCACAGAACTATTTTTGTTGTTGTTAACATACTTGAGCTTCCCTACGGCAATGTTCTTGTAGGTTTCCCAGACTAATAGCCTTCAAAATGGAGGTGAATATATACATACAAGAAAAAAATAAGTAACTTAAGTCTTCTAATAAGATATGTTTTATAAAAATATGAAGAAGATATAGTAACAGCTCCTTACAGCAGTGTAAGACCTTTCTTTCATCCATCTCCTCACCTATGGTTACTATCCTCACAATCCCATTTCCCTCTATGTACATTTTACTTTATAACATTATGTTCTCATACACAAAAAATACAATAAAAAATTTTCCATTATCCAACAGAATTTATAAAGCCTACAAAATTTCTAAATATATCATTTTATATGTAATGAATATGCTTGTTATTTCCCATTAAAAAAAAATGCAGCGGCCGGGTGTGGTGGCTTATGCCTGTAATCTCAACACTTTGGGAGGCCGAAGTGGGTGGATTGCTTGAGCTCAGGAGTTTGGGACCCACCCGGCCAATGTGGCAAAAATCTGTCTCTACTAAAAACCCAAAAATTAGCCAGGAGTGGTGGTGGGCACCTGTGGTCCCAGCTACTCATGAGGCTGAGGTGGGAGGATTGCCTGAGCTCAGAAAGCGGAGTTTGCAGTGAGCCATGGTTTTATCACTGCAGTCCAGCTTGGCGACCACTTGTTCTTTTTTGCTTGTTTCTTTGTCTTTTGCTTTACTTTGCATCATAGAGATACGGGTGAAAATTTCTTTAACCCTTTAAGTGTTTCTACTTTGTCTCATATGCTATACCTCATTTGTTACTTGGAGTATACTCTTGGCCATGCTATTAGAAATGGATGATGTAAAAATGGCGCCCCCTGAAGTCAAGCAATGTGAAACATTTGTAAATCTCTACAACAAATGCCCTAAATTGTAGTCGCTTAATTAAAATAATTATTTTCTATTTACTGTAATAGTCAACAGGTAAGAAATGCAGTCTTGCATGGATGTCCCACTAAAAAATATATGCCATCTTTTAGTCCGTTGATACTTAGCATATTGCCCTCATCTTCATGGACAAAAATTGGCAATTTTTCTGTAAAATCTCTCTTTCATATTACTGATGACAAAATTCTGCACTTTATCTGAGGAAGAAAATGACAAGACTGACATGTGGGACTCACTTCTCACTGTATAATACCATCCTTGGCTCCTGCCCCAGGATAATTTTGATATTTTTAATTATCAAACCAAAACCAATAAGTTATATAAAATATAGGCAAAGTTACATTCACTGGGAGAATTTTAGCACTCTCAAAATAACATATCAGTTCCTATTATCCAGTAAATTCCTACCACGTCCCACGCTCCCGGAAGTGTGTCCGGATTCATGTTTTTCTGATAGGTGAATGCAAAGTCACTAGCCATTGCCATTTGCCAGGGATTCAGAGAGACAGAAGTGTGGAAATTAACATTTAGATGTATGAGAAATATATGCAAGAAACTGAGACTGAGCAGGCAATTTGTAGATTGCATACAGTGTAGCCTAAACATGTTTGCTTCAGTGAATTTGTCATTTCTTGCATGGGGTAAGTCTAAAATTATTTATTGTTTAATTTTTTTCATTAGAAATAAACCCTCTTGGAAGTAATTAAAATGCATATTTCACAAAAAATTAGTGCGATGATGATGACAATCATGTAACTTGCAAAACTTGAGTGTTGTTTTATCACAAACCTTATGAAAACAGATGCATCCTTGCCTTAAAAAGGAGAAGGAAAAAGGAAATGCTCTGGGCACAGCATGAAGCCCAGAAAAAGAATATTTCCAACAGCCCCATGGACATATGGAGAGGATAGAACTTAACAGGGCTCATCATCTCTGGTCATCAGAGAAATGCAAATCAAAACTACAATGAGATAGCATCTCACACCAGTTAGAATGGCGATCATTAAAAAGTCAGGAAACAACAGGTGCTGGAGAGGATGTGGAGAAATAGGAACACTTTTACACTGTTGGTGGGAGTGTAAACTAGTTCAAACATTGTGGAAGACAGTGTGACGATTCCTCAAGGATCTAGAACTAGAAATACCATTTGACCCAGCCATCCCATTACTGGGTATATACCCAAAGGATTATAAATCATGCTACTATAAAGACACATGCACATATATGTTTATTGAGGCACTATTCACAATAGCAAAGACTTGGAACCAACCCAAATGTCCGTCAAGGATAGCCTGGATTAAGAAAATCTGGCACATATATACCACGGAATACTATGCAGCCATAAAAAAGGATGAGCTCATGTCCTTTGTAGTGACTTGGATGAAGCTGGAAACCAGCATTCTCAGCAAAATATCACAAGGACAGAAAACCAAACACCGCATGTTCTCACTCACAGGTGGGAATTGAACAATGAGAACACTTGGACACAGGGCGGGGAACATCACACACAGGGGCCTGTCGTAGGGTGGAGGGATGGGGGAGGGATAGCATTAGAGGAAATACCTAATGTAAATGATGAGTTAATGGGTGCAGCAAACCAACACGGCACATATATACATATGTAACAAACCTGCACGTTATGCACATGTACTCTAGAACTTAAAGTGTAAAAACAATAATAATAAAAAACTTCCAGCCCAAACAAAAATAGTATTAGCTACATTCAGAAGACCCCACAGAAAGGGTATAGTTTCCCACAGACACCCTACTAGAAAGCAGCTTCGTGGACAACATTCACCTCACCGTTTCCCAAAGATCATCATCATCACATCCTCTGCCTTAGAACCTATAACAGTGTCATTCATGGGGATGCCTCTCGCTCCTTAAAAAGTACTGAGAAAATTATGAGACAGAGAAGAAAGGGGGAGGGGATACAATTAAACTTTGTTTACAGAAGCCTGGGCTCTCCTGACTTTGATTTTGCTACTAAAGTAGCCGTGGGGAAATATTTCTTGAAACAATAAAAATGATTGACTTAGGTTTCAAAGTTTTTAACTCACAATAAAGAATTTTTTCTCCTTTCTCTTGCACTGTTTTTCATAATGATGGTATAAAACATATTAAGGTGTTATCACAAACAATTACTTCATGAGATTATATTTGAGTTTGGGGATTTCAAAGTCATTTTATTAAAATTAGCTGTATTGTTACACATTTTGTCTGGAAAGTCTAAGTAATGTCATTAAAAGCCCAGTTTAATTGCTTTGAAAAAGCTTATGCTTGACATGATATTCAGTCTCTTAGATTTCACAATTCATTCTCCATGTATTACTACTATGACTGACTTGTTTGTCTCTTTTTGAGTTCCTTCTAGAATTCAAAAGCATTAAGATTTAAGTGTGGCTGACTGCCACGGTTACTACTTGAGACCGTCATTACTAGACTGAATGAAGAGACGAACATAGAAATGGTAACAAAAAACAAAAGAAACTGTTTTAAGGAAAGGCTAGCATGGGGAAGAAGAGAGCTCCCTGCTTCTAGTGGTCCTCATTCCATCTTTGCATTCAGATTCAACTGGTTCATGGTTCATACTGGGGGAACAAGGTCCATGGTTGGGATCCATGGGTCCCTCCAGTCTCCTGTTCAACGGTCGTACACACCTTGGGAGCACCCACTCGGTTTGTTCATCTTCTGCAAAGATGTAAGTATACCCTCGTCCCCACGTTAGTAAATCTACCAAACAGAATCAAAAGTGTTTTCTTTTTTATTTATTTTTTATTTTTTTTGCTGTAGCCGGGAGGCACGCCATTGCTGAAACATTTGTAACTCAGCTTCTGCCTCTTTGGTTAATTGCCGTGGGGTAAAACTTTCCACTGAGAACAAGAAGCAGGCTCTTTCTGATTAACACACGGCACAGAGAAAGCAAATCGAGGCTTATCCTTCTCGTAAAACAGTATAGCAAAAAGCAATCCTTAAACCTTCAATTTGCACTGTACAGGTGGGTCCACTAGATGCTATGGGTGGTGATAGATAAATCTCTCTCCTAGTTGCACTTCCAAATCCCTGACCACCTCGCTTCTTCTTATGTGGAGAAGGGTACAATTTACAGGGAAGAAGCGAAAATTGAGCAACGTATTGTCCCAGTTCAAAAACCCAAAGATCTTGTGACATTACCACTACCTGAATTTCTCCTTCACAATCAAAATCAACAACTCCTGGGCCTGTAAGTTAAGACAGCTTTTACCAAAATCAATCCCTTGTATCTTGTTGGCAAAGATCCCCAAATACCAATGTGAATCTTAGTGAGTTTGTTTCTTTCATTTAATGTAATTGGTTCTCTGGGAGATCTAATCCTGCGTTTCCAGGTGTTCCTGGGGAGAGGGAATCCATGTGCCTCTGGAAACCCACCCCTGAAACGGAGTTGTGGCCTGGACAGGGAACGCCCTCATAGTTTGAGGTGCCCGGGTCCAGGCCCCCTTCTTGCTTCCCAACAGGGGGGTGCCGTTTTGATGAAATTTTGAGTGGTGTTGATTAGCCCAATGATTTCCTTTATTGCATCGAGGGCAAAGTCCGGCATTTTTTTTCTGTTAAGAGGGGGACTATGTTACAAGATCTCTTGTTCACAGAGGTCTGACGGCATTCTCTTTTGAAACGTCCAAGTTTTCTACACTTATGACACTTTCCCACTTTAGGGCTTGACCCTTGGCTTCTTTTAGATCTGTCAGCCACCAAATTTGCTATTGCCTGAGTCAATACTGCAGAGCAATGAAGCTCAGTTCCCACATCTTGACAAGCTCTGAGAAAGCCTCCCAAGTCCTCTGCACATCTCACAGGTGCCAGTGCACGTTTACAATCCATGAAAGCCAAAGCTAAAGTTAGCCTTTCTGTAGCCACCAAAGAAGACGATACAAGGCAATTTTCATTCTCCCTCTTCTGTTCACCATTTTCGATAGGCACTGTAGGTGGGGCAAAAAATTCTAAATAACAAAAAGATGGTACATACCAAAACTCCAAACAAACAAAAAAGAGAAAAGAAATAGCCAAATTCTTCCTCGTTTCCCTGTTTTAAAAACTTCCCATTCTTTGTACCTCTAGGGCACTGACCAGTACCTTTTTAGAGCACTAACCTTATGTCGCTGCCAACAGAGTTGTAATGGGCTTTCTCGTTCATCTAGTTGGTTTTAGTTTTTTTCTGTTCCAGCAGACCTTCCTCGCTCTAGTCCTATAGGACCCTATCTGTCCCTATCTGTCCCTGTCTGTTCCTCCAAATCTCTCCTAGTCTTTGCTAGTCTCTACTTTTGTACCTCTTTAGGACACAGACCAGTACCTCTTCAGGGCACTGACCTTATATTGCTAGTCTTTATCTATTCCTATCTGTCTCTGTCTGTCCCTATGGTACCTGTTAGTTCCTGCAAGTTCCTGCAAGTCCCCGTCTTTCCCTACCTATCTCTACTTTTCTCTACTTACTTATCTCTACTTACTTTTCTCTACTTACCTCTACTTATCTCTGTTTATCCCTGCAGACCTCTTCAGGTCCCTCCAGGTCCTTTCAGGTCTCTGTATGTCCCTGATAGTCTCTGAAATGTCCCTGTTCAGGCACCATTTGTAGTTGACTGTCACTGCTACTACATGAGACCATCACAAGTATGTTGAATTGAGCCTGGAACTCCTAGATGATAAACATTTTTTTATACCAACCTTCAACTTTTTCATTAAAATTAGATTGGGTAGATACTATAAATAGTGTCCCAAGCACTAGTGGAAAGATTCTACCATGTCTTACACTGGTTACTATGAGTTTGGAGTCAGAGGTATAAGGCTTGAAGAAAAAAGCACAATGAAATACAATTTTATCCACCAATCCGACATTTTTAAGTTTTAGGAAAATTGTGTCTTAATTCAAGCTGCTATAACAACAACAAAAACAACATACACTGACTGGTTTAAACAATAGAAATTTACTTCTCGGAGTTCTGGAGGCTGAGAGTCCAAGATAAAGGTGCCAGTCAATGGTTACAGGTAAAACCTCCATTCCTTGTCATGTCCTCATAAAGAGACAGAGAGAGAGACCAGACAGAGAGAGAGAGAGAGAGAGAGAGAAAGAGAGAGAGAGACTCATGACCTAATTATTTCCCAAAGGCCCTGTTTCCAAATATCATCTCAGTGGAATTAGGGTTTTAACATACAAATTTTGGGGGCGACGCAAGTATTTTTAGTCCATACCAAGTTAGATGCAACTTTACCAAAATTATTGTGGGTAATTTGACAAGGTAAGAGAGGTCAGTGAAACGCAAATTATATGATAACTTCTTGGTGCTCAGGCAGTATACCTGCCAGGTTGTCTCCTGGCTAGAGGAATGAAACAAGTAGTATTCAACAAGACTTTGGTAGTGAGTAAAACATGGCATATAAGTTGTTTTTTGTGGGAATGACATAGTCTAAATATTATTTTGATGACATACCTGTGTATTGACCTCTCTTGCATCAAAATGACATAAACATGGAGAAATAATTCTGAAAGTCAGCAGGAACTTGCAACTCACTTCTGGGAGGGGACCAGTTAGGGGAACTATGATATTAGACTGTGGCAATGTCGACCTCCACACAGGAGGAAAGAGTAGTCACATACCCTAAATCTTGCGTAACGTGGTGTCTTAAAATTTCAATAAATCTACTGAGTTAAATTAACAGCAAAGCAGAAAAATTTGCCAAAGCTATTTATAGCTCCACTAAAATGGAAGACAAGTTAAGAAAATGTGTGTTCTAAATAATCATGTCAGAAGTTAGTGTTTCCTTCAAATATAATCATAGGCCTAAGAATTTTTATCCAAGATTGATGAAATTTTATTTTACGCAACAATAAATGGAACACAAAGGCTGCACATCATTTTTTTGTCTTCTGTACATATCACTAAAAAAAAAAAGCATCAAACTAAAACAATGAATATAATATTAAATAGGGATTTTTTAATTGCTAATATTTTTAATATAGAGAAAGAATAATGTTTAATGATTAATTACAAAATTGATGAACTAGAATAGTGAGAAATCAAGGAGAGCTGAAATTTATGGAACTTTATGATAAACTAATAAAGGACAATTTTATTCCTAGCATTTTAATTATTTGCTTTATCATTGCATTTTAAATGCAATTATCAAAAATAAAGGTTATAACTAAGAATTTCAAAAATTCTCATTGTAGCAGAATTGGTAACAAAGAATTGAATACAGAGGGTGAATCTTATATTGCTTTATTATTATTAAAACTAAGGAAATATTTAGAATTTTGTGTACTAATTTAGCTACGAAGGAAAAGGAGGGCGTCATCATTTTAAAAATGTTTCCACATTGTCTACAGAAGCCTAGATTATTAAAAAAAAGAGTGGCCTCAGATAGATATCTGATTGGAATACACTACAAAATCTAGTAGTCAACTTGTTAAGATATCTGAAGATTCCATTTAAGACAGATTGTGAAAAAATATACTGGAAGAAATAGATTTTATTTAATATCCTTAAACATAAAACTTTGTTACCTTCTAAAACGCTATATTTAGTTTTATTTCTATTTTATAATATTGTATATGATGTGCTTTCTTTTCCAGGTAAAACTAACAAAAGACAATAAAATGTTATTAACTTGAGTTATGGTTAAAGTAGAAGAGCTGTGGATATTACACTACATGAAAAAAAATTCTTCCACAGATATTATTTGTGTATGCATACATCGATAGAGATACACATAGATAGATACAGATACAGATAGATATCGATATAGATATAGACTTGGCTATAGAGACTGTGGGTTTTTTAATACAGCAAGAAAAGAGAAATATTTATTTACACTGGATCAACAAAGGAACTAGGCTATTAACTCAGATTGTAATAGTCTAAAATTTTTCCAAAAATTAGGAAAAATAAAATATTTATATGAATTTTGCCTGGAAGTGTTTCAAAATAGTTTGCAAAGAGTGAGAATGAATTTCAACTTGTGAGTAAAGGGTAAAACTGAAATGAAAGTTAAAACAAATAGTTTCCCCCTTTCATTATTAGATCATGATTTATTGAAAACAATCTTGATTGTTAAATATTGATTAAAATTAATGAAGGTGCAGAGTTCCTAAGACCTTGTCATTTGAACGTTATGAATATCTTCACAATGAAAACATTATTCGTGTTATTTATGTGAGCTTATATGTACTTTTCCGCATAAATAATTTGTACTCTTAGTTAGAAACAAATGAACTATGGCTTTTGGTTTGGTTTTGTTTATTTATGAATAAACATTAAGAACTGTGCTTATGAAATTTTCAGGAAATATACTGAATGCTTTAATGTACTCTGTAACATTGCAACATATAATTTCCCCTCTTCCCTCACTTTTTGATGTAGCTATCATTGCTTTGAGTTTTTATTTACTGGTTATTTTAAAGAGCTTAATGGTCTCATTTACTTAAAAGTGGAATAATATTGGACTACTATTTTCTTTTTTTAACCTCTCTAGGTCATTCTACAGTCATTACCTTCCAGCCTATTTGTTTCTGCAGAATCTACGTATGTAATACCTATAAATTTTCTTTTCATATTTGTTCACTCATCCACATCATTAATAAAGTTATTAAGTGAAGACAAACCCAGCAGTAGCACTCCCTTACCACCTTGAAATATTGTGCTGATGTAGAGGTTGTATCTGATTTAATTCTTCAAGGATTATTAATGTATGTGGAACTAGCTTTTCAGCCATGGAAATCTTTAGTACGTATTTAAGAAAAAGTGATTTAATGCTCAGTAGGGAAATGTTGTCCAAAACAGTGCCTGAAAAAAGCAGGTATGTGTCCACATTGGGCACACTGCAGGTGGGGTATATTGTTGAGATAGGAAGGAAAAATAAAATGTGAGAAAAGGCAAGAGACAGAAAACAAAGTGCAGGTCGGGAAGAGACAACTTTAACTTCCACCATTTGTTAATCAATTCTGAAATATTTTCATTTTTACAGCCTAAAATTATGCATGTGTTGGCATTTTTTTAAATGGATGATATTACAGTTTTCATTCAAGCATTGGTATAGAGCCTAACCTTTTGTTATGGATGAGATGTTTAGATTCTTCATCTGGAAAATCTATTTTCCTGTTATTGAAGTCACATATATACATATATGTATATATACTTTTATATATGTGTCTATATATAGTAAAAATGTGTATATTTATTTTAAAAAGTATTTTGGTTCATGTTTTTGTTCTTAATGTTGTCCTACTAAAATTACTTAATCATAAATCTTTCTACTAACAGTAAGGCAGAAACAGAGTAACAAGGGATTTTTTTTTTTCTATTAAACTGAAGACAGAGAAGTTTGGTATTTATTTTTACCTAATATAGCAAACTTCAAAAAACAATCTATTTCAATAAAAATATTTTCCCCAGCTACAGCAATAAACAAGGGATAATATATAATCTAAAAATGTAATGGAAGAAAAGGCACAGCATTAAGAGATTGCCTTATTTTCCTTTCTAGCACATCTTGCTCTTAAAATATCCATTAGTCTATAAAGGGTGCTATTTACAAGGATCAGTTTCCCTGTATTTCTGGGTTGAATGATCCTCTACTTTTACTATCCTTTGCTAAACATGACAAAATAAGAAAATAAAAGATAAATATGAGATGAAGACCTCAAATGACATCAATTTCATTGCCTCTAAAAAGTTGTGATGATGAATGTTACCACTACTCAACTGAGTTTATGAAAAGGCAAATATACTTTTAAAAATGTAGGGGTGCTTATACAAAGACTTATGTGTTTACGTTTACTTTTTTTATAAAGCTGATTTAATCAAAAGATTTAGTTAAGGCCGGGCGCGGTGGCTCACGCCTGTAATCCCAGCACTTTGGGAGGCCGAGGCGGGCGGATCACGAGGTCAGGAGATCGAGACCATCCCGGCTAAAACAGTGAAACCCCGTCTCTACTAAAAATACAAAAAATTAGCCGGGCGTAGTGGCGGGCGCCTGTAGTCCCAGCTACTTGGGAGGCTGAGGCAGGAGAACGGCGTGAACCCGGGAGGCGGAGCTTGCAGTGAGCCGAGATCCCGCCACTGCAGTCCAGCCTGGGCGACAGAGCGAGACTCCGTCTCAAAAAAAAAAAAAAAAAAAAAAAGATTTAGTTAGTAATTTATTGACTCAAATACTTTATGCCTTCTATTTCACATTTTTTACAGGTTTATAAGTCTAGATACCTATGTCAATTAGTGAATTTTCTACCAAGAGTTCATGTTTTGTTGCTTAAAGGCAGATAATTTTTTTATTTAAATAATATTAAAAAGAGGAAAATATTTCAAAATACCAAGATTGGGAGGTGTCTGGGAGATTTATATGTATTGCTTTTATTAACTGTCTAGCACTGGATTTATAAACCAGCTTATTTTTTTAATTTAAAAGCTCTCTGCCTTGCAATTTAATTCACATGATCTGCATTAACCATGCCATATTCAAAATTTCATTGATAAATTCTATCCAGTAGTCAATATCGAATTGTAAACTGATGTAATGTGCTTTAAAATATGAAGATTTAATCTTTAAAATATGAATATTTGATTGAATAATTACTACCACTAAAATCATGTTTACTTATTAGAATTATCATATAGGAATTGTTTTATAATGTATATGTTAATTGAATGTGATTTCTTGATACTTAGGATATACGTTAAGTATACATAAACAAATTGGAAATAAAGTTCTGATATACTGTTCCATGAAAGTTTCAAATCTTTATATTAAAGATTACCATTTGAGTCAGAGGCAATGATAGGATTTTCTGTACTTTATCCACATGTTTATATATACACATATATATATGTTTTCATATAACCTTTCATAAGGATAGAAAAGAACTATGAATGTTTCTCCATCAGGCATCTTTCAAATACAACATAACAATAACTTCCTTAAGTATTTTATTTAGGCAAAAACTATAAAATGATGGAATGGAAAAAGAATTCTCAATGATCAAACCAAAGCAATTATATTTGATTCTGAATTTTAAAAGATTAGTCCATCAATTTATATTTAGAGGTTAGAAAACACATTCTGAGAGACAGAAAATTATATTACTTTTCTAACTTCCTGGAGAATATTGTGCTTTGTCAAATTTTACATTTATGAGAAGTTTTATATTAAAGCTATAAAATCTATCAGGGTAAGTTAATATGAGTATTTGAAAGTTTCACTGTTAAATTTATATTATCACATATTAAATGAAAGAACTGTTAACTGTGTACTGAATTCAAAAGTTAATATAGCTTCTCTCCTTTTTAAGAAATGGGACACAATATTAAAAAATTAAAGAGTTTTCAAATATTTATACTTAAATTTATATCTAAGGAATTATATATAGAATGCATACCTTTCAAGTAGATACTATTGTTGCTGTTAAGATTATTGTCAACAAAATTTAAATACACAGACTATTAAATAAAGAAATTAAAACAACAAAAAATAACCTCTAGGCCAGGTGTCCTGGTTAACCTGTAATCCCAGCACTTCAGAAGCTTGAGGCAAGAGGATTGCTTGAGACCAATAGTTTGAGACCAGCCTGAGCAGCAAACTGAGACTCTATGTGTATCAAAAAATGTTTTAAAAGTAGCCGGGTACTGAGGCAGGCACTTGTAATCCCAGCTACTTGGGAGGCTGAGGTGGGAGGTATGCTTGGGCCCAGGATTTTGAGGCTGCAGTGAGCTGTGATTGCACCACAGCCCTCCAGCCTGGGAGAGAGAGGAGACCTTGTTTCTAAAAACTAACTAAATAAACAATAATGTAAAAAATCTCTCTTTAGGTGTATGCTTCTCTTTGCCAGTGTTTAAGGGTTAAAAAAATCAATATGAGAGATTAACTAAAGTACCAATTTAGAGTTAAATGAGTGCATTTGCCACTTGAGTGCCGATTGCCTCGCATGACAGACAATATTAAGTGCTGATGACTTTAACTTTCACAAGTTTTATGCGATAGTGGGATAAATTTTTACTTAAAATGTGTTAAACTTCGGTTTAATTGCACTAATTAATGTCTCAATAGATATACTGTTGTATCTACCTCAAAATGCAAACACCAATGAAGTAATTCATCAGAAGACTTGATATGAATAAAGAATGGAACAGTAAAGTTGAAGATAAAAAACATAGAAATTGAATAACAAATACAAGTAAGAAACAAGAAGAGTGATAAATAGCAGAACATGGCATCCAAGAGCTGAAGGACAGCTCTGGATGCCTAACTTGAACGGATTCATGAAAGAGAACAAGGATGATAAATACTTAAAAACAAAATGAATGAGAATTTTCCAAAAGAAGTGAAGGCAATCAAATCGTAAATCCAAGAAACATTTCTAGAGATATAGGGGCTACGTAAACAAACTAAAAAAAAGGTAAAAAATTATATGAAGACAAACATAGTTGTGTTGTATGTATTATATAGTTAAATATACGTTATACACAGGCACGAAGAAAAGAAGTACAGGAAACCTGTCCTCAAGAACTATTTAACTGTATACTGGAAATTTTAACCAGTGTACTAAAGTAAGAAAAATAAACAAAAGGCATACAAATTGGATACGAAGAAATAAAACTCTATTTGATTCGTGGATGGTCTATGCACAGTATTCCATTATGTACAAAATAATTAAAATTATTAGCAGTGAAGCTGCTAGAAATAAATTGTGAGTACAAAATAATTAAAATTATTAAAAGTGAAGCTACTAGAAATAAATTGTGAGTTTTGTAATTTCACACTATGCACTATAACACTATAATGTTAATATACAGAATTATTTTTTATATATAATTGTTGCAGGAAAAACCCAGACCTGTGTAGAAGAACATCCCTCTGCCAAAGAGATAGTGCTGAAATAACAAAGAAGGACTCAGACAAGTCCAGCTTCATGAGAAGATGAGTTTATTAGGACTTACGTAAAGGGCAGCGGGATAACTCCAGAGATCCGCCTGCTGCCCACCATCTTCCTCTAAGCTGCTTTTAAGCTACTTTTTTCTTTTCTTTTCTTTTCTTTTCTTTTCTTTTCTTTTCTTTTCTTTTCTTTTCCTTTCCTTTCCTTTCCTTTCCTTTCCTTTCCTTTCCTTTTCTTTTCTTCTTTTCTTTTCTTTTCTTTTCTTTTCTTTTCTTTTCTTTTCTTTTCTTTTTTTTCTTCTTTTCTTTTCTTTTCTTTGACGGAGTCTCGCTCTGTCGCCCAGGCTGCAGTGCAGTGGCGGGATCTCGGCTCACTGCAAGCTCCGCCTCCCAGGTTCACGCCATTCTCCTGCCTCAGCCTCCCGAGTAGCTGGGACTATAGGCGCCTTCCACCACGCCCGGCTAATCTTTTGTATTTTTAGTAGAGACGGGGTTTCACCACGTTAGCCAGGATGGTCTTGATTTCCTGACCTCGTGATCCGCCCGCCTTGGCCTCTCAAAGTGCTGGGATTACAGGCATGAGCCACCGCGCCCGGCCAAAGCTACTTTTCTGGCTCTTTGCTTACTACATGTGATGAAACTGTTCTTCTTGGTATGTACCTAGATATGCTCCCGGATGTTTTGGTTTTCAGGGACATCTGCTCCTCGGCTGAGCACCATGAACTTTGCTCACCATCTAGCCTTCAGGACTCAAGCAGTCAACATATGCCCTTAAATTCCCTGGTGGGGGACCCGCTACTTTACAACACTATTAATGAACAATTGGAAATTAGAATTTTTTAAAGTTACATTTAAAGTAGCACAAGAAACATTAAATTCTTAATCTAAAAAAACATGGAGAAAGGGTAACAAAAACTAAAAAAACACTGGTAAAAGAAATCAAAGAAGAAGTAAATAAGTAAAGAGCTTGGTAGCCAATATTGACAATAAATTAATTCTGTTCAAACCAAACAAAAAATTCAATACAAAAGTTCAATCCAGTTAAAATTCCTAACAGGATATTTGCAACTAACAAACAAGCTCATTCTAAAACTTTCAACAGAGAAGCAAAGGAATTATAATGGAAAAATCATTTTGACAATAAAAAAATTGAAGAATCCACTGATTTATATGTATACTATATACATATATGTATATATACATATATTATATATACATACATTATTATACATATATGTAATATACATATGTATATCTGTTGGTGACTTTAACCATATGATTCATAATTTCAAAAACTGGTGAATAGTCAAAAAGTTATATACTGTATCTATTTAATATCACATTAGGAAGAAAAAGAAACAAATCTGATAACATAACAACATGAATGTGTCTCAGATTTATTATGCTATTTTAAAAGCCAGATTTAAAGGCCTATTCAGGATGCTGTTTGCTCCCTTGTGTATGACATTCTAGAAAATATAAAACCATAGGGACAAAGAACAGCGATTTCCAAAGACTGAGGGCAGCAGAAATACTGATTCAAAAGGCACAAAAGGGAATTTTTCTAGGTGATGTTACTGTTCTATATCTTGAGGATGGTATTTGTTATATAACCATCTATGTTTTCAACACACTGCATACTTAAAAAGATGACTTTTGGCATATATAAATTTTAATTCGATAAACCTGAGTTTTTAAAACAAAGATTTTCTGTAACCAGTAGACTCATAACACTGTCTTCCTGCCATTGACTAAGATGGTTTCAATAGTGGATTCCTCTTGTTCATGCCAGCCAATGTGTCTTTTGTTTAACCAAAACCCTTGAAATATCTTTGCCTCAGGCTTTTATTGCAATTTCCTGTAATTTAAAGACTTCACCCTCCTATTCACAGGAGTTAGTATCTTGAAATGGTAATAACTTGAAAACAGCTATGGTGGGAGGACTTACTCTTTGAAGTGTAAATTACATACATGCAGCATACACCATGTATCAAGACTTTCTTTTTTTCTGGTTTTTTTTTTTTTTTTTTTTTTTTTGAGATGGCGTCTCACTCTGTTGCCCAGTCTGGAGTGCAGTGGTGTGGTCTCAGCTCGCTGCAACCTCCACCTCCCTGGTTCAAGCGATTCTCCTGCCTCAGCCTCCTGAGTAGCTGTGACTACAGGCACCATGCCACCACGCTGGGCTAATTTGTGTATTTTTTATTAGAGACGGGGTTTCACAATATTGGCCGGGCTGGTCTTGAACTCCTGACCTTGTGATCCACCCGCCTTGGCCTCCCAAAGTGCTGGGATTACAGGCGTGAGCCACCGTGCCCAGCCGAGTTTCTTTTCATTTGGATCACTAGTTTACCAACATCACTGCCTTTACCCAACTCTATTAACAATTATTTAACCTAGTTTATCAAGTCACTTGTCAAAATAGAGATTTATATTGTTTATATATTTAATATTTTACAAATCTGTATTTTTGTACTTCACTGTCTAATTAAACCTTTGGGGTAACTTTTATATGTATCCCAAATAGGACAGGACAGTCATTCATTTCTTATAATGTATCAGCTAATTTCAAGGAGACATCGGAATTTTTGTGGAGACATCGGAATCTGAAGAGCAAAGTGATTCAAATTGGGTCACAGATTAAATAATTTTTAAAATGTTTACTTTAAATATCTTAAAAAACTTTAAGGAGAAAATTAATTTTTCTATATTGTTCTTGGCCTTAAAATATACATTAAGCATTAGTTTTCTGGCTTTTGATGTTTTTCATAAAATTAGCTCAAAAAATGCAAAAAGCTTGTATGAATATATAAGGGCCTTTGTAATCATATTGTAATTGCTTGACATAGTTAATTTCTTGATTTCTGACTCTGGCATCTGAGTTTCATAATTGTTATGTAATTACTCTATTTTTTTAAATCATGTTTTTAAATGGAAGTTTCAGTCTCAGATCTTTTCTATTTCATGCAATAAATAATTTTTAGCAGTAAAGAATTATTTGGCAATAAATATTTTTTGAGACGTCATGCTCCAATGATATAATTTAGTCCACTTTCTGCTTGAAAATATGCAAAGAAGAAATCTCTTGTTGGTATTAATTTCAGAAGTCGTCTTTGCACACACAATGATGATCATTCTGTTTTCCTTAGATAATTCATGGTAGTGTAACCCAATAATATAATCTTAGATGTGTAACTTACATACATGCACGTGGCACATGAAGCATGTGGTGTACTGAGATGAAAATAAGCTTGTAAAAGTCATTGGTTACCTAACTGCGGCTTGGTACCTAGCACACCCTACCTGCAACGGTCCCAACAGTTACACTGGCTCTATTTGACTTAGATGATGCAGGGGTGGGTTCAAAATCCCTCTCTTTTTCCTAATTACATACGACTGAGCATCCCTTCCCTTGTCTCAATCTGGGATTTTGAGAGTTTATTATAAGATCCCCAGTGAAAATCCACCCAGGTGGTTCTTCCCTACCCTCTTTAAATGTTCACACCCTAGTGTGAACAAGCTAGAAGTGGATTCTTTGAGGCAGTGACAACAGACCATGTTCAACTTCTACACTCCTTGATGTTTGTGTATTGGAAGAAGGTGTGACAAGATGCCAGGCACCAGAATTTCAGGTTGGTCTTTATGGAATTCTTGAACTCTAGGGCTGCATCCCTCCCTATAATGAGGCAAAGTTGGGGAAGTAGAAAGTTCAATGCAGCCTATGATTTTTACCTCATGGTTTTCTATAACCTAATACATATCACATTGAATTATGTGTTAACTCGTGAGCATTCAAATTAATAGAGCATGCTGTACCAAAATATTGTCATTATTTTGGTTATTATAAATTATATATGGCCATGATCAGTGCTATAGGGCAAGACTATATCATTTTTTACTTCTAGGCTAAAAGGATTATGTTCCTACACATGAATTATGTAACTTTTTAAAAAAAATAGTGATATTTTTCTAT
Organism: Homo sapiens; assembly: GCF_000001405.40. Classification (NCBI taxonomy): domain Eukaryota; kingdom Metazoa; phylum Chordata; class Mammalia; order Primates; family Hominidae; genus Homo; species Homo sapiens. Next base: position 863,407 of record NT_187651.1, on the reverse strand, counting down.
TAGAAGTTAAAGCAATTAGTTCTTTACAACATTGGCTACGTACTCAAATCAACTGATTCCTGGGTTTCCCCTCAATCCAAGTAAATTAGGCAGAGAGCAAAACTAAGGAACAGTATTTTCAAAGCTGACCAGGATTGACAATGACTGGTATTCAAATAGCTGTGAATTTGTGCAAATGTAGCAGAAGACAGCAAAGGGTTCTGGATATGCCAATTATTATTTATTTATTTTTATTATACTTTAAGTTCTAGGGTACATGTGCACAATGTGCAGGTTTGTTACATATGTATACATGTGCCATGTTGGTGTGCTGCAGCCATTAACTCGTCATTTACATTAGGCATATCTCCTAATGCTATCCCTGCCCCCTCCTCCCACCCCACGACAGGCTCCGGTGTGTCGTGTTCCCCACCCTGTGTCCAGGTGTTCTCATTGTTCAATTTGCACCTATGAGTGAGGATATGCGGTGTTTGGTTTTCTGTCCTTGCGATAGTTTGCTCAGAATGATGGTTTCCAGCTTCTAGAACTGGAAATACCATTTGACCCAGCCATCCCATTACTGGATATATACCCAAAGGATTATAAATCATGCTGCTATAAAGACACATGCACACATATGTTTATTGCGGCACTATTCACAATAGCAAAGACTTGGAACCAACCCAAATGTCCATCCATGATAGACTGGATTAAGAAAATGTGGCACATATACACCATGGGAATACTATGCAGACATAAAAATGTATGAGTTCATGTCCGCTGTAGGGACATGGATGAAGCTGGATATGCCAATTATTATTAAAATAATTTTTGGGTTAAGCTGATTTTTACTTTTCTGAAAGAAAGATCCAAACACAATGCCTATAATAAATCTTAGAAATTGTCTGTCTCCATTGGTGAGATTAGTCAGTATAAACACTAACATATATAAATAAAACCAAACAACAGTTACTCTTTTCCATAATGTTATGCTTTTGTGTTCAATGAAATATTTAATTTAATTACTAAATTTCTAGCATTTCTCTGAAGGATAAAACAAATAAGCAAACAAACAAAGTAACAAGAAAAACCCAAAATAACTTCAATGAATTAAAACTGTCTAGTGCTACCTTTCCTATAATTATTGTCACCAAATAAAGTGCCTATTGGACAGAGATGGCTGGTTCACTGCAATCTCCATTGACCCTTTCGCCATCAGTAAAAATGTCCTCTAATGCTTAGCCGGACACATGATCACCAGGAATAAATGCTATATTCCCAATCTTTTCTTAACATAGGGCATGACACATGTGACCAATTTCTGACCTATGTTGTGTAAGGGGAAGTAACGCGTGTAACTTCTGAGAAGCTGACTTACATGCAGGGGGCATGTCCTATCTCTGTGCTTTCTTCCTTCTTGGAAAGGCAGCTCTGATGGCTAGATCTGGGGCAGCCATGGGGCAACATGAGAAGCAGCAGTACTTGGAGGTGCAAAGCAACAAGATAATAGCCATCTGGATTTCTGATGATCATGAAGACATCATATCTGAACTGGGGTGTCTGCATATCCCTGAGAGGCAAAAAATGTCTATATTGTTTCCATGAGTTCTTAGCCTACACTGCACATACGAGTTATCAGAGAACTTTCAAAATTTATCAAATGCCCAGTCCTATTAAGGTATCTGGAAACTTATTCTTGGCCTATAATTTTCCACTGGGTCAACTATAACCCAGGTTTATCTGTCTTCTATATCCAGAGACTGTACCCTGCTCCTATGCAGTCTTGCTCTCTCCATAGCTTCATATGTGCAGCAGAACTCACCCTCTGCCTTCCATAACCAGGAGTGGGGCGCTACCTTCCCTCACCTGACTCCTGTGCTGCAGAAACTTGCTAAGAAACACGGAGCATATGTTTCAGACTCAGAATAAAATTATTTTTACAGTCACCAAGTTTTAGAGATTCTGATTTAGTGTATCTGGGTGTGTCCAGGGTACCAGTGTGCTCCCTTCTCACTCAAATGAAAATTACTGGAACATGATGTTATTTGGTATTCAGTTACACAAAGCTGAGTGTAACTGATTGGTTAATAGTAAAAGTTTTGATTTCAGTAAAATAGTTGAATTATTCTAAACCATAACTTTGTAGCTACATGATTTGGGTGAGATGATTTTTTTTTTTTTTTTTTTTTTTGAGAAGGACTCTCGCTCTGTCACCCAGACTAGAGGGCAGTGGTGTGATCTTGGCTCACTGCAACCTCCTCCTCATGGGTTCAAGTGATTCTCCTGCCTCAGCCCCCCGAGTAGCTGGGATTACAGGTGTGCACTACCATGCCGGACCGGTTTTGTACTTTAGTAGAGATGAGGTTTCACCATGTTGGCCAGGCTGGTCTCAAACTCCTGATCTCAGGCGATCCACCTGCTTTGGACCCCCAAAGTGCTGGGATTACATGAGTTAGCCACCACACCCTGCCTGAGATGATGTTTTTGAGCCACAGTATTCCCATCAGTAAACCGGACATACTAATTGTAATTTCAGGTATTTTTGTGACACATATATTATTGAAATTATTATTATTAAATTACTGACTTTAATAATACATTCTTAAATTAGTTATTATTATAATAACATAATTAATATTGAAAGCAGTTTATAAACTTGCGTGGTGCTAGGGGGCACTACAATGTAAAGGAATTTATGTAATAAAAGTAAAGATGCAACGTTTGATTTTATTTTTCATGTTTTGTAATGCAAAAATTAACTGTCCTTTTATTTAAATTACAGCACATGCAAATTAACTTTTAGGTATATAATTATTCTGAATTATTTCAGAAAACTATTATGGTCTCATCACTGGATTAAAAAATGTAATAATATTCTCAGTTTAAAGAAAATGCACAGGTTTTAAATCCTCTGTGATAAGGGCCCATGAACTTGGAGCTGCTGATTTTTTTTTTTTTTAATTTGCAGGGTTTTTACATAACAAATTATCAGAAACCAAAGCACCCAGATATCAGACTATGAATAGAAAACATCTTTCCTGAACAAGTACAGGCTTTATTACTTAATTGTATTTACACTGATGAGTGCACACAAAGAAAAATCAATTTGTGGGAGTTTATTTCATTGGTATTGAAATTGTATCTTCCTTGAAAAACTTGGCACACAGTGCCTAGTTTGTCTCCCAGTTCATTATATTATTATTTTACTATATTCTGTGCCGTTATGTAGTTTTATATGGGCTCACTAGTTGAGTGTTCAAAATTGCTTTTCTGAACTATAGAATATTAACTTCCAGTATTTACCAAAAAAATGTTATTTATTAAAAAAATCACAATAAAAGGGCATAAAATAAATATAAATACTCAACATTTTCAAGGTTCTTGTGGAATCATTCTGAAAGCATTAAAAGGAGAGGCTGGAAATCTGCGTTTATAATATTGGTCATTTCCCTACCTACTTAATAGTAACATTAAAGCTTCCTCAGTATGCTTTCTGAAACAAGTAAAAATGTTCTTTTACCTTAACTTATACTGTGGAAAATCTCAAAGGAATGCTAGAAAACCATTCCAATGTACTCACCCAAACAACACAAAATACCCACACCTTCTCCAATTCAAGCAATCATTTAATTAATCGAAAGAGCTGAGATGCACTCCCTCTCTACCTCATAAGGGCTTCCATCATGAACTTGATTGTGTCCTAAATTCAGTCCTCCAGGAGAAGCTCATCACCCTCCCCATGTCCTGAATGTCAGAATCCAAAGCTGGAAACTGCATCCTACTTAATCTTTATGTTTTTTGAAAAAGTTTATCTTTCTTCCCAGGAATAAAAACATCTATTCTCTGAGGCACATGTAAGCATTTATCCTTCAGTATAATGAACTTTTTTAGTCATATTGTTAATGACAAGCTTACATAAATTTTTTTCTGCTCCCACCTTCAAAGCTCCAAGCCCTGTATTCTTACAGGATGATATTCATAAACTATTTGACCTTAGCTTCCCTCCATTTAAGGCTTTCTTGCTCAGAATCACTCCTTTTATTAGTTATCTGTTGATGCTTAACATATTACCTCCAAAACTTAGTGGATTAAAACAACAAACATTCATTATGCCAACTTCTCTGGGTCAAGAACTATATCAGAATTAGTAAGGCCCTCTAGCTCAAGGACTCTCATAAGGCTGCCATCATTTAAAAGCCTTACTTAGGGAAGATTCACTTCTAAGATTAATCATGTGGCTGGGGGCAGTCCCCAGGTCCTTCCTTGCTGGCTGTGACTGGTGACACTGGCTCCGTGCTATGTGGACTTCTTAATAGGCAGCGCTCAACATAGAAGTCAGCTTCCCTTACAATGAAAGAGAGAGAGAGGATTCCCAAGACAGAAGCCACAGTCTTTGTGCAATCTAATGTTGGAAGTGATATCCATCACTTCTGCCACAGTCTATTTGATAGTGAAGTGAGATAAATTCAACTAGGACAACAGAGTAGAAGATTCCTCAAGGAGTTACCTCTACCAGGGGTACAAGTGACATGGAGCAATTTTAGAGGCTGCTTACCAAACCCATGAAATGTATAATGACAAAACATGATATTCCTCTTAAATGACTAAATAAGCACACCACTCTTTGATCAATCTCCTGTCTGTTCAGTGTGGCAACAATTCCCACTGCAGCTGTTCTCCTGCCTCACTAAGACTTTCAATCCACTGGTGCCTCAGCCTTTGCCTATAGCATTATGATCCTCCTGCGGTCAGTTACTCCCACAAGCAAACTAACAATGGCTCTTCTCAACACTGGCTTTATGTTAGAATTGCCTGAGGAGGTTCCAAAGATACATATGAGTGCCTTGGCCCCAATTGAGATTGGCTGACCCAGTGTCTCTGGGACCTGGCATTCTATTATGATACTAATATGCAGCAATAGTTGGGAATCGATATTGTAGATTCAATTACTGAATATTTTAAAATGTAATTGCCAGTAACATAAAACCAGAATTGACATACTGCTTCCCTTGGGCTAAATACAATCCATCTCCTATTTTTTAAATAAATTCTTATTGGAACGCAGCCACATTTTCTTATTGTCCATGGTTGCTTTTGCAGAACATGGGAGAACTGAGTACTTCCTACAGAGACAATATGGCTCACAAAATAAAAATATTTACTATCTGGCCCTTTGCTTAAAAAAAATTACTGAGTTTTGACCTATCCCCTTTCACATCTTCATTTTTCTCTCTCTCTCTCTCTCTTTCTCTCTCTCGGTTGCTTTTGGTTTTGTCCTTTTTAGAAGCACATTGCAACCTCTTCTCTAGATGAACTCAACTATCTGATTTCTGCATATTTCTCAGTCCATGACTGCTGCTGAAGAATGTCATGCAAGAAAACAAACTGATAATATTTTAAGACGATGATCACCATTGGAAACCGGGTTTTCAATTGTGCCTGACATAACTTTTTCAATCTCTACAATCCTCTAATTTCTGACACTCTCTTCTCCCTTCTCACTTCTCTCTCTCTGCAGATGACTTTGCTACTGCAACACAGAGAAAATATAAGTCTTTATACTCATAGTCTTTCAACTACCTGGCACTAAATCAATATACCTGTCTCCATTTGCAACTATTATCTTTCTCCCTGATCCTGTCAAGATGATCTTACTCTTTGTTGTAGGCTACTTTCCTCCTCTGACTTCAGAATTAGTTCTCACCTGACATTAAGAGGAAATTTACATTGTTACCAATTTCTCTACTGAAAATCCAACTTTTTATTTCCACGTAGATGCTTCCCATCGTGGTTTCCATGAACTTTATTGTCTCAATGATTGTCATTTTAGATCTATAACTCTTTTTCTGAGCTTTGGGTCTATATAAGCCAAATTTCTGCTCAACGGAGCAACCATATCCCCACTTTAATTGGACAAGTCTCTCCAGAAAATAAATCTCCTATTTCCTGTTGTGTTAAATGAAGAATAATTACTAAGGTATTCAGTAATGATAAAGAATCTGGGAATTTAACTGTTCTTGATATGAAATTTCAAATTACACACTTTTTTTGGGGGGGAAGCCAAACCCACCTCCAGCATTTTATTCCCACACATGATAAGCTTGTCCAAGGTGTGTGTGGTTTGGATGACTTTATATTTTGTTAGCTTTCCTCTTCCCTCTACATATGGACACTATGTTTTGTCAAAAGGAAATGTGTACACTAGATGCTTGTTAAAAATAGCAAGGAAGACTATTCAGGACTATAGCAATGGGGGAATAATATAGCTATAGTAGAGAGAGATTGAACTAAAATTTCTCCCAGCATGGAGCTGGAAATTTATAAGCAAAGAGCTGAGGGAGTGAGTCAGTGGATAGAAACTAATTAGATATTAAGGGTGGCGGGGGGTGGGGTGGCGGGGAGCGGGGTTCTTGCTAAACTGCATTATTGCTAAAGGCATGCCAAAGTGATAAGATATCCAGGGCGAAGTGATTCTCAGTGAACTGGCTTAGCAGGCGTCTTTGTTAAACTGGGCCTGAGAAGAGGGACTGGAGAAGAATGATTAAACTTTGGTCAAGATGGGAATCTGTCAGTTTTGGCCTTCTCTAATCTATGTGGTTACGCTGCTCGAGAGCTTGCTAAGATGTATTCAAGAAGGCTAGTGTATTAGCTTGTTCTCACACTGCTGCTATAAAGAAACACTTGATATGGGGTAATTTATAAAGCAAAGAAGTTTAATTGGCTCACAGTTCTGCAGGCTGAACAGGAAGCATAGCAGCATCTGCTTCTGGGGAGGCGAAAGGGAGATTTTACTCATGGCAGAAGGCAAAGTGGAAGCACGAATCTTGCAAGGCAGAAGCAGGACTGAGAGGAAGAGAAAAGGTGCCACACACTTTCACCAACCATATCTCATGAGGATGCTATCATGATACAGCATCAAAGGGGGAAATCTGCCCCCATGATCCAATCACCTCCCACAAGACCCCACCTCCAACATTGGGGATTACAATTCAGCATGAGATTTGGTAAGGGACACAGATCCAAATCATATCAGCTAGTAATAAAGTGTATTAAGATTTAGGAGTTGATATGGTTTGGCTGTGTGTCCCCACTCAAAATCTCATGGTGAATTGTAAACCCCATAATCCCCACATGTCAAGGGAGAGACCAGGTGGAGGTAATTGAATCATGGAGGTGGTTTCTCCCAAGCTGTTCTCATGACAGTGAGTGAGTTCTCTCGAGATCTAATGGTTTTACAACTGTTCGGCAAGTTCCTCCTTCCATCCTTCTTTTTCCTGCCATTTTGTGAAGAAAGTGCCTGCCTCCCTTTCACCTTCCACTACGATTGTAAGTTTCCTGAGGCCTCCCCAGTCATAGGGAACTGTGAGTCAATTAAACCTCTTTCTTTAATAAATTACTCAGTCTCAGGTATTTTCATATAGGAATGTGAGAAAGGACTAATACAGGAATCTTCAAGGACATCCCATCCAAATTAAAAGTTGTGTATCACTTGCTTCTTTGACCTCACCTACTGTATTAATTACATTTATATGTATATATACACACACACACATATGCAAACATATATATATATATATCAGCTTTACTAAATGGTCTCTATATTCTCAGTTTTATTGTTTCATTAGGAAAAGAAATTGGCTGGGATATTGGTAACAGTATATTTCTGCTTATGCTGTAATACCCAAGTTGAAACATTTGATAGAAATTGATTGATGCTTGTTACCTGATGTTTTAAAATAAGGGCTAAATAGTTATATATCTCAATATTATCGTTATCCTGGATGTGACAGGGTACAGATGTGACAATGCATGTTTTTATAGTGTGTTCTACTGGTGATTCAAATAACTAAGGTATTGCCATTGGCAACATAATTTTTGTAAATATTGAAAGACTCTGGGAAGTTTCTACAATAAAAAGACTTTTTCTCTTCAATTTCCATAGTGGTTGCATTCTGAAAAATTTAGTTTGTATTAAGCCATTCAAAGTATTTACATGTAAAATATTCATTTCTTGACTAAATAATTACAGATGATCACTTACGTGGCTATCCATTGGGGCATTTGATGGGAATATTTTTTACAATGTAGGATCGCAGGATATCTAGTATTGTTTGTCCTCACATTGGAAATACAATTACTGCCTTCTGATCGTTTTGACAATGGAGACACTCAAGCATTTCTAAACAGAAAAAGCTGGTACAAGCACACTTGAAGCACAATACATCTGAAAGGCACATGAAGAGTTCAATAAAATGTTTAACAACTGAAAAGACTGCAGAAATAAATTTAAGTATTCTGTCTATACTAAAATCCAAATGTAAATTATATTAGAGTTGCAGCTATTTAATACGCTATTTCAGCATTCACATGCTATTTTCATTTTCTATTCAGATGTTTTTTCCACTGCCAGACACTTTCTAACAAGTCCTTCAACCCTCTTTATAATAACTTATGAAAATATTTGTTACATTATGCTCAATGATTTCCTCAATTAAAATGATATATAAAATAAGAACAAGTGAGAGGAAAAAAACATAGTTTGTGCATCTGTTTTGTGATAAATATAGTAGTTAGATCTATTTTATATAAATTTTCTCATTAAACCCACATCAAACTTTTTCTCCTGCATTTTTTAAATGGAAAATGTGAGGTTGATAGGAGTTAATTAACTCTACTAATAGCTGACGGTAATGAAACTATCATTACTGAGAACTATAGTTGGTTTTTACAATTATTTCATTTTTTGTTGGTTTGTTTTTGTTTTTGTTTTTTGAGATGGAGTTTCGTTCTTGTTGCCCAAGCTGGAGTGCAATGGCGTGATCTCAGCTCACTGCAACCTCTGCCTCTTGGATTCAAGTGATTCTCCTGCCTCAGCCTCCTGAGTAGCTGGGATTACAGGCACGTGCCACCACGCCCAGCTAATTTTGTATTTTTGGTAGAAATGGGGTTTCTCCATGTTTGTCAGGCTGGTCTCGAACTCCCAACCTCAGGTGATCCACCCACCTCCGCCTCCTAACGTGCTGGGATTACGGGTATGAACCAGCATGCCCGGCCAATCTATATCTTTTAAGTGTGAAATGCTTTCAGAAAAATATTTCAACCAAAAGGGAGAAATGTGGAAGTTGTGAGCACCAAAATGGAGTCACTTACATCAAACCATAAAAAAATGAAGCTGGGAGGCCATGAAAGAGGGGCCTTCATGTACATATGTCTATAATAAGAACTGCTGCAATGGTTCTCTCAAAAACCACGAAAATGTTAGATATGATAATTCTATGAAGACATCTCTCCAGCAACAGCCAATATTATCAATGAGTATTTGCCAACTCTTGTAACAAGCTTCTCTGGCCCATGAGGTTTATTACAAAACTTACATAAAATTTCTCTTTTAAGATTTTTGCCTTCCTGATATGGTTTAGATTTGTGTCCCCACCCAAATCTCATGTCGAATTGTAATCCCCAATGTTGGAGGAGGGGCTTGGTGAGAGGCGATTGGATCATGGGGGTGGATTTCCTCCTTGCTGTTCTTGTGATAGTGAGTTCTCATGAGACCTGCTTGTTGAAAAGTGTGTGGTATTTCCCCTTTGCCCTCTTCCCCCTGCTTCGGCCATGTAAGACGTGCCTCCTTCCTTTTTGCCTTCTGCCATCATTGTAAGTTTCCTGAGGCCTCCTCCAATCATGTTTCCTGTACAGCCTATGAAATCATGAGTCAATTAAACCTCTTTTCTTTATAAATTACCAAGTCTCAGGTAGTTCTTTGTGCTAGAACAAACTAATACAGTCCCTCAGCTTCTTTGGTGCCTAAGGTCCACCATAGCATGTGTATTTCAAATTGCAATTTACTGCTATTTCCTGAATACACTCTTTATTTTAGAGAGTCAGTATCTCTGTTGTTTAAGTTGACATAATCTAATGTCAGAAGCAAGATGCAAAGGCTCCAAGCCTTCTTTGTTACTTACAGTTACAGCACTGTTATCCAAACAGTAACAAAGAAAGCCTTTGGAAGGCTTTCAAGTATCTGGCGATACTTGAAATTGTGTATGATACTCACCTGAGCCTATTGTGATCTTCACTTGTACAAGTTGTCTTTATGCTGCGAGATAAGTCCTCTCTTGGTTTGAGCTCCCACCTTTTCAGTGAACTCTTACATTTTGGGGGATCTGCTCTTGTAAAGGACATCCTTTCTGGTGAGTATTCTTTTGGTTTAATTTTTGGTTTGGTTATTTGTGCATGAATTTAATCTCATTAGGAAACAAGTTAAGTTGAATAGACCAACTAGTGAATTAATCCGTCTCCAAAATATACGTTTTTGGCATTTACCTGTTTATTTTGAAACTCTTTGTAAGAAATGTAAACCTGTAATGATAATCTCTGCTTTGTAAGGATATCTCCCTCTCTGACACCTAAAACACTAGATGCTTTCACAAAGCAAAAGGAAGAGACCTAAATCTATCTATCTGTGTAAACTCACCCTTGACCATTTCATTTTGAAGGCTTCCTATATATGCTTTTTTTCATCTCAACAAATAGTGGTGTTTAAGTTCTGTACCTTTGAGATTTAAATTTTCTACATTCCTTCACCTAAAAATCATCTCTTTGGAAGTACAAATTTTGGGTGGCCTAACTAACACTTGTTTATGGGCCAATTGAACAGATCATTAAAAGACAGATAGTCTGAAAGAGGGAGTAAAACTACTTGCAAGCCAGGCAAATAACAATTCTTAATGCAAGTTGTAAGTTCTTCCTCTGTCTGTATTTTTCTACGTGTGTGTGTGTGTGTGTGCGTATGTACAATTTTTTCTACCAAAATTCATAAACGGCTCTACTTAATTGGCTTACAGAGAAAACATAAGTGTTTAAACTAAGAATTCTCTCAGAAAAACAGAAACTCAATTGCCTTTTGGCTTATGTGATGAAATAATCTTTGGCAGACAAAGCTAGTTTTAAAATTTGTTGGCAAAATAAAAACAAATATTTTCAGAATTGTCAGCATTAATTACAATGTACAGATACAGTTTTTAAACCTAAAGTTACTGGTGAAACAAGCTTGCTATTACTGAGATGTATAATGAATGTCTTAAAGCTATAAATCCACTCATCCTTGTGTTTAAGGAGGAACTGAAGCACAATTGTTAAGAACAAGTGAATTAGGTGAATATAAATTGACAAAAGGTTGATAATAAAGTTGTCAGAATTTCAAAAATAATTTAGTGTGACTTGAAATCTTAAAATCATGTTATATTAAATTAAGTAACACTTTACTGATTTAATATTTGAGTCATTTCTAAGGAAAATACTGAAATATCAATTGCTTAACAGAAGTTTAAAATATACGTAATTTGGCATCTTGGTTTCACATGTTATGGAAAAGCTAAACATATTTGGGCCTGTTAATTAAAGGCATAAAAATTATTTTATGAGATGGTGTTCATCTGCAAAATACTAACATGATGCACTTCAAAATGCTTACTAATTTTCACTAGAAATTAAGGTTACTAAGAGTTAATTAAAATTAATATTAGAGTAATTTAAACTAGAAATAATGAAGGGAAACAAATCTGTACGTGAGGGAAGGAAAACACATACAGAAAGTTATAAGTAAGAGGTTGTGTTTTTGTTAAGGGAAAAAGAGAGTATTTTTTGTCTAAAAGTAGAATGTCTTACTGTTCCAAAAAGAAAAAGAGAAAAAATATAGACAAAAACTGAATAAGATAACTGGATGACAAATTTATAGAAAGTTTGTGGAAGATTAATCTTGTGAAAAGAATTTTATGTGTGACCAAGTTGGCTAAAGTTAAAAGGAAATTATTTATAAATATTCTGAAAACTTGAGCATTATTATCAAAAGTACAGGAATGGAAAACTTGAAATTTGTCCCCTGTGCTGAAACAACAAGCTTTTCTTTGAGTATTGACCTGCTCTTAATAGACAATAGTGAAATGTTTTCTCTACCTTTTAGATAACTGGCCTAATAAACCAAGATTTTTTGTTTATCAAGGTAATTTCTTATGCTTTATGCTCTCTTTTACTAGGTCTTTGATTACTTGAGAAAAGTGAGTGAGGTGGGGCCAAGATGGTTGACTAGAAGCAGCTAGTGTGTGCCACTCTCACAAATAGCAGGAAGAGTGGTGAGACACTAGCTCTTCAACCGGAACATCCAGGTGGACACATAAGGATTCATCAGTGACATAGTGTGACCTTCGGATCACGGAGAAGAGTGAGACAGATCAACCATTCACCCAGGAGTGGCACAGACCCAGGGGAATCCCCCTACAAGAAAATGGTGAGTGAGTGAGAGTCCCGTGGGATGCATATTTCTGCCACGAACCTTTGAATCCCTGGGCTCAGGAGATACCCCAGCTGGGGTCTCCAGACCAAAACAGAGAGCCATGTGGAGTCTGGGTAGAGCTGCTTCTTAGGTAGGTGTGGAGTCCCAGTAGCATTTGTTCCCTGGGTACCCCAAAACCAGGGGCTGCAGCTCCAGCAATTGGGAAGGCCAAGTTTTCTTGCACGCTCCCCAGAAAAGGGGCCAAGTCCATGGGGCTGAGCAGTGATAGACTGCAGACCTCACCACCACTGAACCTTGTAGGATAAGGCCCACTAGCCTGGGATGCTAGTGAGGCCACCCTAGTCCTCCTGAGTTCTCCAGCTGGGAGCAGCTCTACACTTCTCCGGCATGCAGCTCCCAAAGAGAGAGGCAGTCCACCTTTTTGCTGTCTCGCAACCCTCCCTCCTGCTGCTCTCAGGCTTGGGAGGGTGCACAGCAATTAGGGACTATCACAGAACCCCAGCACAGTGCATCTGGTGAACTTAAAAAAATCAACAAGTGAAAAACAAACAATCCCATTTAAACGTACACAAAGTACATGAACGGACACTTTCAAAGGAGGGCATACATGTGGCCAGAAAGCATATGACAAAATGCTCAACATCACTAATCATTAGAGAAATGCAAATCAAAACCACAATGAGATACCATCTCACACCAATGAGAATGGCTATTATTAAAAACTCAAAAAATAAGAGATGCTAGTGAGGTTGTGGAGAAAAGGGAATGATTATACAGTGATGGTGGGAATGTAAGGTAGTTCAGCCATTGTGGAAAGCAGTGTGGCCATTTCTCAAAGAACTCAAAGCAGAAGTGCCATTCAACTCATCAATCCTACTGTTGAGTATATACCAAAAGAAATACAAATCATTCTACCATAAAGACACATGCACGTGTGTGTTCATTGCAGCACTTTTCACAATAGCAAAGACATGGAATCAACCTAAATGCCCATCAGTGGTAGACTGGATGAAGAAATGTGGTAGATATACAACATGGAATACTATGCAGCCATAAAAAGAATGAGATCATCTCTTTTCCAGCAACATGAGTGGAGCTGGAGGCCATTATCCTAGAAAACCCAATACCATATGTTCTCACTTATAAGGGGAGCTAAACATTGAGTACATATGGACACAAATGGAACAACAGACACTGGGCCTACTTTAGAGTGGAGGGAGGAAGGAGGATGAAAATTTAAAAATTACCTACTGGGTACTATGCTTATTATCTGGGTTATGAAATAATCTACACACCAAACCCCGTGACACACAATTTACCTATATAAATGCGTAAGTAACCCACATGTGTACCCCTGAACCTAAAATAAAAGTTAAAAAAAGAGAAAAGTAAATGTTCTCAGTATTAAAAAGCTATGTTTTTGTTGACAATTATGTAAATTTCTACATTTATTTTTTGAAATCTTTTAATTTTCATTTTGGTTACCTGTTATCGTACTCTGATAAAGTGTTTTAAACTGTTTGATGTTTTTGACAAACTTCCCAAAATAATATTTTAAATTAACTCTTTTTGCCCTCAAGTTAATTTTGATATTTCTCATTTGGACCCCTGGAAAGATCAAAGAATGTGTATCTCACATTGTAAAGAGATATATTAAACTAATGAGACTTACTTGATATATTAAATTATATAGGGAGTATTGTCAAATACTAAGTGGTGCTAAACCTTCTTTAAGTTGTATTTCAGAATGTTATTGATATGTGTTACAAAATAAATTCTTCAAAATCTGATATGTTATCGGTCATAATCTTGGTTATTATCTTCAAGTTTTGTATGCCACAGAAATAAACAAATTTCTTTGTCAATTACATTATTATTATAATAAACTCCATGAGATTTTTAACCATGGCCGCTCTAAGTCTGTCATCCACAGGGACCGACTGCTTTCATTCTTTTCTAAAAGCATTTGCCATCAGCTACAATAAAAAATTGCTTCTTCTCTGAAACTGATGGTCCATTAAGGTTTAACCCATATACTCCTCTATATACCTCTACAGCCTCCCCAAATCAAGTTGATATATTCCCCTAGCAGTCTGTGCAATGGAGACCAACATTACATTCTTTTAGATTGTTTTAAATTACATTTTTGAACTTCCAGTTTATTACATACCAAGAGTTGATTACAACCTCCTTGTTTCATAAGTGGAAGCTATGTTAGGGTTGGATGTGGGTGCCATAATTTCTTCAAGGATCCTGGACAGAGACCCACATCAGGATCAGAAACCCTACGATAGCATTGCAGATCTCATGGCTCAATAATCCTTGAAGATTATAATTTTCATCCTACTATCAGTTGCACTTTCTGTCACTTTTACTGCATTAAGTCTCCCGGTATCAAACAGAGCTCTGTGGTGTCACTGACTGAGGAATGGAATAGAGATGTCCACAAGGGGTCTTGATATCATGACTGCACAGAGATGTGAAAGGAGAGACCACTTCCTCACCACCCAGCTACTTCACTTCTCTCCCGGTATCAGCCCTATAGTCGGACCTAGGCTTTCAGAAGTGTAAGTGTGCAAACAAGTTTCGGTTGGACTTTAAGAGGACACTTTGTCATAGAAGAAAATCCAGTATCTCTAAGCTGGTTTTCTTTTCAGGAAAACATCCTGAGGGACCAGTAAGCAGGGAGATCCTTTTTCTAGTTTGCCTGTAGAGTTAGGAAGACAGTTGATTTTTCAGTCTTTTACAGGATGCTTAAACAAAGCTGTGTAATTACATAAGGTGGATCTTTATCTTGCCTAAGAAGATAAAGTGGGAATCTTCACTCCGCCAGGGCAAATTTCCAAAGAGCTCATTTATTCCATGTCTTTCAAACTTTCATGAGATACATTTCTCTTTCACATTGTTGCTGATTTCCAAACAGCTGTCAGCTAGTTTTTTCCTCCCCCTTTCCTATTCTTCACTATTTTGATAGCAAAGCTCATAGAATTAGAGGACTTAGAAGATGCTTTGTAAACATTGCCACAAAGGAACTGCTGAAATGATTCACAGGAAGACTGGTCAGTTGGGAGAAAGATCCTAAAGATGTTACACTGGTTTTCAACAACATGCTTAGAGAATTCTTGAAGCAGATAGCTGTCAACCCAGTGAAAACAACATTTTGATTTATTTTTTTTTTAAGTTTATGGTGATTGTGTCGGTTTCTAAAATAAGCAAATATTCAAGTCAAGAGATGTTTTGTTTTTTCTTCTGCCAAGAATGGGGTTAGGGGAGCAAAGACACAATTTGGGAAAGGACATATGTGCTATTATAGGGATCACCTTTAAGTTTCTGGGAAGGAATGGGCACGGGTGAGTAGGTTGGCTCAACATTGTCCTGCACTGCTTATTAGGACCTGAGACATGCAAGGGAAATGTGGGTGACATCAGGGCACCCAGGGCACAGCCCCACTAACTGCTGTGCTGAGTTTCTGTAGCCTGCCACGTTTCCCTTGGTGAAGTAAATGAAGATCAAGGAGTCATTTTATGATGTCCTGGTGCTGAGAATAATAAATGTCTTGTTACAAACAGATGTAACAATGGTTTTTTTCTGGATTATTATCAGGGTGGTCAGCTCTGGGTTAAGCACCCACATCCAATTTGTACAATAATATTGATACATAGGGCTACGCTTATTACTGCTCAAGCATTCTGTTTTAATAATTGTGTTTTCTTCTAAAGGTTAAATAAAAGCAAAAAATGGGGCTAAACTATCAAACTGTTCCCCTATTTGTTTTCTCCAGTGTACAACATATATATGTATATATTTTATTTTATTGAAGATGCAGTAGGATACCTGCCATTTAAGAAAATAAATAGAAAATTTAAAATCCCAACAAATGAGAAAAAGAAATTCAGTACCCAAGAATAGGGCTGGTCCAGCACCACCCCGAAGTAGGCTGTGGTTTATGGACTGAAGAGCCTTGCTCCCTTTACATTCGCTCATGCTCCCACACAAGGCTAGCAGTAGAAATGCTTGAATTCTGCTTGGCTTGCCAAGGGGACTCAGGAGTCAACCAAGGGAACTATTTGGCTCCACGAGGAATGGACACCTCAGGATGCTTCCTGAACAGGGCCTAGTCAGGAAGTAGCCTGGATGTGCATAGTCATGGTCACCTTATGAAAATGTGTGGCAGGTGGCTCTCAGGAAAAACACCAAGCCTGGATCATCTGTGTGGCAGCTTTGCCTGGGGAGGTAACAGCTCCAAATTGAAACTGAACTGCATCCTACATGCTTTACCAAAGCAGTGATGAGAGTGATCAGTGCATGTGGTGTGAGTGGTAGGTTTAAAAAAAAGGGAATGTTTTACGCTCAGTGTTTCCTCTGTCTTTGGGCTACTCAATCTGGACAATAGGTAACCATTCTTTTCAAGGAATCAACCCAACTTTGCTGGCTTGGTTTGTGGTTTGTTTCATCCCTAGCTATGAGCATGCTTTGGTCTATAAACGTGGCTTGTCTCATAATACATTCCCTTTCTGTAATTTTTTAAATTTTTTATTTCCATAGGTTTTTGGAGAACATGAGGTATTTGGTTACATGAGTAAGTTCTTTAGTGGTGATTTGTGAGATTTTGGTGCACACATCACCCGAGCAGTATACACTGAACTCAATTTGTAGTCTTTTACCCCTCATGCCTTTCCCACTCTTTCCCTTGAGTCCCCAAAGTCCACTGTATCATTCTTATGCCTTTGCATCTGCATAGCTTAGCTCCCACTTAAGAGTGAGAACATGCAATGTTTGGTTTTCCATTCCTGAGATACTTCACTTAGAATAATAGTCTCCAATCCCATCCAGGTTATTATGAATGCCATTAATTCATTCCTTTTTATGGCTGAATAGTATTCCATTACATATATGTATTTATGCATATATATATATATACATATGCATATATATATACATATACATACACACACACACACACACACACACACACACATAAATATATACCACAGTTTATTCACTCATTGATTCACGGGCATTTAGGCTGGTTCCACATTTTTGCAATTGCTAATTGTGCTGTTATAAACGTGCATGTGCAAGTATCTTTTTTGTGTAATGACTTCTTTTCCTCTGGGTAGATAACCAGTAAGATTGCTGGATCAAATGGTAGTTCTACTTTTATGAATTGTCCTTGTTTTTCTTTAAAAGTTAATACTTTTGATCACTATAGTTTGTTAGTGTTGGATTGTTTCCACTTTGAAATTTCTAAACTTTTTCCCTTCATAATGTTAAAACAAGTTATGTTAGATGCCCTTTCAACATGAAAGGTCTGTAGTTAAGATATTACATATATTTTATTGTTTATAATAAAAATCTAGACATAAGAAGTGCCAAGTGTTAATTATAATATTTTGCACAGTATCTTTTTTCCCATGATGTGTTAATATCTACAATTTCATTAAATGTTGATGTTATTCTCTACTGAGATTCAGAAGCCTAGGGAGCTATGTGTTCATTTTGGTTATTTTTGTTGTTATTTCCCTGAAGCAAAAGACTACATGGCCTTCAGTGCAACAACCTCAGTCCAATTCTGAAGTTTATTATACTTGCTTGCCTCTTGGCTATTTAACTTCTGAGTGCAAATCATTGAACTCCCTAATGAAGTATTGTAGAGAATAAATTAAAATGAATAAAGAAAAATACTTCCTCTTCAAGGAGGTTCATGAAAAGGACTCTAACAAGTATGCTGGAATTTAGATTTCTTATGAGTTTAAGATTATACCACTGGACTGGGAAAGAATTTCCAGGACTCTAATGAAGAAACGATGGCTTCTTAAAACATCTAACCCAGATCAAGTAGAATAAGTTTAATGAATGGGACTAAACAAACTGATGGCAATATTTTCGAGTGACTTTTTGTTTAACATTTTGCTGTTTTTTTTAAATTTTTTGTTTTCCAGATTTGAGAAAACTTTTAAAAAGCTATCTATAGCATACAGCAATTTGGTAAAGTATACTTTTATAAATAAAAATGGAAATATTTATTTTTTCTTCCTACCTGCGGCTGCAGTCTTCAGAGAGCTCTTATTGATATTTTTATTTTATGGCAACATAGTTATTTGCATTAATTCAATAAAAATCTATTCTCTTTGTAACAGGATAGAATTACAAACATTGGTTATATTATAAATGGTTTGACTTGAATGTGATATTTGAGACTATGCACAGGATGCCTAGCTTCAAGGATTCCCAAGCTCACAGTGAGTGAATAAACATTTTTACCTCTTGACAGGCCAGGAACCTCCAGATATATTGGAGACCTCAAGAAGAGAGAAATTCATGCAGATTTTTAGATACTGCAGCCAAAGTCTGATGTTCGCCCTCCTTTGACTTCTGACCCTTGAAAGGCTTTTAAAAGTCTAATCTGAGATTTCTTATCAAAAGTTCCATCAAAATAAACTTAAAAACAGCCCATGTTTCATCCCTTTTCTTGCTATACTGTTGTCAATAATCATGCCAAGTTTAATGAGACTAAACTTATTCAGCAGACAAATTAGTCTTACTCTGATTATCTTTAGTAGAAATAGGGATGATTGTACAGAGAAAAATTATGTTTCTGAAGAAAAACTGCAGTACACCTGTTAGTAGATTGTAGTTTTCTTTGTTGTTTTCAAGTTTTTGTCATCTATCTCTAAATTAGACAGGGCACTTAATTATTCTAATTTCCTCCAACGTCTGGCTATGATTCTCCAACTAAGAACATAAACTGCCTTGTTCCTAAAGTCCTACAAGTTGGAGCCAGAAAACTCCATGTAAATTTCAAGAGAGAAATCTCATGGCTATTGTGTGGGCTACAAAGAGAATTGACTAAAATGCCCCATGCTATACCCAGGAACATTCAAACTACAAACCAGAGTAAGAAGTTGATGACATCACAGTGTGGAAAGCTTTTCCCAAGACATTGTAACAAAACTGGACTCTTATCCTTCTTATTTTTTTTTTTCTTGCTTATGCCTACATTTTTCACTTGGCAGAATAACGCTGTGGTTAGAATTTCACATTCAGTAGCTTCCGTAACTGAATGAAGTTTTGGATCTGTCGTGTCAAACCCACATCTTTACATGACCTAAGGGATCCTTTAGTCCACCCAGTGGGTAACTATGGCAACATCCCTAATTTATTTGCCACCTTGGGTTTCGTTGCAGGCTTCACCGCAAAGGCTATTGCCGCCCAGCAGTGCTCATTAAAGTATCTTGCTGAGTAGCCGTAGATAACACAACAGGACAGGATGAGATAACTCTCAATTATCTACTGGTTGAACAAGAATGTCTGTGCCATTGCTAATAACTACATGCTGTACCTGAATATATTTCTCTGGGGAAGTCAAGACCTAATTGCATAAAATAGCAAGACAGGCTTTATGGCTACAACAGATCTCACTCAGTCTCACATAGACTTTTGATTCATTAGTTGGCTGCCTTTGGGTCCATGTTCATAGACAATATTTCATGTTACTATTAATTTTGTACCGCATCATTCTTTTTAAACTTTTTATCTGTTTCCTGTCCAACCTCTGCAGAAATGATGCATCTAACAGAGTAACACTGGTCCAGAACTTCCAAATGGTAGTCAATGCCTATGGAACTGACAAAATTGAACTTAGCAATGAACTCCAGGCAGATTTATCCTGAGAGCCACTCCTTCTGAACCTCTTTGTTTCTTAAATGTGACTAATAGGGTTTTGACATCTGCTCTTAGTTGCTGGCCATTCACCTCTGATGCAGGATCAGACTGACTAGGAAAGGTCCACTCCAGCACCAAGAAACAATCAAAACCTAACTATAGGCTGATTAATCAGCAATGCTTTCAGAAAAAATTCTTGGTCAAAGGGGGGAAATGTTAAAGTTACAAGCAAAGAAGTTGACTCACTGAAGTCAAACCACAACAAAATGGAGCTGGGAGAGTATAAAAGAAGGCCCTTCATGCATGGATGTCTCTAAAAGAATTATTGCAAGGACTCCCTGAAAACTACAAAAATTTTAGATACGACGCTTCTATGAAGACATCTTCCCAGCAATAGCCAGTATCACCGATGAGTATTTGTCCATACCAAGCAATAAGCTTCTGGGGCCAAAGAGGTTTATTTTAAAATAATTTACATGAACTTCACCTTTTTTTTTCTTTATTTCTTCTTCTTCTTCAAAAAACAAACAAAAGTGATATATGTGCAGAACGTGCAGGTTTGTTACATAGGTATACGTATGCCATGGTGGTTTGCTACACTTTTCAACCTATCATCTAAGTTCCCTCCCCTCACCCCCCAACCTCCAACAGGCCCCAGCGTGTGTTGTTTCCTTCTCTGTGTCCATTTGTTCTCAATGTTCGAATCCCACTTACGAATAAGAACATGCGGTATTTGGTTTTCTGTTCCTGTGTTAGTTTGCTGAGGATGACGGCTTCCAGTTTCATCCATGTTTCTGCAAAGGACATGCTCTCATTCCTTTTTTATAGCTGCGTAGTATTCCATGGTGTATGTGTACCACATTTTCTTTATCCAGTCTATCAGTGATGGGCATTTGGGTTGGGTCCATGTCTTTGCTATTGTAAATAGTGCTGCAATAAATATATATACGTATGTTCCCTTACAGTAGAATGATTTATATTCCTTTGGGTATATACCTAGTAATGGGATTGCTGGGTCAAAAGGTATTTCTAGTTCTAGATCCTTGAGGAATGCCCATACTGTCTTCCACAATGGTTGAATTAATTCACTTTCCCACCAACAGTGTAAGAGCATTCCCATTTCTCCACATCCTCTCCAGTATTTATTGTTTCCTGACTTTTTAATAATCTCCATTCTAATTGGCGTGAAATGGCATCTCATTGTGGTTTTGATTTGCATTTCTCTGGTGATCAGTGATGTTGAGCTTCTTTTGTATGTTTTTTGGCCACGTAAATGTCTTTTTTTGAGACGTGTCTGTTCATATCCTTTGCCCACTTTTTGATAGCGTTGTTTGTCTTTTTCTTGTAAGCATGTTTAAGTCCCTTGTAAATTCTGGATATTCGATCATTGTCAGATGGGTAGATTGCAAAAATTTTTTCCCAGTCTGTAGGTTGCTTGTTCACTTTGATGATAGTTTTTTTTTTTTTTTTTTTTTTTTTTTGCTGTGCAGAAGCTCTTTAGTTTAATTAGATCCCATTGTCAATTTTGGCTTTTGTTGCAATTGCTTTTGGCATTTTTGTCATGAAGTCTTTGCCCACCATGCCTATGTCCTGAATGTTGTTGCCTAGGTTTTCTTCTAGGGTTTTTATGGTTTGGGGTTTTACATTTAAGTCTTTAATCCATCTTGAGTTAATTTTTGTATAAGGTGTAAGGAAGGGGTCCAGTTTCAGTTTCCTGCATATGGCTAGCCAGATTTCCCACATTATTACTGAATATGAGATCCTTTCCCATTGCTTGTTTTTGTCAGGTTTGTTGAAGATCAGGTGGTTGTAGACGTGTGGTGTATTTCTGAGGTCTATGTTCACCTTCATTGGTCTATATGTGTGTTTTGGTACCAGTTCCATGCTGTTTTGGTTACTGAGGCCCTGCAGTAATGAAGTCAGGTAGTGTGATGCCTCCAGTTTTGTTCTTTATGCTTAGGATTGTCTTGGCTATATGGGGTCTTCTTTGATTCCATATGAAATTTCAAATAGGTTTTTCTAATTCTGTGAAGAATGCCAACGGTAGTTTGATGGGGAACTTCACCTTTTACCCTTAAAAAAGCTTCGGCTCCCCCAGCTTTTTCAAATGTGCCTATGGTTCAGTACGGTACACATATCCCAAATTGCAGTTCATTGCTCTTCCCAGATAAACTATTTTGAAAAGTCAGTCTCTCTGCTGTTTATTTTAATAATTTTTAATAGAAGTACATCTTTCTTAAAAGCATAGCAAAAATTTTAAGTACATTCACAATAATAATAATTAGGAAACAAATGATCATTGCTTTGATTTTAAGAATTATTAATTTCTTTAATTTTTCAAGTTGAAATATAGAACATGTTTTATTTAGTTACCAATTTATTTCTGTATTTTTCATGAAACAATTTACTTTGGTAAGAAATTTCAAGGAATCTGTGGCATAAATACATATTTGGTCAATGTTCCTTGACCCAAAGTATTAAGGCTGGGTTGTATTTAATTCAGTGACTAAGTAATTTAGTCAGGTTATTCAATAAATTAATGAGGTAATAATCTATAAATTGTTATAATCTGTCAATCTATAAATCATATGTAAAATTGTATTATAAAAAGCAAATGAGTCTTTCTAACAATAGCTAGTTCCGACAATAAAATAACTTCACTTTTAGTTAGCAAGCCCGTATTACATTTCTAAATATTGAAGTCTGTGCAGTAGTTAATGAACTTTTAGTCAATTATTGAGAAAAAAACTTTTAGTACAGTAGAAGATATAAAAAACATGATTGAGCTCAATTTCTCTTTTTTAAAAAATCACTGATTTCTTGGTCAAACTTTTGCTTCTTTTGGAACTTTTGAACTTTGTGGCCATGTGAAATGGCACTCTGAAACTTCTAGTAGACTCAAATTGAGGTAACTTTCTTGCTCACGACAATTTTATGTCCAGTTTCTAATATAAGCCATTATTTCTAACACATGCCATGGTTCCATGTTTGAACTAATGTTAATACCACCTGCCCCTACATGACTGAGTCTGAGCACATCCCTGGGCCACATCAAGCACCATGGCAGATTAATCATTCCTTATGGTTTTAACAGGCAAGCTGGGGAAAAAAAATAACTGTCTCCTCCAACTTTGGTTATGAGTGAGTTTCTTACCTTTTAATGGTGAAAAATAAACTTATCTGTCATAGGAGAAAATAACATTACACTCATATGGAAGCAGAGGTGAGAAGTGAAGCCTTAGTAGTGATGTCATCGTTGCCAATTACTGAAGCCAGGAAGTTAGGAATCATCAGTCTTTTTCTTTTGAATTAATGTGACAGTAGTCGAGAGAGAGAAAAAAGTAGGCATGCTGTATGTTATTTAGAGGATAAGATCTATAGATTTGAAATTGATTTGGCATAAACCCACAGGAAAGTGAAGAATCAAGCATGTATTCTAAGCTTCTGGCTTGAGCAAGTGAGCAATCAGCAACATCAGCCCTATGACTTACTAGATTTTTACTGAGGTATACTTTGTAATGTAATAGCTGCGAGAAACTGAATATCATTGAAATTTAGAAAAGGTTATGACAATGTCATTGGGTTAATAGATAGCCTTTTCTTACAAAGATTTGTAAAAAATGAGAGGCCCTAGACATTTGCTGTGTATATTATGCATAAAAATACCACCTCCAGTGAATTCGTTTGGAAAAGAAACTCAAAGCAAGGCCAGACAAAGGAAACAAAAAGAAAAGAAACGAAAGGGAAAGGACAGGGAAGAAAAGGCAAGAAAAAACAAGACAGACAAAAAATTGGAAAAATATGACAGAGAGAGCAAGAATTGTATATATCATAATTTTATAATATTTTAAATTTATAAAATTATTTTTTGACTTTTTTTAATTCAAGAAGACCCTGGATATAAGTCCATCAGTATATAAATAATTGCTAAGAACTGGGACTAAATTTTAAATAAACTACACTGTTGAAAAAGCCAATATTTTCAAGAAAATTGACCAAAAGGTATCCTTGTCTTCATTTCCACTGACATCTTATGACTGCCATATTTTTTCAGCTATGGCTCTTTTTCTACCAATGGCATGTCACAAAAATGTGTGAACCTCTGGTCACTCTAATTAGTCATACCAATATTGCATAATTTTACCTCAGAATGTTTTTTCCAACTACATTCTTTCTCCAGGGGCATTTATATTCAATGTTTTTTCCAGGGGCATTTACATTCTGAATACCGTGCCTCAAAGTCAAACTGGTTAGCATTACAATCTTGTCTGGTATTATATATGCATTTATTAATGTACAAATTGACCTCAGAAATAGAATATATTTGTCAGGAGTTTTAGGTCTTGTGTTCCCAACACCTAACAATAGATACTTGTTGAATAAATTATGAAAGGGAAAAATAATTTTTAAGAAATTTTGAAAACTTAAAAAGGAAACAAAGGTGTCACAATGGAAACAAAATTTCACTTTTTTTCCTCTGAGTTTAGAGTAAATCTCAGATTCAAACACATCTGAGGATGTACAATTATCAATTATGTAATTCCAAGGGAAAGTAATTTGTACTTACAGGTTAGATATGATAATCAATTCACTTAATTCTACTCGTTTCCTTTAAAAAAAAAAAAAAGAGGCTGTCAGAAATAATACATCACAGTAAAACCTCCTATCAAACAAGAAAAGATTGTATTTGGGAAAACATTTTCATAGACCTAAATTGAGTAATGTTTCCAACTTACATTTCACCAGTTAAGCTTCCCATTAGAAAATGTGTTTGTATGACACCAGTTCCACTTGCATTTTTTTCCCATAGGTTTCCCAGCAGACGTTTACAATCCTTTAGTGATGTTATAGCCAGAATTGTATTAGGTAATAATATAAAATCCCTAAATTTTATGTACAAACCTTCACTGATATTTTTAGTTATCATGAAAGAATCCTTGTATTTATTTCTATTCTAATTCTCCTCATGTCATTGGTATTTTATATGTATTCATTGTAAACATGTGTTGAATGTTCTAAATTTATACAAGCAAAACAATGTACATATTCTAGAGCTTAATATTTTCCCTCTCCCTGTTTTTTTTTCCGTGGCTTTCTCTTGCTTTCACTATTGCAAACTCTGACCCTGAGAGGCAAGAGTCGTGACCATTTAGTAAGATGTATCGTTGAGTATCATAAAATAGTTGGATAGTCTGCTATTTTTTTATAGTAGCAAAAATAGAATGTTCATATGCTTGCCCATGATTTTTATACATTTTTAAATTTGTCTACCACATGCCTAAATTTACCAAATTAAGTCCGTGTATATAAAACATTTGCACAAATGTTACTCAAGTTGTCTGAAATAAAAATACATGTATTTTGCAATTTAGAGCACATGACACTAAAGATGTATAGCTCCGTTAACTCACCTTCTGAACAAATTTCAGCAAGAAATTTCAGAATGAATATAAAAAAGTTAAGAAATATTCTAATATATAGTAGCTGAAAAGTTTACAGAAGTAAAGAAGAAAGACACAAATTAGTAGATTCTGAAGAATTATCTAAACGAACCCATAACTATTCTCTTTATTTTGGATATTCTATTGTTTCCTTATAATTTGTTTATAAGTTTCCTTATAAATAAACAAATTATAAGGAAACAGTGGAATATCCAAAACAGAATATGCAAGCCAATTAACAATCACCATTTTTACCAACAAAAATATTGAAAGTCAGAAAATTGTGGAATATCTTTGAAGTGCTAATAAATGATAACGGCAAATCTAGAATTTTATGTCAATTAGATTTAGAATTCAAGAGCAGATCAAAATAGAGACATCTTCAGACAATCCAAAAACTGAGAGTTTACTACCAAGAATAGTAACTTTTACAGTATGTACCATAGAATAAAGGATAATTAACTGGATGTAAATTCCAAAATATTAGAAGAAGAAAGGATGTGAAAAAACATATATAAGCAGTCACAATTTTATTTAACAAACACACCAACAATATGTGATTTGTGGGAATAAGAAAAACAACATGAATATAAAATAATGAACAATTTGTAGCAAATATTTTTAAATAATTGCAATTAAAGAGCCCTAAGACTTTGTATTGTTTGGGCTTGGTGTTAGTAAACTTTATATTTTATGTTAATAATGTTTATTAGAATATCAAAATTGCCTAGCAAAAGAAAACTGATAATGTGAATAATTTCCAAAATAAAAGAGATAAGTTACAAAAAATGTTAAAGTAAACAAATGCAAAACAAGGCAAAAAAAAAAAAATCAAAGTGAGAAAGACCAGCAAAGTGAATAAAAGGAAGAAAATATGACTTTAAATATAAAAAAATAAATAAATGAAAACCTAAAAAATAACATGCAAGTTGCCAAAAGAAAACGATTTACTTGACTGAATAAAGGTCGTTAAAGGATTTCTTCAGCTGGTGAGCACCAGGCAAACCTGAAGACTAGGTGGTTCCAGACTGAAGTAGGATCAGGCGTCTAACAGAAGTCTGTGGAGTATGCCTGGTTTAGGCTGGACAGATATTTTCTGCTTTAACTGAAGTTGAGTTTAGGTTTTTGGGTTCTTTTCTGTTTGTTTTTGTTTTATCTGTTTATGTTCCACTTTCAGAGTCTCATTATCCATCAGAACAATATTATATGAGAACAATCTTTGCAGCTGATGGGCTAACCACGTTCCCTGGGTGGGGCAGGGGAAGTAGACAAGAATAAGAATGAAGTGGATGTAAAGGAAGAAGGCAAGGGGCGGGGGATTATTACCCTCTAGTATGTTTGTTTTAATCGCTTTACACGGTTACTAGTTTTCAAATTTACTAAATATTTTATATGATTCAAATCATTAACTGAGAAATTTCTTTCAAATTCAGTGCTCTTTGCAGAGTACTGGCTAGATGTTGGAATCCAAAAATGAACTGTGAAAAAAGGCCCGTGTCCTCAGGAACTTATGTTCAGAAGAAATGGAAAAACAAAATTAAATAAGTGGATAAATACATGTGTGTTGTTTTACTAAGACCTTATTTATTAAATATTTTGCTAAGCCTATAATATTAAATCAGCTATTTATATATCTCTATATAACAATGGTTCTAGAGTCAGGAGGTTAACCTTGTGGATTCCTCAGTGACCTTGAGTAATCACTCAACCAAAATACATTTGTATTTAAATACGAACATAAGTTCGAACATTACGTTGTTACCCTAGCCACTTCACAAAATACGTTCGAACACTAGGTTGTTACCCTAGACACTTCACAAAATATTTGAAAAACACATGGATAGACAATTTGATGATTCTATAAATCTGGTAAATGAATTAGAAATATTATAAAAGGTTTTTCTGAGAGGATACCATCGAGCAAAAAGAAAATGACTAGCATTTGACACTATGTAACTTTAAATCTATATTTCAGGGACCTCTGTCACTTTCTTGGGGAATTGAATCACCTATTCCTACTTAGCAGCATGAAAATGAGTTGAATCTCCAGGTTATAGCATTTGAAGGCATGCCTGAGAGGAGCAGATTCAAAAATCAACAGGTGGTTGATGTTTTCTGTGGGGAGCATTCCTGCCTCAGTCCTGCTGCTGTGACCCATTCCTAAACAGCTTTGGGGTCTACAGTCCCCCTTGGTACCTGCTGGGGATTTGTTCCAGGACCACCACCAATCCTACCACCATCATCCCTTCATAGCAAAAGCCAGAGATGCTCAAGTTTCTTATATAAAATGGCCTAGTATTTGCATATAACTTACACAACCCTCTTGTATACTTTCTATCATTTCCAGATTATTACTTACATTAATAATACTGAATACAATATAAATGCTATGCACATAATTGTTATAAGGATTGTTTTTTATTTGCATTGTTTTATTGTTGTATTTCTTTTTAAAAATTATTCTTGGTATTTCTTTTAACAAATATGTTTGATTCATGGTTAGTTAAATCCACCCACAATGGGGGTATGGAGGGTCAGCTGTATTCAGGAATTTGCATTAACAGACTTAAGAGCCTAGTAGATTCTTTGCTTAAATGAACTCTGTGCAGACACAGCATTCAACATTTCTATTTTGATACTTTAAGCAGACTGCAGTGTTTGACAAGCTATTTCAGTAATATGCAATAATCTTTACAAAATAGACATAGATGTTCTGTGACCCCAAATTCTCTGAAACTCTAAACTCAATTATTGAATCTATAGTGGTGTTTCTGATCAGATTACAAGATGAAGGAAGCAATGGAACTTGGCCTAATGTAATGAAAAATATTGCTATCTCTCCACTGATTATTTTGGATGATGGGAGAGCTGTATAGCCATTTAACTAAAGAGGAATCCTTTCAGGAACTACTCTGAAGTACTTTAAGAGATGGAGTTGCTGAAGAAAAAAGATTGAAAACAATTGGCTTAGCTGTTCAGAGCATGGCAAGAATGTAACTATAATCTGTCATTGTGTGGGCAGACAGATGGCCTGAAAATTGAATAAATTGGAAATCACTGGAAGGCAGCTATTTTGTCCTTGAGTGCATTAGGTATCTTGGAAAAATGTTATTAAATGGTGAACAATTGCTATCGAAAAGTTTCTAGTTGTTTGGAACATAGAGTTACATAAAGTCAAGATTCTATTATTATTCTAATAATAGATAAAATCCGAATGTAAAGAAAATGTTTCCTATGAACTATGTAATTTAATTCTTATCAGAGCAATACTTTAAACAATTATTTGATTAGCCTGTGTTTGTGAATGTATATAAAGTAAGCAATAACCTTATTTTCTCCTCTTTGTAATTTAATTCATTAGAAATTGAGAATCTCAGACTTCTCTCCAGCCCTATTAAATCTGCATCTTCATTTCCAGGTCACTCATACACTGTTTAACTTTGAGAAGCACTGTTGTATATTGTCTTGAGAGTCCACACTATGAAATAAATTGGCCCTTATTTACTCCTCAATTGAAATTCTTCAGACTTTCTTAAAGTTTCTAAATAAGTCCCAGTTAGTGGAAATGAACTGATTTTAGTTTAATTTTTTTTTATCATGCATTGCTGTCCAAAAGAAGAAAGCTTATTTCTGCCAACTTCTTCTTATCCTCAACTTCCAACCACTGTCACGTCTGTCTTCTTTCTTTTTAATATTTTCAGGTGAATTAGAGGTTTGTCAACCGTAAGAATGAAATATATGGTTTATGGCCTATTTTTATGTAACTGGTCATTCTGAGATCTGGAAAACACTACCTGTGTTTATCTGCAACTAAAATCTAGACACCTGAGCCTACACTGCATAGCGAAACAGGTCACTAGAAAAACACAAGCAATTTAGAAAGGCTTTTAATATTGAACAGTTGCATTTTGTTTCTATTCATGTCTATCGCTTTCTCTTTTTTATTCTAAATTGCTTTATTATATTCTATATTTAATATTCTATCATTAACATGTCAATGACAGTCAATAATAATTGAGGACTCAGGTTTTGTCAATACACTGATTTATAATTAGTACAATATGTTATGAGTTTCCTTCGCACATTAATATTATCAGCTCTTCATTTTTTGTTGTTCACAATATATCTTCAACTACCTTTTTATTTTTAGGCAATGTACATATTACAATTTAAGAATAACATCTTCTTTGTTAAATATTTATTTCCACCCCTTTTCAGAAAATTAGATGGTTTACATTTATTGTTAGAAATAATATAAAGCTTTTCTGGTTTTGTGCTTCTAAATAATATTATTAATATATTCTTTTGTAATTACAAAAGCTCCTTGTTTTTGTTTTGTAATTCCTTTCTCAATAAAATAGAGCTGCAAATATTTTGTTCCTTTAAATATTTCAAATAAATAATTTTCATTTATAATAAAAAATATAAAATATGCCAAAGAATTTATTATTTCAAAAAATATGTCATTCACCAATTTGCTTTTAGATTTGTGAATACAGTCTCATTTTATTTTAATACTTTAATCATAGATCTTAACTTTTTTATAATTAATTTTAATTTGTATTTAACATGGTAATAATATTTTTACTTAATTTTATATTGTTGGGTTAGTAGTCACTGTTAGTACACATAACTATTTTACTTTTTCAACATGTAATTTTCATTAATCTTATTCAGATAAAGTTCATTTTCACTATTTTTCTTCAATTGGAAATATTTCATATTTTAAAGACTTCCATTCCTAACAAATGTGGAATACAACATTTTTAGCTCAAAATATTTTTCAAAACAAAACAGAATTTTTCCAGTCTTCACATATAAAACTAAAGCAACAAGCTCAAGTCTATCCAGACATTTTATACTTCAGAAACGAAAATACTAATCTTACGTGTTTATGGCGGATGTTTTTCTTATAATTTTAGTTAAAAAATATTTGTAGAAGGTTTTTATAGTAATATAGTCAGAAAATTAGTCTGCATTTTTACCTACAAATTAAGCAGTATTTTAAAAATTAGCTCAGGAAATTTTATTTTATATTGTATTTTAGTCTGTATTTGAATGATATTTAAATTCTTAGATTTTCACTTTAGATGTGGGAACTCAGGTGCTTAATTCTATCCTCTTTAATTTTATATCTGTGATTTCTTCTGCTTTGTTTTCAGTTCTATTTTTTTCCTGCACTGCAAAAGAGTTTCTAAAGGTTGTATTTAATATTACAAGCTTCATTTAGTGCTCTATCATTTGGCATTTACATTTTTACATAGTTTTAAAATTATATATATTTCTTTGTATTTTTTATCTAATTTTATACAATTTTAAAAATCATGCACCTCTAATATCTATTGACTAGGTTTAGCTTTCATTTCAGAGATAACATTAATAGTGAAAAATATTATCTTAAATGCAAAGATATTCATTATTTAAAAATTGATCAATGACATTCATTAAATTATCACAGGGACAAAAACATAAAATGATCATCTGTAGAGATGCAGAAAAATAATTTGACAAAATTCAGCACTGATTTATAAGAATTATCAGCAAAATAAGAACAGAAATGAAAATTGACCAACAACCAGAAATGACAGCAACAACAAAATACCAAGTCAGTAAAGATGGAGAGAAATAGGGAAGCAGTGAAGGTAGATGTCATTTCTGTTTTTAGTGGTGGAGTACAAGGTGTTCTTGTGCTTAAAGGTCATGTTCTTGTGATAAAACGCACTGCAGAGACAACACAGTTTAATTGGCTGAGGCAGGTGACTCCCTTTAAGCATCAGGGTGGAACAAACTACACGACAAAATGTAATTTTAAAGACCACTCTCATTCAAATGTAATAATATCAAAGCACCCTTAACTCATTAATGAGTGAAACAATGAGTGTCATGGTCTGAACTGTGTTCCCCTCCCCAAACCCGTATGTTCAAGCCCTAACCCCTAGTTATACACATAAGGTAAATGAAACCTTATTTGGACACAAAGTTTTTGCAGATGTAATCAAGCTAAAATTATGTCTGTAGGTGGGACTTAAAATAACATGGGCTGTCTTTATAAGAAGAGGGAACAGAAACAGATAGGATGTGGAGAGGACCATGTGAAGAGAGAAGCTGAGACTGAAAAGGATTTATGTATTAATATTGACAGAAGCCAAGGAACACCATCTGAAGTTCTGATGGCAACATCAGAAGCTAAGAGAAAGGCATGGAAAAGATTCTCACCTAGAGCATCCAGAGGAGAGGTTGGTCCTGCAGACACCTTGTTTTCTGACCTCTGACCTCCGCAACTGTGAGGGAAGAAATTTCTGTTGCTTAAAGACACACAGCTTGTGGTACTTCATTATAGCAGCCCAAGGTAACTAATATAGATGACAAAATTGGTTCCAAGGGTGTTTGAGGAACTGGACCTTTATAGGCATTATTTTCATAATACTGCATTAAGCT
Source organism: Homo sapiens (assembly GCF_000001405.40). NCBI lineage: Eukaryota > Metazoa > Chordata > Mammalia > Primates > Hominidae > Homo > Homo sapiens. The sequence goes on along the minus strand of NT_187651.1, from coordinate 831,595 downwards.
ATGATAACTGGATTAGATTCAAAATTGGATAATGCCCTAAATGCAATAAAGCTATAATTTTGAGATAAAATTTTAATAGCTTTATGAGATATAATTAACATCTGGTATACTGCACATTTTTGAGGTGTGAAATTTTTAAACATTAACATACGTATATACTTGTAAAACTATCACACTAGAAAGAGATCTCAAGCCTCTTCTTTTGACTTTCAACACATTGTCAATCCAGTACTAATCTGGTTTTATTACCATATATTAGCTTTTATTTTCTACAATTATATATCAGTAGAATTATAGAGTATGAATTCTTTTTGTCTTTTTTCCTTAAGCATAATATTTTTGAGATTCAACAATTTCTTGCATGTTGAAGTAGCACTTTTTTATTGTTACATATTATTTCATTTCATAGACATACCACTATAATTTATTTACTAAACTCTTGACCAGAGGTTCTCAAATGAGGGACATTTTACCTGCCAGGGGACATTTCCAATGTTTGGGGACACTTCTGGTTATCAGAGGTTTGTGGAGGAGGGGATAGAGTGTCCACAGGCCAGGGTTCCACAAAGGATAGCTCCCCACAACAAAGAATTAAGCCACTTCAACAGCTAATAGTGCTGAACTTGAGAACGCCGCTCTTGGTGGACAGTTGCATGGTGTCTGTTTTTGACAATAATGAATAAAGGTACTTGTGCAAGCCTTTTTACAGACTTATGCTTTTCTCCCCCCTAGGATAAATGCCTAGGGGTAGAATTGGTACATGTAAGGTAGATTTAGTTATCCAAAGTAGCTGTACTGTGTTACACTCCCACCGTCAATGTATGCAAACTCTAGAGTCTGGTTTCTTGACATCTATGCCAAATATTGGTAACACAATTTTTAAAATAGTAGCTTTTCTAGTAGATGTGTATAATTATCTCATTTTATTTTTTATTACTAACGATATTAAGAAATTTTTCATTTGCTTATTTGCTATTATATCATTTTTGTGTAGCATCTGTTAGTTTTTATAGCTCTCTTGTTTCTATGTTGTACATTATATTTATATATTCTTGCTCTTATTCATAATAAATAGTATATATAATTGTGTAATTAAAAATAAACATTAAAGTATAAATATATTTACACATTTCTGTAGTTTATCATTATATAATTATTGCTTTCTGAATAAAAAGAAATGTATCCACAGTTTGGATAAAAAGAAATGCTTTCATGTAGTTTACTAAGACATTTTCTGTGCTTTATATTTGAAGCCTATGCTTTCACTTTTACACATTGTTCCATAATATATTTTGGACTCCTTTAATTTTGAACTCATTCACGCTTTTGTTGTGAGGAAGGACTTGAGGTTTGTTTTCTTCACATTTATCTCGTAGTTCTGCACACTTTGTTAAATAAAATTATCTTTCCCCTTTGAATAACTGCAGTATCTTTGATATTATATTATTCATATAAGCATGGATCTATTTGTGAACTCTATTCCATTCCATTACTCTAATTGTTTATCCATATACTAATAACACATTCTCTCGATGACTATAGCTTTAAGTTATTGCATGGTGTTAGGAAGTGTGAGTATTCCAACTTTTTTTTCAGCTTTCTATCATTTGTTTTTGCTCTCTTGATGTACATTTTTAAATCAGTGTGTCAATTTATATAAAAATATCTTTTGTGATTATGGTGAGGATTTCTAGAATGATTAATTTGGAAAAACCAAAACCTTTTACACACTAAAATTCACTGAACTTTCAAGCCATGATTATTGTATTAGTTTGTTCCGGCATTGCTATAGAGAAATACAGAAGATTCAACAATTTATGAAGAAAAGAGGTTTAATTGCCCCACTGTTCTGCAGGCTATACAGGAAGGATGATGCTGGCATCTACTTAGCTTCTGGGAAGACTCAGGAAACGCACAATCATGGCAGAAAGCAAAGGGGGACAGGCACGTCACATGGCCAGAACAGCAAGAGAGTGAAAGGGGAAGCTGCTACACACTTTTAAATGACCAGATCTCATGAGAACTCACTCACTCACTATTATGAGAACAGTATCAAGAGGGATGATGCTGAACCACTCATGAGAAATCCACCCCATGATCCAATCACCTCCCATCAGGCCTCACCTCTAACATTGGAGATTACATCATACCAGATTTGGGCAGGGACACACATCAAAACCATCAATTATTGTATGCGACTCCATTTATTTAGAACTTTCCTACATCTCCCAACACTTTTGCTAGTTTCCTATTTAGAGAGATCTTGCATGTAATTTGTTAAAATCATATATACATATTTTATTTTTATTAGTATTTTACATGGATTTGATTTTTATCATTAATTGCTCATTGGAAATATATAGAAATAAGTTAATGGGTTGACTTATTTTTTCTATGATGTGGCTAAAATTACTAGTTTATTCCAGCAGCTGATTTTTACAGTCACTAGAAGTTTATGTGTAGGTAATGGAGTTGTTTAAAAATTTAGAATTGTATTTTTCATTTCTTAACTGTGTATGTTTTACTTATTTATTTGATTTGTCTCACTGGTTAATTCCTCCCATACAGTAGAGAGAACAATAGTGAAAGAGGACACTTTGTCTTCTTCTGGATCTTAAATGAATAATTTATTAGTTCAAACTTCAGTGTGATATTTCCGTAGATGCCTTCTATTTGCTTAAGGATGCTTCTTTGTATTCTATTGGGGCGAGATATTTTTATTATAATTCTATCTTGAAAATGCCAAATGTTTTTTCTGCCTCAGAGGAAGTTTATATATTTTTTTCATTTTACTCAGTTAATGTGGTGAGTTTGAAAATTCAAATACTTGAAAAATCACGTTCCCATCAAACACTGCTTCTTACTGTCCCTTTCTAAGAGGACTACCTTCAACTTGGGCATTTAGAGGATACTTCCCTTCCTATAGCTCAGGGTTTTTTTGTATTTTTTTTATGTTTAAATTTTAGTGATATTTCTTTTATGTGTTTTTAAAATATTTTATGGGCTACTGCATTGACCCATTTGTTTCAACTTTACAGCTCTAGTTAAATATAAAAATTAATAAAATGTCAACACTCAAGTATTACATATATCCCTTGATCTGGTGATTTAGGACTATGAGAAAAATGCTCAATTTCCCTCGATAGAAGGAAGTATGAACTTTTTTATTTATTTATTACTGTAGTCTCACAGCCTAAAAATCAGTAGGTCTCCACTGGTCAGCAAGCAAATGATCATGATTGTTTTTCTGAATTTTTGACAATTTCAGAATAGGCAAGAAAGCTAAGTTTTAAAAATAAAATGCCAACATCAAGAATTTAAAATCAAATTCATCACAGTGAATCCCAACAGGAAATAGTTCTTCATTTTATGATTACTCAGAGATTTTGCTTGTTGTAGTGGTCTTCCTTCTGGCTCATAATTTTTTGCTACTCTGCAGCAGAAATAATAAGAAATATTTTCCCAGTCCACAGCGGTGAAGGAGAAGAAAACTATAAATCAAAAGTAGCATATTCTGTGGATCATTTATTGAAATAAACACAGTGAGTACAAGATGGGTAATCTATTTGCATAATCAAAGACACCCTTCATCTGTGTCTATTTTTCTCTTTTCTTTTCTTTTCTTTTTTTTTTTTTTTTTTTTGAGACAGAGTCTCACTCTGTTACCCAGGTTGGAGTGCAGTGGCATGATCTTGTCTCACTGCAGACTCCGCCTCTCGGGTTCCAGCAATCTTCCTGCCACAGCTTCCTGAGTAGCTGGCATTACAAGGTATGGGCCACCATGCCCGGCTAATTTTTGTATTTTTATTAGAGATGGGGTTTCGCTATGTTGGCCAGACTGGTCTTGAACTCCTGGCCTCAAGTGATCTGCCCGCCTCAGCCTACCAAAGTGCTGGGTTACAGGCATGAGCGACTTGCCTGGCTATGTCTATTTTTAACATAGTTATAGTGAACTATAATTATTTTTACACAAAAACTATTCTTACAAATGTTATATGTATTTTAAGAGCATACAAACTTACAGGTTTTTTTATTTAATAAAAACCAGTGGCAGATTGATAATGCAGAATATATTATTTATAAAAAATCATTTGTTGTCATACAAACATATATTTTATTTGAAAATTATACTTTTGAATAGCTTTTTGGAAAGTTAAAGTATTCTCATTTATTGCATACGTTTGTCACCAAAATTATACGAAAGAGTGTTTGATTCAAAATGTGTGTGTGTGTGTGTTCCTATATAGGACCCAGATAACACATATATATTAAATAAATAAATACATGTATATATATATATCATGCACACACATTTAAATATAATGTAAATGTGTGTGTGTGTGTGTGTGTGTGTGTGTGTGTGTATGTGTATGTGTATGTGTATGCAGATGCCCCTCTGGAAACAAATTTAAAAAGAATCCCCTCTTTTGAGTGTATAAAGAAGTTCCTTTCTTAAGGAATGGATAACAGGGGTTGGTACTTTGGCTGAATTCCTCTTCCTCTTACTTTCATTAGACTTGGCACTGTTGCATAGAACACAATTTTCCAAAATGTAATGTCTGTGTTATGCCTACAAATGTACCATACATAACAATTTGTCATTTTCTGTAATTACATACTGACCTATTTAACATTTATCTAACCACTTATATATCTTAATCAAAATAAATCAACCCATGTAAATTGTTTATTTCTATTGTCTTTCTCAGTATAATGCACAAGATACCTTTCTATCTCTATATGTATTTGTCATTTTCATGTCTGTCCCTACATGAGTTGACTCTATTTTTCTGTTACATAGATATGTGATGTTAGTACAATATATGTTAACTAAAAATGGATGATGCAACCTTTTAAAATTATGACCATCGCAGTGAAAATTATGTCTCTAAAACCCAATGACCACAGGGACATTCCAGTTTTTAGAAAAATATCAGGGGCTTAGGTATTTTCAGATTAAATTAGGAAAAATAGAGTATCTTTCCATTTATTTATGTGGGCAAATTTCCCATTTGTTCACATTAAATCTTTTAATGGCATATTGCCTAAATCTTTCTCAGAAAAGCTTAGCCAAATTGCCTAGGATGTTTCCTTTCTCCCATATTACCATCACTGTTTACCATCATATTTCTAATAATTTTAATTTTGGAACATGAAAATGGTATTTCAATTTAAATGCGTATGTTTTTCTATTTGCAAAGAGATTAAACATCTCTTCAAGTTTTTAAACTATATGCAGCCCTTCTTTTCTGCCATACCTGTTCATTTCCTCAAGCTATTTTTCCATCAGACAGTTTCATGTTTTCTCATTGATTTGAAGCTTCTATTAAAGTATTGTATACACATGGGTAAATGCACATAAGTTTAAAGCTTAGTGAGTTTTAAAATACTATGATCATCCAGAATAAGAAAATGTAATAGTCACACACCTGATTTCCACCCATCCCTCCTAACATAACACTATTCTAACTTTTACCAGTAAGGAATCAAATAGTGTGTGTAGTGTTTTGAACCACATTTTTTTGCTTAATATTATATTTGTGAGACGAATTGACTATATGACCTGCAAATGAAACTATTTATATTTATTTCTCTAATATTTTATTAGGTGATCATATTACAACTTATTTGTTTACTGTACTCTTTATAAGTATTTTAGTCCACTTTTGGGCCACAGTTTGGGGTTATTTTGGTGTTATTCTGAAAAGTGTTTTCATGAGTACACATTTTTTTTTAGCTATATATATGCATGCATTTCTGGAGAAACCATCTTTACAAGTAGAATTTTGGGGCCTAATACATATCTTTATCCAAATTATTTGAACTAAGTTATGCCAATAACATCAATTTGAGTGTTCTAATTAGTCAACATTCTCATCAATACTTTGCACTTTCTCTTCAACTTAGAATTCTAAAATATTCCTTTCAAATTCAGGATTCTGAATGACAAGTACTTACATCTCATTGTGGTTTGAATTATTTTTTCAGGTAACCAATATAAATAAAAACCTTTTAATAAGTTCATTGGTTATTTGAATATTTTATTTTTGAAGTGTCTAAGATATTTTCTTTCTAATCCAGTCCAGTTATTTTTCTGTGGTTTGCTTCTTGTTGTCTTATTGAGTTCATTGCCTTTTTAATATTCTTTTCCGGTTAACATTTCCCCCTCATTGATCTGAAATGTTTTCATTATATACCACCTTTCCATATCTGTCAATGTCTTGATTTTCTATATGATCTTCATCTATCTGTAGTTATAACTCATTTTAATCATAGAAGCTTTAAGAATTGCTTAATATTTTGTATTGACTCCAAATTCCATTGATTTTATAGGATATTTCTAGCTATTCTTGCTTCTTTATTCCTCCAAGTAAATTTGTCTATTTTTCTAAATCTGGAAAAAGAAATTCTAGAAAATGTCGTTTTGTTATGACACAGAAGATATAAGTTTATTTAAAGAACTGGCACATTTATGATTTTAAGGCTTTTTCAAGAGCATGGAATTTCTTTCCCCGTGCTCAAGTCCAAATTTGTGCCATTCAGAAGTGTTTTCTAGTTTTTTTTATATATAGGTTTTAAACATTTCTGGTTAAGTTTATGCCCTCACATTTTATTTTAGTTTGGTTAATGACGTTTTACATGTGTGAGTTCCCTCAATTATTTGTTTTAAATGTTCTGATTCAATAGGAACACTCTCCTTAGTATCCTTAACAGAAATGATTCTTGTTTATAGAATTGCTAAATAAGTAAAGAAATTTTAAGTTAAATCATGGCAAGGAGTTATAATTATACTAAGCTTTTTTGTTCCTAGAGGTTTTGGCTCACTCGTATGGTAATCTATATGAAAATTTTTCTGTGATATCTAATATTAGAAAGATCCTCAGTGATAGAATAGTGTTTCTTCCTAGCTGATTCATACATCTTTCTCTGCCAACATTTTGTTTGTTGAAGTGTTCCCCAACATATGACTCATTGCTTACTAAATCCCTATTGAGCAGCCAAAGCCCTGGTGACTAATTATGTCATTAATTTGGGAAAGTCAGAGACAATAAGACTGTCAGTTGAAACTTTGTAGGAGGTAAAAAAGTCACTGCTGTCAGCTGCAAAGATCCTTAAAACGGTCTTCAGTAAAGTCAAATTTTGTGACAAGAATTATTGCATCAAAGTCGGGGAAATACCTCTTAGATCAAATAAGATACATTGAAAAGCCAAAAATTATTTTTATCTCACTTTGGGTTCTCATAAGGTCTACCCACTGTTACTTGGATATGAGACTTAACAAATGGAAAAGAAGACAGGGGTACTGTCACACTGTATTTTCCTACGGCCTAATGACCACAATGGTTGATGAACTGCAGTAAAGTTTCTATAATATTTTCCATCTATTCATTTGCTCAATCACCTTGTAATGGTTATGTTGGTTAATTCCAGTCTTTCATGGGTAAGCAACAAAATGAGACTTAATTTGAAATATCCAGTATTTTTCTATTCTTACAAATAATTTTCAGGATCAATGCACTGAGGATTAGGAATGGCAATGTGTATTACTACTTTGATACCAACTATATCCAATCTAATGTTGGAATTTGTTTGACAAAGTGTTGTGTATTTGAAAACAGGCAGCACTGAATAAAAAGAATATGGGCAAAAGAAAAATGGAAGTGTTTTGAATGGAAGTCTAAAATATTTATTGATCAATGCTGAACTGAGTAAGCAGGAGATGCCTGTACATAAATGACATTATCCTGATCTAGTAACAGGGAGAAGCAGAATATCTGAAAGCTGTTTATTAATTTGATAATAATAAGATTAGAAACATGCAAATCAAGATTAATAGTATTCACTTCTAATTGGGTTTAGGTAGACTTTGACTATTTTGCTTCTGATGTTCTTATATTTTTAATTTTCTATAATGATCATATAACATATAATATTTTCATAATATTAAACATTTTAGAATTAAACTCCATTAGAGTGTATCTTTCCTAAAATAATATAAACATCTAATCTTGTCCTTAACAATTCTGTTCTCAAACATTAGCCTATTCCCTCAAGCCAGTGTTGCTTTCGACCCATATTGTCCATCATTTCAATTTATCTCAAAGTTTTTTATTGCAACAATTAAATGCTTTGAATGATACCCAAGGCATAGTTCTATTTCAACAAAATTTCAAAGTTAATAGTTACATCAAATTTTGTTGGTGCTCATTGAATTTGGTTATTAAAACCATAAGTAGTATGTTTTATGCTGACTGAGGGAGATAAAAGTAGTAATGTTTAATATTCAAACTGTGATGACTGAAAAAAAAATGAGGCCTGTAAAATCTTATTTAACGTCAAATTTTAATTAAACAGGCTTAGCAGACCAAAATTAAAATCTCAATTATTTTTAAATTATTAATGACAGACAACTAGATTGAGTGAACACTGGCATCTCTTTTCAAATAACTTAGTTTAGTGGATGAGTTAAACATAAACTAGTTATTATAATGCAGCGAAGTATGTGAAAAATTTAATTTGAACCCTACTTAGCTTAAAATCCTGACATTCTAGGATGCAAGTCCTGCAAACTTTCCATATGTAATCAACAATTTTCTAAACATGCATGCTGTATCTCTCCTGTGTGACTTTGCATACATCATTCCCACATTCTAGATCATCCCGACCCACCTTAAGTGACTGCTTTTGCATAATCTCCCTTAAAATTCTAACTCAAGCACTGCATCTTTTGAGTCCTTCCCTAACATCTTAACATCTTCCTTCTTTCATTCATCATTAACTATAGTTAGTTATTATAGCACCTGTTAGCACTGTAAAATTATGTGTGTTACACAAGTACAACATGCAGACTAAGGTCGTGTATTACCTAGCCTCATACCAGCGTCACCTAGAACAGCAAAAATGTATGCAGATTAATCACAATATATTTGGATGTACAAAATATATTGAGAGCAAAATATGATGGAAATTTAGGTGATGCTCTTTGAGCATTGCTTCCATTTTCCAATAATGTAACCAGGAATCACTGTTCATGTAATTAAAGAACAATAAGTCTATGTGAATCAAAATATACATATACATGCAAATGTTAAACCTCAGCAGGAAGAGGCCCATTCTCTTGCTTGCTGATATATATATATATATATATATATATATATATACACACACACACACACACACACATATATGTATGTTGTGTGTATATGTATATACACACAACAATCTATAGGCTTGCCTTTTAAAATAGTATAAGCAACAAATTTTAAGAGAAACAATAATGAGTGTGTAAAACATTAGATATGTGTATGTACCTTTGCTATTATTTGTGGAAATGGGGCTATAAAATAAGCTCCTTTATTTTCTTTTGTAAAACATTTCTTTAATATGAAGTAATGCAATACGTATTTATGTTCTAAGTGTTAATTTCCTTGGATATAAAATAATATCTTGTTCCTTTGATTCTCTTACATATAAGTGTATTTACTCAGATATTACTCCAAATACACCAGATATATTCAAAGTTGAAAAAATATATACTTTGGAATGTATTATCACCTTATTTCACATGAAGAAATCAAAATCTCTGGCATCCAAGTGCATTCCAGCCTGAAAAAAATTATGCAATTGTGAATTTAACAGAAAGCAAATTGCTCACATATGGAGTCAACGTGAAGCTATATCAATATTTATTAAAAGTTTATATATTACTTTTGATCCCCTGGAGAGAAATACAAAATTCAAATAATTATTCTATTTTTATATCCCAATTTGTAATTATGAAACTCTAGCATTTTAATTTTTCTCTTTCAAGTTTACCTGAAGCTTCACAAAATTCTGTGAGGAATCTATTATAACAGGTATTTTGCTTATTTCCACACAAACAGAAGGAAATGTGTATTTTCTATGCCCTGAAGAATTTACTCTTTTCTGTAAATGACATATGGTAGTTAATTCTTTTTGGTAATAAAATATTCCTGTTTTTAGGCCGAACAGCCTTTTCTTTAAATTCAGGGCAACATATCAAAGCTTTGCCGTAATAATACAGAGTAATCGACTAAAGTAATATAGAATTTAAATAACAAAGAGTTTAAACAATTTAATATGTCTTCTATTAATTTCAAACTGAAATTTTACAGAAATTATTTGGAATATGCTGCCAGAGTACACACACACACACACACACACACACACACACACCACACGCTCACATCACACACTCACACCCAGCTAAAGGAAATTACCACAGCTATAATGATTTCATTAAATATCTGAAATTAAAGTTTCTTTTGGATTTTCAGCTGAAGCTCATAGTAAATAAAAGTAATATGATCATTGTTGCATACTGTGAATCAACAGCACCCAGAAACCTTCGACTTTCTATATTTACACAGCTTAATTATCCGAACTGAAACCTGAGGCCATCTGTGTCAACATGATTTCACAATTCATTTTTCAGGAAAGTAAGGCTGCAAACCAATAAATAACTTATTGTTTGCTTCAGGAAATTTCTGCAAATCAATTTATGTCAGTAAGCAACTCTCCTCTGGGCCAACAGATTGCTCACCTGGGCAGGTAGCAGCTTGTGTCAATTAACAGTTTACTTATGAAGACTTCTGTCATGGCCCTTAACTCACAGTGTCCCCCAATCCTAAACTCTATGTCCTGAACATTACCTATTCTTATCAGTCATTGGTCTTGAAAGGCCCCGGGCAACCATTTGAGCCCAGACTTCAATACTCTATCAATACCACCTTATCATCTACTTTTCTAACATGACCCCTCAAGGTGGTGACCCCACTTACAGTCGTCTTTTATTGAATTTAGCTTTCCCTAATCAACATGCTAGTCTATTGGATGCAGTGTCGGAGGCAAAAATCACAGAGGTTCTGAAAGCATCAGCCCATGGTTTTCTAAACATCATGGTTCAAGACCCTTAACACGAAACAGAAAGTTTCCCCGAGGCGCCGTAAACAACCCATTTGGGCGCTTCCCTGATAATTATAGTGAAATCTGGCATCTAATTTTTTTTGGTGGACTCTCAAATTTTATATTTATGTTTTGATTCCTAGAAATAAAAAATGTTTTTATAAGGAATTCTTTGATCGTTTATGTTTTATTCTTGATAGAAACCTACTACTTTATAACTTCGTTTATGTTTTACTCTTGATAGAAACCTACTACTTTATAACTTCGAACATTATTGATGTTCTTCCTGTATTTCTGAGAGGTGACAGCTTGCTGGCATCCCTCGCTGGCTCTCGGCGCCTCCTCGGCCTCAGCCCACTCTGGCCGCGCTTGAGGAGCCCTTCAGCCCGCAGCTGCACCGTGGGAGCCCCTCTCTGTGCTGGCTGAGGCCTGAGCGGGCTCCCTCTGCTGGCGGGGAGGTGTGGAGGGAGAGGCGCGGGCCGGAACCTGGGCTGCCTGCGGTGCTCGCAGGTCCAGCGCGACTTCCGGGTGGGCGCGGGCTCAGCGCGACTTCCGGGTGGGCGCGGGCTCGGCGCGCCCCGCACTCTTGAGCGGTCGGCTGGCGCCGCCGGCCCTGGGCAGTGAGAGGCTTAGCACCCGGGCCAGCAGCTGCGGAGGGTGCACTGGGTCCTCCAACAGTGATGGCCCGCCGGCGCCGCGCTCGAATTTTCGCTGGGCCTCAGCCACCTCCCCGCGGGGCAAGGGGGCAGGGCTCGGGACCTGCAGCCTGCCATGCTGGAGCCCTCACCCTCCTCCCCGCCCCCGTCCCCTGCCCCCCGCCCCCCGCCCCCCAACCGCAGGCTCCCGCGCGCCACCCCGAGGGGACGGGCGCCACCTCCTGCTACGCGGCACCCGGTCCCGTCAACCGCCCAACGGCTGAGGAGTGCGGCAGCGCGCCAGAGACTGGCGGGCAGCTCCGCCCGCGGCCGGGATGCACTAGGCAAAGCCAGCTGGGCTCCTGAGTCCGGTGGGTACTTGGAGAACTTACTACGTCTAGCTGGAGGATTGTAAATGCACCAATCAGCATGCTGTGTCTAGCTCAAGGTATGTGAACGCACTAATCAGTGCTCTGTGTCTAGCTAATCTGGTGGGGACTTGGAGAACTTTTGTGTCTAGCTAAAGGATTGTAAACAGACCAAGCAGCTCTCTGTAAAATGAACCCATCAGCTCTCTATGAAATGGACCGATCATCAGGATGTGGGTGGGGTGAGATAAGGGAATAAAAGCAGCTGCCAGAGCCAGCAACAGCAACGTGCTAGGGTCCCTTTCCACAGTGTGGAGGCTTTGTTCTTTTGCTCTTTGCAGTCTTGCTGCTGCTCACTGTTTGGCTCTGCGCAGAGCTGTAACACTCACCAAGAAGGTCTGCAGCTTCACCCAAAGATATTCCAAAGATACAGAAAACTATATAGAGACATTTTGTATAGTTCTAATAGCATATAATCCACAGGTCCCTGATCTATAATATGGGTTTTTTATAAAATTGTTTTTTTGTATGCTATGAGGAATTTTACTTGTTAAAAAGAAGAGGTGGAAAGGCAGAATATGAAAACTATGAAAATGACATAAGAGACTATGAATTAGGTGAGAAACCAGAGAGGTTTAGAAACCTGTAGACATTGTGCATCCCCCAATGCCTTTCCCCTTAAAAAAATTATATTCTAATCCAGTCCATCAAATAAAGTCTACGTTCATTAGAAACATATTCTCTTGGTTTTTATAATTTCAGTTTTTTTCAGACACAGATAGTGCATATGCAGATTTGTTACTTTTGTACAGTGCACCCTGGTAGTGAGCATAGTACCCAGTAGGTAGTTATTCAGCCCATGCTCCCCTCTTTCCCCCACCCCCGTAGCCTGCAGCATGTCTTGTTCCCATGTTAATGTTCCTGTGTGCTCAGTGTTTAGGTTCCACTTATAAGTGAGAATGTGTGGTATCTGGTTTTCTTTTCCAGCACTAATTTGCTTAGGATTATGTCCTTAGCTCCATCCATGTTGCTGCAAAGGACATAATTTCATTCTTTTTTATGGAGGCATAGTATTCCATAGTGTATATGTACCACATTTTCTTTATCCAATCCACCTTTGATGGGCACCTAGGTTCATTCCATGTCTGTGCTATTGTGAATAACATGCTGATGAACGTACGAGTGCATGTATATTTTTCTGGTAGAATAATTTATTTTCCTTTGAATATATACCCAGTAATGGGAATGCTGGGTCGAAGGGTATCTCTGTTTTAAGTTCTTAGAGAAATCTCCAAAATACTTTCCACAGTACCTGAACCAGTTTACATTTCCATCAACAGTAGTGTATAAGCATTCCCTTTACTCTGCAGCCTGGCCAACATCTAATTTTTTTACTTTTTAATTATAGCTGTTGTGACTGATGTGAGATGGCATCTTACTGTGGTTTTTGCTTGCATTTATTTATTTGATGATTAGTAAGGATGAGTGTTTTTTCATATACTTGAGTGTCTTCTTTTGAGAAAATATCTGTTCATGTCCTTTGCCTTTTCTTGATTTAAATTTTAAGTTCTGGGGTACATGTGCAGGAAGCGCAGTTTTGTTACATAGATAAACGTGTGTGGTGGTGGTTTGCTGGCACCTATCAACCCATCACCTAGGTATTAAGCCCAGCATGCATTAGCTATTTTTCCTGATGCTCTCCCTCTCCTCAACCCCCTACAGAAAATTATAGTGTGTGTTGTGTGTTGTTCCCCATTGTGTGTTGTTCCCCTCCCTGTGTCCATGTGTTCCCATTGTTCAGCTCCCACTTATAAGTGAGAAGATGCGGAGTTTGATTTTCTGCTCCTGTATTAGCTTTGCCCTTTTTAACTGGGGTTGTTTTATGCTTGTCATTTTTTCTTCCTTATGGATTTGTTATATTAGATCTTTATCAGATGCATAGTTTGCAAATATTTTCTCCCATTCTGTAAGTTGTCTGTTTACTCTGTGGATAGTTTCTATTGCTGTGCAGAAGCTTTTTAGTTTGATTGACTTTCACTTGTCAATTTCGTTTTTGTTGCAATTGTTTTTAGAAACTTAGCCAAAAATTATTTGCCAAGGCCAATGTCGAGAAAAATATTTCCTAGGTTTTGTTTTAGAGTTTTCATAATCTGAAGTCTTACATTTTAACCTTTAATCCATCTTGAATTAATTTGTGTGTATGGTGGAAGGTAAGCATCCAGTTTCACTCTTCTGCTTATGGCTAGCGAATTATCCCAGCACCATTTATTGAATAGGGTGCCTTTTCCCCATTGTTTGTTTTTGTTGGCCTTGTCCACGATCCAGATGGTGGTAAGTGTGCAGCTTTATTTTTGAGTGTTCTATTCTGTTCCATTGGCTTAAGTGTCTGCTTTTGTAACAGTATCATGGTTAGTGTACACTTATAGTATAGCTGGAAATTGGGTAGTATGACGCCTCTCTGGCTTTATTATTTTTGCTCAGAATTGCTTTGGCCATTCTGGCTTTTGGGGGTGTTCCATATAAATTTAGAATAGTTTTTTCTAATTCTGTGAAGAATGATGTTGGTAGTTTCATGGAGATAGCCTTGAATCTACAAGTTGCTTTGGGCAGTGTGGCCATTTTAACATATTGATTCTTTTAATCTGTAAACATGGAATGTTATTCCATTTATTTGTGTTATCAAAATCTCCTTCCTTCCTTCCTTCCTTCCTTCCTTCCTTCCTTCCCTCCCTCCCTCCCTCCCTTCCTCCCTTCCTTCCCTCCCTCCCTCCCTTCCTCCCTTCCTTCCATCCTTCCTTCCTTCCTTTTCTTATTTCCTTCCTTTTTTGAGACAGAGTCTCACCCTTTCACCCAGGCTGGAATGCAGTGGAGTTATTATAGCTCACTGCAGGCTTGAACTCCTGGCCTCAAGCCGTCAGGGTAGTTAGGACTACAGGCATGTGCCACCATGCCTCGCTATTTAAAAAAAAAAAAAAAATTTGTATAGATGAGGTTCCACTATGTTGCCTAGGTTGGTCTCAAAACTCCTGGGTCCAAGCGATATACCTGCCTCGGCCTCCCAAAGGCATGAACCACTGCATCCAGCTTCAGATTTCAGCTGTGTTTTGTAATTCTCCTTGTGGAGATCGTTCACATCTTAGGTTAGTTGTATTTGCAGGGATTTTATTTTCATCCTAGGTGTTGTAAATATGATTGTGTTCTTAATTTAACTCTCAACCTGGATGTTGTTGTTGTATAGAAATGCTACTAATTGTTGTACATTGATTTTGTATCCTGAAACCTTGCTAAAATCCTTTATCATTTCTAGTAGACTTTTGTTGAAGTCTTTAAGCTTTTTTAGGTATAGAAGGATATTGTTGGGTGAAGACAGATAGTTTGCCTTAATCTTTACTTCCTATTTGGGTGCTTTTCTCTTTTTCTGTTGCAAGATTGCTCTGACTAGGATTTCTGGTACTATGTTGAATAGGAGTGGTAAGAGTGGATGTCCTTGGCTTGTTTCATTTCTAAAGGAGAATGCTTTCAGCTTTTGCCCATTGAGTATTATATTGGCTGTGGGTTTGTTGTAGATAGCTCTTTTTTATTTTGAAGTATGCTTATTTGAAGCCTCAACTGTTGAGGGTTTTTTTTTGTTTTGTTTTTTCATGAAGGGACACTGGATTTAATTGAAAGCTTTTCCGGCATCCGTTGAGATGATCATATGGTTTTTGATTTAATTCTGTTTATCTGGTGAATCACATTTATTGATTTGCATATGTTGAACCAGCCATGCATCCCAGGAATAAAGCCTGTATTGTCATAGTAGATTAATTTTTTGATATGCTGCTGATGGATTCAGTTTGCTAGTACTTTGTTGAGAATTTTTGAGTCTATGTTCGTCAACAGTGGTCACCTGAATGTTCTTTTTTTTTGCGTCTCTGCCAGGTTTTGGTATTAAGCTGCTTCTGGCTTCACAGCGTGAGTTAGGAAGGAGTACGTTCTCTTCAACTTTTCTGGAATAGTTTCAGTAGAATTGTACTAGTTCTTCGTTATACTTCCGGTAGAATTTTGCTGTGAATCCATATAGTCCAGGGCTTTTTGGCTTGGTAGATTTTTTATTACTTATTCAATTTCAGAGCTTCATATTGGTCTCTTCAGTATTTCAGTATCTTCCTGATTCAATCTTGGAAGATTGCCTGTTTTCAGAAATTTATCCATTTCCTCTAGATTTTCTAATTTTTGTGTCTAGAGTTATTCCTAGTATTCTCTGAGGATTATTTTGTATGTCTGTGGGACCATTTTTAATGTCGTTTTTGTCATTCTGATTTATATATTTAGATCTTCTCTTTTTTTTCTTTGTTTATCTAGCTAAAGGTCTATCAATCTCTTTTTTTAAATCAACTCTTGGTTTCATTAATCTTTTGTATGGATTTTTGCATCTCAATTTCATTCAGATCTTCTCTATTTTAGTTGTTTCTTTTCATTCCTAGCGTTGATGTAGGGTTGTTCTTTTTTTTTTCTTCCCTAGTTCCTTTAGGTGTAGTGTTAGATTGTTAATTTGAAGTATTTCTAACTTTATGATAAAGGCATTTAAACGTTCCTCTTAACACTGATTTAGCTGCATCCCAGAGATTTTGGTAATTTGTGTTCCCATTTTCATTAATTTCACTTTCTTAAAATTTCTCCCTTAATTTTGATTTTCACACAGAAGTTATTCAGGAGAAAGTTGTTTAATTTTCATCTATTTGTGTAGTGTTGAGAGATGTTGGTATTTATTTATATTTTGATTACATTGAGATCTAAGAGTGTGCTTGATATGATTTCATTTTTTAAAATTTATCCAGACTTGCTTTATGACCAAGCATGTGGTCAATGTTAGAATATGTTCCCTGTGCAGATGAGAAGAATGTATATTCTGTGGTTATTGAGTGGAGTGTTCTGTAGATGTCTTATTAGGTCCAGATGGTCAAGGGTGAAGTTTAAGTACACAGTTTCTTCCTTAGTTATCTGCTTTGATGATCCAGTGCTGCCAGCGGGGGTGTTGAAGTCTCCTACAGTTATTGGGTGGTCGTCTGTCTTTTTGTAGTCCAAAAAGAACTTGTTTTATGAATCTGGGTGCTCCATGTTGGGTGCATTTATATTTAGGGTACTTAAGTATTCTTGTTTGATCATATACTTTCTCATGACGTAATGCTCTTCATTCTTCAATTGTTCTTTTTAATTTTGATTAAAGTCTGTTTTATCTGATATAAGAATAGTTACTCCTGCTTTTTTGTTATCATTTGCATGGCAGATTTTCTCCATCCCCTTATTTTGGGCCAGTGGCTGTCATTACATATGAGGTGAGTCTCTTGAAGACTGCAGATGGTGAGCCTTGCATTTTTATCCAGTTTGCCATTGTATGTCATTTAAGTGGGGGTGTTTAGCCTATTTACATTTATGGTTAATGTTGATACATGAGATTTTGATCCTATCATCACGTTTGTAGCTGGTTTTTAGGTAGACTTGATTGTGTAGATACTTTATAGTGCCTGTGAGCTATGTACTTAAGTGGGTTTTTGTGGTAGCAGGTGTCATTCTTTTTACTCAATGTATAGCACTCCCTTAAGGACCTTTCATAAGGCTGGTCAAGTTGAAATTGATTCCCTCAGTATTTGCTTATCTGAGGAGAAATTTGTTTCTTCTTCACTTAGGAAGTTTAGTTTAGTGAAATATAAAATTATTGCCTGGAATTTATTTTCATTAATGATGTTGGACATAGGCCCTTAATCTCTTCTGGCTTGTAAGGTTTTTGCTGAGATATTTACTACTAGCCTAGTGGAGTTCTTGCTTTATGAAAACATGACCTTTCTCTCTAGCTGCCTTTAAGATTTTTTTTTTCTTTTGTATTTACTTTGGTGAATATGATGACTGTGTGCCTTAGGGATAGTCACCTTTTATAGTGCCTAGCTGGGTTTGCTGTATTTTTTGGATTTACATGTCACTCTCTCTAGCGAGGTTAGGAAAATTTTCATAGACTCTATTCTCAAATCTATTTTCCAAGTTGCCTTTTCTCTTTGTTTCTCTTCTAGGAATGACAATGAGTCGTAGATTTGGTCTCTTTATATAATTCCATATTTCTTAAAGCTTTGGTTCATTTTCTTTTTTTAATTCTTTTTTAAAATTTTCTTTTGACTCAGTTGATTCAACGAACCAGTCTTTGAGCTCTGAGATTCTTTCCTTAGCTTGGCCTACCTTCTGTTAATATTTCTTACTGTATTATAAAATTCTTATACTGAATTTTTTCTGCTCTAGAAATTCAGTGTGGCTGTTGTTTAAAATGGCAATTTCATCTTTCAGCACTTACTTAGATTGCTTTACTGGATTACTTGGCTAGGGTTTCAACTTTCTCCTTAATGTTCATGAGCTTCCCTGCCATCGAGGTTCTGTATTCTATGTCTGTTGCAATTATTTTAGACTGATTAAGAACCATTGCTTGGTAGCTAGTGGGCTAATTTTGAGGTAAGAGGACACTCTAGCTTTTTGAATTGCCAGAGTTCTTGCACTGATTTTTTCTCTTCTGGTAGGGTTAGTGTTCCTTTAACTGTAGTGTATGTTGAGTATAGGCAATTGGTTTTGTTTCTGGATGCTTTCAAAGGGTCAGGGCTTTCTCTGTCCAGGATTTTTATGTATGAGTAATTCTTGTGTTTGGTTTCACAGGTGTATATGTAGCAGGATAAATTTTGATGTTGTAGTTTGGGATGTGATCCAATGCATAGTGCTTAAGAGTGATGGCCAGTGGCTAGCCTAATACCCAGTGGCATGGCTGTTTTATACTTCCTTTTGTTTGCAGGTGTGCTCTATAGTGGGGGTGGGAGAGATGCCTCCATCACCAGATGTGCTCCTGGGCCCTGGGGGAGTCTCCTGCAATCACTGTGTTTCTTGTGTTAGGTGTTCTAGGCCACAGGTCTCTCTCAGGCAGAGGCCCTTTCCTAGGAGCCATTCTGGGGAACTAGCTGTAGTGTTTGGGTTCCCTGCACAGGCTTCCTCCCTCTTCAGCTCAGCTTCATTGCTGCCTCTGCATCCACTCAGCATTTTCTCTCTCAAGATCTGCCTAAATTACGGTGGTTTACTCCATAATTTGGTATCTCTCAGTGGGGGTGGTGCTTCCTGACCATGTCAAATTGACCATGTATTGTCACAGAATGAAAACCTCTTTGATAGACTTTGTAACATTTTTGAATATTACATTCAGGAGTAAAATCTTACGCAGTGTGATCCCAGCTATCTCTTCACTTTTGAGAATAACCTTAAGTAATTAAAGGATAATTAAATATGTAATTAAAAATTGAAAAATATAACAGCTACACTTCCAGATGTCAACTTCTTTCAGAAAATTTTAAAATCTCTTTAAAGAAAGGTAAATTGAGACCAAAATAGATTAATAGCTTTATAAAAATAAGTGCTCAAGGAGGGTGTTACATGTGAAAATTAAACTTGGAATTTGTCATTTTACCCGTAAAATTACTGAGAGTAATTTCCTTGAAATGGAAATAACTTTACAAATTTTTAATTAACAAAAATGCTGAAATATTACTCCGCTTACCTTTATGTAACCTCTTCCTTGAAAACAACAATTTACTCATCTGGTGTGTGACTCTGATAACCTTCAATCATTCTCTATATCTGACACCATGACTAGTAACTTAGATCTTTAACTAAGCAACCTTTCTTTCCACCTTTGTGATATTATATCTAGTAATTTAATAACAGACAATCTATGTTGCAAATTAAACTTCCAAATTGAATAGTAATTTTCAAATCCCAAGGACCCATTTCTTCTGCCTCAATCTTAATTAGGTCTTAGTTAATAGAAAAATTAACTGGCTGGGTGCGGTGGCTCATGCCTGTAATCCCAGCACTTTGGGAGGCCAAGGTGGGCGGATCACCTGAGGTCTGAAGTTCGAGACCATCCTGGCCAACATGGTGAAACCCCATGTGTACTAAGAACACAAAAAATTGGCCGGGTATGGTGGTGGGTGGGTGCCTGTAATCCCAGCTACTCAGGAGGCTAAGGCAGGAGAATCACTTGAACTGGCGGGGTGGAGGATGCAGTGAACCGAGATCCCAGCACTGCGCTGCAGCCTGGGCAGCAACAGTGAAACTCCTCAGAAAAAAAAAAAAAGAAAAAGAAAAAAGAAAATTAACTAAATCAAGCCTAAATAAAACATATTCACAAAGTGGCAGACTTTTTTAATCCAAAAATTTAACTGTATTAATGTCTCATTTATAGAACATTATTTTACAATGAGGTTTTACACATCAATCAGTTGAGTCACTTCTTTTTTTTTTTGAGATGGAGTCTCGCTCTGTTGCCCAGGCTGGAGTGCAGTGGTGTGACCTCAGCTCACTGCAACCTCCACCTCCTGGGTTCAAGCGATTCTCCTGCCTCAGCATCCTGAGTACAGGCACTACAGGCACGTGAGCAAGAGAAGCTGACAGATTCAAATGTTCACAAACATTTATGTTCTATTTTGATAGATACATAAACTATGTTTCTCATTCTTATATACTTTATATTAGGGCATGGGATTAAAGTCAAAATAGTGGAAAATTAGTAGAAATAACATATTTTATATCCAATTAAGTCTCCAAAATCCCAACATGCACTCTTCTGTATACGTTTTTCAGTATGCTTGACTGGAACGGCCAATTCTACAGTAGTCTTGGAAGCAACATACTGCAGATTAAATACCTTAGTAGCCTATGTTCTTGAATGCGGACATAAAGGAGCAATGCTTTTCCTATCTTAAAAAAACAGTTTATATGAATGAAACTTCTGTTCTGTTTAAGATATTATATGTTGTTGAGTGTAGTTGTCAAAGCAACTAGCACGATTCCAAGTAATATAGAAATCACCAGCTTGAGTTGGGTCTGCCATAACAGCACCTAAAACGTATCCACTAAATTAGTATTAAATGGACAAGTAAACCAAACTCAGAGGGTTGAAATGAAGACTTGTAATACCCAGTGAAAAAAAATTATTGAAACTACCATCTAAAATTAATTGGAAGCTTAATATTACCTCTAGGAAAGAGTGTGGGAAATGAGGAAAGGCAAAAGGTAATGTGTTCATGTTTGTTCTGTTCCATAATCCAAGAAATAGATAAACACAGGCAAAAAAAAAAAAAAAAAAAAGAAAAAAGAAATATCCTGTCTTTAGAGTGGAAAGAAAGTGGATAGAGTTGAGTTGCTAAACCTTAGCATTATTGACATTTTATGCCTGATATTCCTGCATTCTGTGGGAGGTTATTCTTTGCATTGTAGGATATTAATAGTATCTTTAGGCTATACCACCACATACCAGTAGCATCACCACCTAATCATTATAATTCAAAATGTCTCCAGACACTGACAAGTGTTCTATGGAAACAAAGTCATTCCTTGTTGGAAACCACTTGTAAACAAAAAGTCTAGTAATGGTGGAATTATACAGTGACAGAAAAGCTCAGGTTTTTCTGATTAGGTTGAAAAAGCTGCTCAGAAATTAAATCCTACTGTGTTCATAAAAAACAAGGAACCCAGCCCTGAAGCAAAGAACTCATCAGGGAAGTTGTTTTCTCTTTCAAGTCTATGATTTCAAATGACCTTAAAGTGGTCATCTTTACAGTCAGAGAAGCATATGTGTGTTGGGGAGGAGAAAAAAGAAGGAAATGAGGCAGACTTTAGAATTATACCTAGGAAAGAACTGTATGTTTGGTTATAAACTAGATCCAATAAATAAATAAATGGTTTCCACATAACTACTTGGCAAAGGTACAATAAGCCTATTGTGAGAAAAAAAAATTAAGGCTTAAAATATCCTCAAGCATCCCAAATTGCACTAATCAGTGCAATTGATGAGTCATGCTGAGAAAACACTCATTGTTCTAATTTAAGATGGAGGCATGGAGAATAAGAGAAAATGTAAATTACCTCAGAAAGTAAATCTATGAGCCACAGGGACAATGGACCTTAAAGTTATTTCCACAGGACATGTTTATGGTTTCATCAAATAAATATTTGTACTGCTCAGAAATATTTTTGTCAGTGCTCTGCAGACTTCTTTGTCTTCTGATAGGAGCTTCACCATGGTAACTTAGATTTTACAGATAATTTGTCTTTTGACTTTATAGGACACTAGTCCTCGTTAAGTCATATAGTGGCCTGAGGGAGAGAACTGCACGTCATGAAACATCCTGAACTCTAAGTTGTAGGCAGTAACTGGGCAAAACTTTAAGTTGTTTACAGAGGGAAGAGAAGTGAATTTTTCATATATAAAGAAGTGTGCAAATTGTATTTCATGAGTAGTCTTTTGTCTTCTGGAATGGTGATATATACAAAGTAATCTGGGAAGATACAATTTGGTAATAGTAGATCCTTCGTTAACTTGAATTATTTTTTGCAGGAAAGATGCGTCTTTAGCCAAAATTACTTATGGTAAACTGTTATGTAAGCAAGAAATCACCTTCTACTTGGTTTAAGCTATTCAGTGTACTCTCTAGATAGATATGACACAAAGCTAGCATTATGATACAGTAAACCAAGTGTTAATGTAACTTTATGTTGATTTTGACTACATTCTGAAAATAATAAAAGTCATCTGGTATTTTAGGCTTACGATATGAACTTGATACTATGATAGGTGTCTGAAATGTTTATCTCATTTGATTCTTAGAACAAACTTATATTGTGGGTACTAATACAGTACTGATTTTTTAAATAAGAAAAAGGATTGCAAAAAATGTAAAAAGTCTTATTAAAGAGTACAAAATTCTATCTCCAAATGTGTAATGAATTTTATATAGTCAGTTAATATTTGTTTAGCTCAATAAAGTAATGTTCGGTGTAATAGTTGATTTCTTTAATGTTCATTCAGAATCACATTATCAATTTGAAATTAATTCACCTATTCGAAGAAGTTGCTTCCTCCAATTAAGACAGTATAGTAAGCAAAATAATGGTTTACAAAACAAACAAACCAACAAAAAAAAAACCGCATGTCCTGATTTCTGGAAGCTGTGAATATGTTAACTATCTGGTAAAAGGGGCTTTGCAAGTATTATAATGTTAAGGATGGTAAGATGAAAAAGTGTCCTTTTGAGTTCAGTGTAATCAAATGGGTTTAAACTAGGGAAACATTCTTGGCTAGAAACATAAGGTGGTATGATTTCAAAAGAATGGTCAGAGAGACACAGCATTTCTGGTTTGAACAAATGAAAGACCATAAGCTAACAAATCAGGACAGCCTCTGGAGGCTGGAAAAGTCAAGGAAACTGATTTTCCCCTAAAACCTTCAGAAAGGAACACAACAGTTCTCACTCTTTGATTTTAGCCTCATAAGATGCATTGCAGACATCTGACAAACACAATTGTTTGACACTATATTTGTGCTATTTTAAACCACTAACTTTGTAGTAATTGGCTACAGCAGCAGTAAGAAAATAATGCAGAGTGTTTCTATAATGGAGATAAAAGTATAAACAAGAGGCAAGGATTTCCTTCCTTCACAGTGTTTATAATATACTAAGAAAACAAACATTAAATACACAGGGCCCCAATAGATTATTCCACTTTAATTTTAGCTGGCACTGTGGAAGGAAAATAGAAATTCTAGAATATAGTGAATAGGAATATAACTTATTCTTATGTGGGAAGAAATGCTTATTACTGAATACTATTTGGGCTGAAAATAAATGCACTGTAGTTACAGTAAGTACAGTAAAAAAGGTAGTTTGCTATAAGGGAACAGAGCCATTGAAATGTAATGAAAGTCATCAAAGTTTTAGGCACTAACTATAAGTTGCAAGGAGTTAAACAATTGTAAGCAGTCCGATTATTAAAAAAATATGTGCCTGATTCTCAAAATCACAAGTATTCTTTAAGATTGCTAACCGTAGTAGTCAGTTTTCACAATGATATAAAGAATGACTTGAGACTGAGTAATTTATGAAGAAAAGAGATTTAATTGATTCATAGTTCTTCAGGCTTTACAGGAAGCATGAATGGGAGGACTCAGGAAACTCAGAAAATCATGGTGGAAGGCAAAGGGGAAACAAGGTTCTTCTTGACATGGCACCAGGAGAGAGAGAGCACAAGGAGGGAAGTGCCACACACTTTTAAACCATCAGATCTCTTGGAACTCACTCACTATCATGAGAATAGCATGTGGAAATCTGCTCCCATGA
Source organism: Homo sapiens (assembly GCF_000001405.40). Taxonomy (NCBI): domain Eukaryota; kingdom Metazoa; phylum Chordata; class Mammalia; order Primates; family Hominidae; genus Homo; species Homo sapiens. The sequence goes on along the minus strand of NT_187651.1, from coordinate 807,484 downwards.
TCCAGTCACCTCCACCCAGGCCCCTCTCTTGACATGAGGGGATTACAATTTGAGATGAGATTTGGGTGGGGACAGAGGGCCAAGCCATATTATTTCTCCTCTGGCCCCTCCCAAGTATCATGTCCTTCTCACATTTCAAAACCAATCATGCCTTCCCAACAGACTGGAAGTCTTAACTTATTCCAGCATTAACTCAAAAGTCCATGTCCAAAGTTTCATCTGAGACAAGGCAAATCGCTTCTGCCTATAAGCCTGTAAAATCAAAAACAAGTTAGTTAATTTCAAGACAACAGTGGGGGTACAGGGATCAGGTAAACACTCCAATTCCATAAGGGAGAAATTAGCCAAAACAAAGGGTCTGCAGGCCCCATGCAAGTCCAAAACCCGACAAGGCAGTCATTAAATCTTAAGGCTCTGAAACAATCTTCTTTGACCTCATCTCTCACGTCCAGAGCATACTGATGCAATATCTGGGCTCCCATGAGCTTTGACAGCTCTGCCTCTGTGGCTCTGCAAGGCACAGCCCCCACAGCTGCTTTCACAGGCTAGGATTGAGTGCCTGTGACTTTTCCAGGCACACTGTGCAAGCTGTCAGTGGATCTACCATTCTGGGGTCTGAAGCACTATGACCCTCTTCTCAAAGCTCCAGTAGGGAGTGCCCCAGTGGGGAATCTGTGTGGGGGCTCCAACCCCACATTTTCCCTCTGCACTGCCCTAGTAGAGGTTCTCCATAAGGGCTCCACTTCTGCAGCAGACTTTTGCTTAGACATCCAGGCATTTCCATACATCCTCTGAAATCTAGATGGAGGTTCCCAAACCTCACCTCTTCCCTTCTGCACAACCACAGGCCCAGCCTCATGTGGAAGCCACCAAAGCTTGAGGCTTGTATTCTCTGAAGCAATGGCCTGAGTAGTGCCTTGGACCCTTTTAGCCACAGTTGGAGCTGAGCAGCTGGAACACTGGGCACCATGTCCCGAGGCTGCCCAGAGCAGCAGGGCCCTGGGCCCATCCCACTAAACAATTTCTCCCTCCTAGGCCTCCAGGCTTATAATGGGAGGGGCTGCCTCAAAGGTCTCTGAAATGTACTGGAGACGTATTCCACATTGTCTTTGCCATTAACATTTGGCTCCTCTTTACTTATGCAAATTTTTGCTTGAATTTCTCCCAAGAGCGTGGGTTTTTCTTTTTTACTATATGGTTAGGCTGCAAATTTTCCAAACTTTTATGCTCTGCTTTCCTTTTAAATATACGTTTCAGTTTCAAGCCATCTCTTTCTTCATGGACATGAGCATAAACTTTTAGAAGCAGCCAGGCCACATGTTGGAAGGTCTGTTGCTTAGAAATTTGTTTCACCAGATACCCTAAATCATCTCTCTGAAGTTCAACATTACACAGATCTCTAGGGCCGGGTCAAAAGGCTGTCAGTCTCTTTGCTAAAGCATAGCAAGAGTAACTTTTTCTTCAGTTCTCAATGAGTTCCTCATCTCCATCTGAGACCCCCTCAGCCTGGACTTCGTTATCCAAATCATTATCAGCATTTTGTTCACAACCATTCAACAGGTCTCTAGGAAGATTTAAACTTTCCCATATCTCCCTGTCTTCTTCTGAGTCCTCCAAACTGTTTCCTACCTCTGCCTGTTACCCAGTTCCAAAGTTACTTCCATATTTTCAGGTATTTTTATAGCAATGCCCCACTTCTCTGGTACCAATTTTCTGTATCTATCTCTTCTCAAACTGCTATAAAGAACTACTGGGTAATTTATGAGGAAAAGAGGTTTAATTGACTCACAGTTCTGCAAGCTTAACAGGAAGCACGACTGGGAGGCCTCAGGAAACTAACAATCATGGCAGAAGGTAAAGGGGGAGCAGGTGCCTTCTTCACATGGTGTCAGTAGAGAGAAGAGCCGGGGGGAAGTTCCACACACTTTTAAACCATCAGATCTTGTGAGAACTCACTGACTGTCACGAGAACAGTATGGGAAATCCACCCCCATGATCAAATCACCTCCTACCAGACCCCTCCCCTGACACGTGGGGATTACGATTCAACATGAGATTTGTGTGGGGACACAGAGCCAAAGTATATCACTCACCTAATAAGTGCTTATCTTGATTAAATTGTATGGAAAACTACAACTTAAATTATGTGATCAGAAATTCTATCTAATGATAGACATTAATTCAAATGCCACCATGTTCTCCTGTCAGCTTCTCATATATTGTCATGGATATGATTTAATTGTCCTTCAGTGTCATGGAACACATCCTGAGATTCAGCTGATGAAGTTGCAAACTGGATAAATATAAATGATGATGTTTCAAAAAAGAAAATCCTCACTTAGTAAAAAAATGTTAGGTTTATTTTACACTTTCTTGACAGCTGAACTAATATAAAAAGCACTCACCTTGTTTCTTTCAGTTTTGTGTATGTTTTGATTGTGTCAGCTGAGTTCTTCTTCACGGGATTTTCTATGTGTCAGAGACACTTGTCCCCCATTCTGTTTTCCTGTGTAATCTCAAAATTGACAAGGGTCTTCACTGTATGTGAAAAGGATGTCTGTGTTGCTTGATTTTATGTGTGACTACTGTTTGCGATTGTCCTTTTCCCAATATGACATGTAATTTTACAGCACAGATAGTTTTTCAAAAGAATTACATTCCCAGGCTTAGCAGAGGGAGCGGCCTACTTATTGAAATGTGAAATCGAATCTCTGAAACAGAAACACCAAATTATTATACTAATCTGTAAAGTAGCTATAAAACGTTATTTTTCAGAGTGAAGTATCTGTCAAGATGGCTAGTTTTGGTGTATAATAGAAACGGTATTTTATTCCTTTTATTTCTGTAAACAGATTAAGTCTGTGTGTGTGTGTGTGTGTGTGTGTGTGTGTGTGTGTGTGTGTGTACATGGGATATAATACAAATCTACCTCGACTTATAATGAGTTACATCCTGATAACCACAGGCCAAGATGTGTTATGATGGATCTGGATATACTCATAAGTTGAAAATATTTTAGGTAAAAAATGCATTTAGTACATTTAACAAAAATACTGGCAAACCGAGTCCAGCAGCACATCAAAAAGCTTATCCACCAAGATCAAGTTGGCTTCATCCGTGGGATGCAAGACTGGTTCAACATACGCAAGTCAATAGATGTAATCCATCACATAAAGAGAACCAAAGACAAAAACCACAAGATTATCTCAATAGATGCGGAAAAGGTCTTTGACAAAATTCAATAGCCCTTCATGCTGAAAACTCTCAATGAACTAGGTATTGATGGAACATATCTCAAAATAATAAGAGCTATATATGACAAACCCGCAGCCAGTATCATACTGAATGGGCAAAAACTGGAAGCTTTCCCTTTGAAAACTAGCAGAAGACAGTGATGCCCTCTCTCACCACTCCTATTCAACATAGTGTTGGAAGTTCTGGCCAGGGCAGTCAGGCAAGAGAAAGAAATAAAGGGCATTCTATTAGGAAAAGAGGAAGTCAAATTGTCCCTGTTTGCAGGTGATATGATTGTATATTTAGAAAACCCCATCATCTCAGCCCAAAATCTCCTTAAGCTGATGAGCAACTTCAGCAAAGTCTCAGGTTACAAAATCAGTGTGCAAAAATCACATGCATTTGTATACACCAATAACAGACAATCAGAGAGCCAAATCATGAGTGAACTCCCATTCACAGTTGCTACAAAGAGAATAAAATACCTAGGAATCCAACTTACAAGGGATGTGAAGGACCTCTTTAAGGAAAACTACAAACCACTGCTCAACGAAATACAAGAGGACACAAACAAATGGAAGAACATTCCATGCTCATGGGTAGGAAGAATCAATATCGTGAAAATGGCCATACTGCCCAAGGTAATTTATAGATTCAATGCCATCCCCATCAAGCTACCAATGACTTTCTTCACAGAATTGGAAAAAACTAAAGTTCATATGGAATCAAAAAAAGAGCCCATATTGCCAAGACAATCCTAAGCAAAAAGAACAAAGCTGGAGGCATCACGCTACCTGACTTCAAACTATACTACAAGGCTACAGTAACAAAAACAGCATTTTACTGGTACCAAAACAGAGATATAGACCAATGGAATGGAACAGAGGCCTCAGAAATAACGCTAAACATTTACAACCATCTGATGTTTGACAAACCTGACAAAAACAAGAAATGGGAAAAGGATTCCCTATTTAATAAATGGTACTGGCTAGCCATATGTAGAAAGCTGAAACTGGATCCCTTCCTTCACCTTATAGAAAAATTAATTCAAGATGGATTAAAGACTTAAATGTTAGACCTAAAACCATAAAAACCCTAGAAGAAAACCTAGGCAATACCATTCAGGACATAGGCATGGGCAAGGACTTCATGTGTAAAACACCAAAAGCAATGGCAACAAAAGCCAAAATAGACAAATGGGGTCTAATTAAACTAAAGAGCTTCTGCACAGCAAAAGAAACTACCATCAGAGCGAACAGGCAACCTACAGAATGGGAGAAAATTTTTCCAATCTACCCATTTGACAAATAGCTAATATCCAGAATCTACAAAGAACTTAAACCAATTTACAAGAAAAAAACAAAGCCATCAAAAAGTGGACAAAGGATATGAACAGACACTTTTCAAAAGAAGACATTTATGCAGCCAACAGACACATGAAAAAATGCTCATCATTACTGGTCATCAGAGAAATGCAAATCAAAACCACAATGAGATAGCATCTCACACCAGTTAGAATGGCGATCATTAAAAAGTCGGGAAACAACAGGTGCTGGAGAGGATGTGGAGAAATAGGAATGCTTTTACACTGTTTGTGGGAGTGTAAACTAGTTCAACCATTGTGGAAGTCAGTGTGGCAATTCCTCAAGTATCTAGAACTAGAAATACCATGTGACCCAGTGATCCCATTACTGGGTATATACCCAAAGCATTATAAATCATGCTGCTATAAAGACACATGCACATGTATGTTTATTGCGGCACTCTTCACAATAGCAAAGACTTGGAACCAACCGAAATGTCCATCAATGATAGACTGGATTAAGAAAATGTGGCATACATACACCATGGAATACTATGCTGGCATAAAAAATGATGAGTTCATGTCCTTTGTAGTGACGTGGATGAAGCTGGAAACCATCATTCTGAGCAAACCTTCGCAAGGACGGAGAACCAAACACCGTGTGTTCTCACTCATAGGTGGGAATTGAACAACGAGAACACTTGGACACAGAGTGGGTAACATCACATGCTGGGGCCTATTGTGGGGTGGGGGGATGGGTAGGGATAGCATTAGGAGAAATACCTAATGTAGTTAATGAGTTAATGGGTGCAGCAAACCAACATGGCACATGTATACATATGTAACAAACCTGCAAGTTGTGCACATGTGCCCTAGAACTTAAAGTATTAAAAAAAAATACACTTAAGAAATGTGCTCAGAACACTTACATTAGCCAGTCCAAAAAAAAAATCTAACCTAAAGCCTATTTTTAAATAAAGTGTTGAATATCACATGTAAATTATTAAATACTGAATGTGAAAAACGGAATGGGTATATGGGTAATAAAAGCATTGTTTCTACTGAATGTTTATCACTTTTGTACCATGATGAAGCTGTAAAGTTGTACCATTGTAAATCTGGGACCATCTGTGTTACATTCAAGAGAAAAGCTCAGTCGAACTAATAAATAAATCAAAATTTCTTCTGATTATTTAGGTGTTTTTTCCTGTTAGATAATTAAGACATCCAACTGTTGCTTGCTGCTTCACCACACAGACCATACACAGATACAAATACACACTCCATGAATGAGCGTATGTGCTTGTTTAAAGAGACATACTAACCAAACAGTTGTATGCTGCCGTGATATTGATTATGTCATCAAGTTCCTTATTTAACAAAACAGAGCTGTGTATGAAGTATTTCTCTAAAATGTACATTCAATAGCAACTGGTTTTGTTCAGTCTTATGTACCCATATTATTTAAATGAGCACCTGGAGTCTAGAATTAACTAAAAAATATCTATGTTGATGCATATTAAGTTGATTTTGAAGTCATAAATTTTGACAAGAATTGATACTATGGCACTGTCATAACTTTACAAAAGATGACCTGAACTAACATGATTTTATGCTTTTACCAGTGGAACTCCCTGAAATATATTCAGATAATTTGTTATTAAAGCAAAACTAAGTTTATTGAAACCCTGTGCCAAGAAAGTACACCATTTTGACATACTTTTGCAGTGTTTCAGCAGGGAAGAGTGAGAGGAAGATTTTTCATGTTTGTGGAGAATGGCTTAAGAGAGTTAAATGAGTCTTTCAAAGTGAGTAGCTGATTGAAATTGAGCTAAACTCAGAGCATAATAGTTTAGATAGTCTAAGAAATTGAAAAAAAAGTTGATGCCAAGCATACAAGAAATAACACCACCAAAAAATAGACCTAAATACAGACAAAATTAGATTAAAAACAAGAATATGTTCAATGTTAATAAAAGCAAAAGGAACATAGACATAGTTATGGAGGAGTTTTGTTTTGTTTTAATAAGATAAAAATATGGTTAGTTTTATAGCAATACACCTGGAAATCTGGATCAATTCTGTCCACTATAGTCATTACTAGTGACATGTAGATATTGAACACTTGAAATATGGTGGATTTGAATTGATTTATGCTATATGTAAAATACAAACTAGATTTAGTTTAAAAAATGTAAAACTGAATAATTTTAATATTGTTTTATGCTGAGATGACAATATTTTGGATATACTGGATTAAATACATATAAAATATTGTTAAAAATCAAGTAGTATAGTAAAATTGGTCTTTTTGTTTTACTTTTTTATTTTGTTTTGGTTTTTGAAGGGATAGAAATCATGGCTAAGATGGACCCTGGGGCATATCATTGACCATCATGAAACATGCACTGATTTGCCAAATGTATTATTTTCCTGTGGCTGTTATAAAAATCACAATACACTTAGTAGTTTAAAACAACATAAATTTATTGTCTAGCAGTATTCCAGGTTAGAAGTTCAACACAGGTCTTACTGATTTAAAATCAAAGCATTGGAAGACTGCATTCCTTCTATAGGCTCTGTGGAATAATCCATGACCTGGCCTTTCCCAGGCTTTAGAATCCAGCTGCATTCTTTGATGCATGTTCCCTGTCTTGGGCAGCTTGGAATACTGTAAGAAAATACCATAGACCGGGTGACTTAAACAACTGACATTTATTTCTCAGAGTTCTGAAAGTTGGGAAGTCCAAGATTAAGGTGCTGGTATATTTGGTTCATGGTGAGGGCCCACTCCCTCTCTGGTTAGTAGATGGCCTCCTTCTCTCTGTGTTCACATGGCCTTTCCTGGATACATGTTTACGGAGAGAGAAAGAGAAGGGTGGTTGGGTGGGAGGTGGTCTAGTATCTCCACCTTTTCTTATAAGAACACTAACATTATCATGAGAACACCACACTTAGGACATTATCTCAACCTAGGTTCCTCCCAAAAGCTCCATCTCCAGATACTATCACACTGCCAATTAATAGATCATTGAAAATAATCTATTAATATTTGAACAATGCCAATCATCTTCAATAGATTAATTTTAGGGAGACACAAATATTCAGTTCATAACAGTTCCTTTCCTTGACCTTCAAAGCTACAAATGAAGGAGCAAGTCTTCACATTCTCCTTTTATATCTCCCTCTTCTACGTGTAAAGAATCTTATGATTGCATTTGGCCATCTAAAAATCTATGATAGTCTCTCCATTTCAAAATCCTTAACTCTAATTGCATTTGCAAAGTCTGTCCTGCCAGGTAAGCTAACAAATTTATAAATTATCTGGATTAGGACCGCATCATCTCTGAAGAGCCATTATTCTGACTACCACATCAGTATGTTAGTTTATGTCAAGATTGCTGTAATAATCAATAGGTTCTGGTACCACAAATCCAGTAGCAGTCATTAAGGTTGATTGAGTTTATTGATTGCTTTCAGCTCCATTCTGCTATTAATCACTTTTGGGGATATAAAATGAAGACCTTATCACATAGAGGAAGAGGTAGATGTGATAGGAGCTTGAATATGTAATAAGAATTTTTTATGATATGTAAATGTGAGAAATGAATTAAGTATGTGCCATTTGTTCTCTTCTTTTTAAGACATTTCTTTCTAAAGGTTTAGTGACAGAAGTTGCATTCTATTAAAGATCCCTAAGTGCTGTTCTGCTGTAGGCATAAGCTTTCTTTCCTGGGTGCAGCATGTTAGGATTTAAGATTTCTATTTATCTAATACTCTGCTGTTTGTCAGATAAAATAACAATAAATAGTGAGTCCAATTATTGATAAACCCAGATGTTTCATATTTAGGAATCGATGTTAAAAAAAAAAACTCTAATTGGCATCCTAAGGAAAATGTGTGCAGCTTAGCACTGATTCAACTGCATGTTTAGCCAAATTGTGAACAAATTACGGCCAGCTTCCGGACTCTTCTAGAGAGTGACTAAGGACGGCATAGAGGAATTAGGAATAGTAGCTTTATAGGTAAAGTAATTAAATGTAACCTTAAGCATAAAAAGATAAAGTTAACTAGGAAAATGAAAACTCAAGATATACAGATTAAATATGACAAACAATGGATCTTTTTTTGTGGATCTTGGTTTGCAGATACCGATATCTCATATAGTGATTCACTTGATCCAAAGGCATTTGATGGAAGCTGTCTTCTCCCAAAGACTATTTGCTTTTGGAAGAATCCTAAGAGTCATTAGTTAGAAGTTTTTGGTAGGGATACTTTCCTGTAATATGAAGATGACCTAAACCTCTTTACTTGAGAGATAGGAATCAAAGGATCAGTCTTTTAAAGACTATGGGTTTGCTAGTTGTTAGCTGTGCCTGATAGTGACTTTTTTCCTATGATCTTTCCCTGCCGTGTCTCTTAGAAGACAAGGTATCCAGGTATGAAAACCAATTTTGCAGACATTGTTTAGGATACTAATGGGGAAAGTCTTCAGTAACTTTTGTTGAAAGAATGGATTTCCTGAGTCCTTACAGCATTTAGTTAAATAAGTGTAGATTTCTAGAATCAGAGCTAATATTCCTAGACACTTGGTTTAGCTGTTACTAACTCATGAACCACAGAAAGAAGAAATACCTTAGACCATGCAAGTTTGACGATGTCTGTGAACTTTACCAACTTTAGTTTCAGAATTCCATCTTTCTACCTTCCCAAAAGGTTGAAAGTGATATGGACAGTGAAGTCTGATTAATTGACAGAACTTTTCCATGTTAATAAAAATTCCGGTAAAATGGTTTCCTTGTTACTAGAGATATAGTTTGGGATTCCCCAGGCTGAAAAAAAAAAAAAGGATTTTCTCCATGCCAACAAGAGACAAATAATGATCAGAACATATTTAAAATCTATTGCCAGCACTTGTTATGAAAAATTCATTTAGATTTTTACTGAGACATTTTACAGTTTTGTTAGGATTAATCTGACGAAGGTTGAGACAGGTTGTAAGGATATAGTTATATAAAGATATACTTACCAATTTTAGCAAAATTTTCCTCCAGCTATTGGTTAAATACATTGGTCAATTTGTCCTCATTGTGCCAGAAAAGCTCAGCAGTTCTGACTAAAGTTTATGTTAACCCATTGCCAGTAGAATGAAAGAGTTGAATCCTCTCTTAAATTATAATATATAGTTGACTCCTCAACAACACAGGTTTGAACTGTGCAGGTCTGCTCATATGTAGATTTTTTCCTATAAATATATTAGAAAATTTTTGGAGATTTATGAAAAATTGAAAAAGATAACAGGTGACCCATCTACACAAGAAATATTAAAAAACTAAGAAAACGATGTCATGAATGCATAAATCATATGTAGATACTAGTGATCATTTAATACAATGAGATATATATGCGTCTATTATAAAAAGTTAAAATTTATCAAGACGTAGGCAAACACAGAGCATACATGCAGCCAATTGAAGTTTAGAGAAAAGTAAAACAAAAATATACAAAAGTAAATCATAACTGCACAAAATTAACTGTAGTACATACTGTACTACTGGGATAATTTCCTAGCCTCCACCTGTTGTTCTTGCAGTGAACTCAAGTGTTGTGAGTATTCACTTAAAATGCCACATAATGCTAATCATCTTCTTGTGAGTAGCTTGTCTCTCCAGTAAATTAACACAGTAAAAAGTGTTCTCTCATGTTTCTCCTGTATTATTCATGATGTCTAGTGCAATACCATAAACCTTGAATAACACCTTCAGACCTATAAAAAGTGCTGCTAGTGATGCTGAAAGTTCTTCCAGGAAACAGAGAAGGGTCCTGACATTACAGGAAAACAATGAATTGCTTGATAGGTACCCTAGATTGAGGCCTGCAGCTGTGTGTGCTGCCATTTCAGAAGAAGGATCCATCTTGTAAACACAGGATTGTAAACTTATGAGAGAAATAAATATACTGTAGTACTGTAAACGTATTTTTTCTTCCCTATAATTTTCTTAATAACACTTTCTTTTCTGTAACTAGCTTCATTGTAAAACTACGGTGTAAAATACATACAGCGTATGAAATATGTGTTAAGGATTGTCCAGTCAACAGTAGGCTGTTAGTTTAGTTTTGGGGAGTCCAAAGTTATATGTGAATTTTTGACTGTGCTGGGGTGGTGGGGAGGGGTTAGGGAGGTTTGATGGCCCTAAACCTTGTGTTTTTCAGGAGTCAACTGTACAATTTAGAAGAATATGATTTAGAATTTCCCTGAGATTAAGAACATATTAAATGGTGGGAAGGATATTGATAGACCTCTAGATCTAGTGACACTATCAACTTTGACTGTGTCTGTTTGATGAAGGAATTAAAATCTAGTAACAAAAGCATTTTGTAGATAGTTATTGTACCAGTCTTTGTTCTTGAACATCAGTGTGTTTTTTTGAACTGAAAATCACACATTGAATGAAAGGCTTCATCTCAATATATTTTATTTACACATAAATTTGAGCTGTTTTTTGTTCACAAGTTTGGCCGATAAAAGAGCCCTCACAATAGCTTTAATTACCATTTAAAATTACAAATTAATGTGATTTTTTAATTTTTCTCTCTTTTGTAGGGTGAAGGAGCAATGCTTTTGGTTACTCAGTATTCTCTCAAGAAAATTTAAAGATAGTTTATACATAGAAGATATTTTAACAGGCTATATTCTGAACTTGTGGCCCGGATTTGGAAAAAGCAATATATCAAGTATGGTTCAAGGGGACAAGAAAGAGAGAAGCATTTGTTACCATTTTTCCAAGTCAAAAATATTTAATCAGATAATATTTTAAAAGCCAGCAATAATTAGTAATGATTGGTATAATGTTTTTGTCAAAATTATTAAATAGGAGATAAAATTAAAAGCTTTATTTTTTTGCATTCAAATAAAATTTTAAGTATTTTGATGAGCATATTAAATCAACAATGCATGTATTACATTGAACCTGACTTCTTAATAAGTTGCAACCAAATCTTTAATGATAAGTTTAGGTCAGAGAGATAATTTTGAGATTTGTCACCATAAAGATAGGGTATAATGTGATGTAAATAATTAAGATCAGGTGGAAAGACAAATAAGATTGAAGGAAGACCCAAGACCAAGGTTTGAGGCACTCTCAGAAGTTCTAAAAAAAAAATTTAGACTATGAGTAAAGAAGGATTGATCAGCAAGGTGAAATGGATCAAGGAAATGTGGGCACTCAGAGGTACAGAGGGGTTAATTGCTGCTCAGAAAATACTCAGACGAATGCTGAACAATAGATTAGATAGAACCGATGTCCTAGAAATCATGAAGATAAGTGACTTTATTAAAATACATATTATAAACAAAGAAGGAATTTACTGTTCGAAAAGTTGTCTTGAAGAATTGTTTTGGGAGAAAATAAAAAATAAACCTTATTTTCTAAAATACACTAAAACTAATTCCAAATGAGTCAAAGGATTGTGTACAGATATTTTAAATTAATAAAACAATGTTAGTGCAGATTCTCTTTAATTACTTCCCTGATTGTTTTACCTATAGTAACTCATTTAATTCTACTAGCAATCTTTTCATGTTGGATACAGCTATTCAAATTTTCTTTTGTTATTGCAATAGCCTCCTAACCATTCTTCCACAAAATTGAGGCACTAAAAGGTTGTGAAATTTCCTCTATGCCACAGAGCTTTTTAGTGATGATTTGGCATTTGGAAGCACATCTTTGAAATGTTCATTTTTCTCTGATGGCCAGTGATGGTGAGCATTTCTTCATGTGTTTTTTGGCTGCATAAATATCTTCTTTTGAGAAGTGTCTGTTCATGTCCTTCGCCCACTTTTTGATGGGGTTGTTTGTTTTTTTCTTGTAAATTTGTTTGAGTTCATTGTAGATTCTGGATATTAGCCCTTTGTCAGATGAGTAGATTGTGAAAATTTTCTCCCATTCTGTAGGCTGCCTGTTCACTGTGATGGTAGTTTCTTTTGCTGTGCAGAAGCTCTTTAGTTTAATTAGATCCCATTTGTCAATTTTGGCTTTTGTTGCCATTGCTTTTGGTGTTTTAGACATGAAGTCCTTGCCCACGCCTGTGTCCTGAATGGTAATGCGTAGGTTTTCTTCTAGGGTTTTTATGGTTTTAGGTCTAACGTTTAAGTCTTTAATCCATCTTGAATTAATTTTTGTATAAGGTGTAAGGAAGGGATCCAGTTTCAGCTTTCTCCATATGGCTAGCCAGTTTTCCCAGCACCATTTATTAAATAGGGAATCCTTTCCCCATTGCTTATTTTTCTCAGGTTTGTCAAAGATGAGATAGTTGTAGATATGCGGCGTTATTTCTGAGGGCTCTGTTCTGTTCCATTGATCTATATCTCTGTTTTGGTACCAGTACCGTGCTGTTTTGGTTACTGTAGCCTTGTAGTATAGTTTGAAGTCAGGTAGCGTGATGCCTCCAGCTTTGTTCGTTTGGCTTAGGATTGACTTGGCAACGCGGGCTCTTTTTTGGTTCCATACGAACTTTAAAGTAGTTATTTCCAATTCTGTGAAGAAAGTCATTGGTAGCTTGATGGGGATGGCATTGAATCTATAAATTACCTTGGGCAGTATGGCCATTTTCACGATATTGATTCTTCCTACCCATGAGCATGGAATGTTCTTCTATTTCTTTGTATCCTCTTTTATTTCATTGAGCAGTGGTTTGTAGTTCTTCTTGAAGAGGTCCTTCCCATCCCTTGTAAGTTGGATTCCTAGGTATTTTATTCTCTTTGAAGCAATTGTGAATGGGAGTTCACTCATGATTTGGCTCTCTGACTGTCTGTTATTGGTGTATACAAATGCGTGTGATTTTTGTACATTGATTTTGTAACCTGAGACTTTGCTGAAGTTGCTCATCAGCTTAAGGAGATTTTGGGCTGAGACAATGGGGTTTTCTAGATATACAATCGTGTCATCTGCAAACAGGGACAATTTGACTTCCTCTTTTCCTAATTGAATACCCTTTCTTTCCTTCTCCTGCCTAATTGCCCTGGCCAGAACTTCCAACACTATGTTGAATAGGAGTGGTGAGAGAGGACAAATCAAAACCACAGTGAGATACCATCTCACACCAGTTAGAATGGCAATCATTAAAACGTCAGGAAACAACAGGTGCTGCAGAAGATGTGGAGAAATAGGAACACTTTTCCACTGTTGGTGGGACTGTAAACTAGTTCAACCATTGTGGAAGTCAGTGTGGCGATTCCTCAGGGATCTAGAACTAGAAATACCATTTGACCCAGCCATCCCATTACTGGGTATATACCCAAAGGACTATAAATCATGCTGCTATAAAGACACATGCACACGTATGTTTATTGCGGCACTATTCACAATAGCAAAGACTTGGAACTGACCCAAATGTCCAACAATGATAGACTGGATTAAGAAAATGTGGCACATATGCACCATGGAATACTGTGCAGCCATAAAAAATGATGAGTTCATGTCCTTTGTAGGGACATGGATGAAATTGGAAATCATCATTCTCAGTAAACTATCGCAAGGACAAAAACCCTAAGACCGCATGTTCTCACTCATAGGTGGGAATTGAACAATGAGAACACATGGACACAGGAAGGGGAACACCACACGCTGGGGACTGTTGTGGGGTGGGGGAAGGGGGGAGGGAAAGCATTAGGAGATATATCTAATGCTAAATGACGAGTTAATGGGTGCAGCACACCAGCATGGCACATGTATACATATGTAACTAACCTGCACATTGTGCACATGTACCCTAAAACTTGAAATATAATAATAATAAAATTTAAAAAAAATGTTCATTTTTAATTATAGCACTA